>NW_018654717.1:4859623-5161204 GCF_000001405.40 Homo sapiens | reverse complement strand
TAAGCACTAAGCAAACTCAGGGCTACATAATCCCTGTGGTGAGCTAACTGACAATGGGTACAACTGGGACACTTTACCGTTAAATCACCTCTATCTACATGTGCCCAAGCAGTGACATACTTGGTTTTAATCCTAAAAAATCATGGTGCACATTTACTCCTGCCTTCCAACTGGGCTCTAACGTCACCTCCTCAGAGAAGCCCGCTTTTCTGTGCTTCCACTCTGCCTTTTTTCAGCATTTAGTAGAGCATCAGTCACCATCCATATCTGGGAACAATGATTGTAAGAAACAGAAACCCATTTGCATGAGCTTGAGGACAAGAAACACACCTTATCTCTAACAGGCAAACTCATGGGCACAAGAAACAAATGAGAGGCCATGAGAGAATGGAAACTGCAGTTACAGAAACCAAAATTCCTCTTTCTTGCTCTCAGAAGCCCATGGTCTCTTTCTTTTTTTTCTTTTTTTCTTCTTTTTTTTTTTTTTTTTTGAGACGGAGTCTCGCTCTGTCGCCCAGGCTGGAGTGCAGTGGTGCAATCTCAGTTCACTGCAAGCTGCACCTCCTGGGGTTAACGCCATTCTCCCACCTCAGCCTCCCAATTAGCTGGGGCTACAGGCACCCGCCACCACACCCAGCTAATTTTTGTATTTTTAGTAGAGATGGGCTTTCACCGTGTGAGCCAGGATGGTCTCGATCTCCTGACCTCGTGATCCGGCCATCCTGGCTTCCCAAAGTGCTGGGATTACAGGCGTGAACCACCGCACCTGGAAGCCCATGGTCTTTCTTATCAGCCCTGTGGACTTTCTTATCTCTTCTTCTCACTCACAACCAATTTTCCCTTTTTGCTGGTGGCCCACCCTGGCAGCCAGCAGAGCCCACCGCCAGCTGATCAATCAGTTACTGGATATCTTGGAGAGGGAGGGAGGGAGGAAGGAAGAGAGGGAGAGGGAGAGAGAGAGAGAGAATGACAATTGGGCTTCTGGCCAACCAATTGAGTATAGGGAGGGGAAGTACCATGGTACAAATATGGCTCCAAGACCTGCTTTCCAGCATGGCCAGTGAGTAGGGAAATTGAGGGAAGGTACCTGCAAACACAGCAGACATCTCAGAACATGCTCTCTGTTCTTAGTTCTCTCTCCTGCCTTCTCCTAGATTGTAAATATCACAAGACAATCTAGGATAGTACCTGGCTCAAAATATTTGAGAAAGAGGAAAAGGAAGACATTGCATCAAACTGTAGACTACATGGTTTCCTAAATTCACTCTGCAAGTTTTTGGGTTTTTTGTTTTTTGAGACAGAGTCTCGCTCTGCTGCCCAGGCTGGAGTGCAATGGGATAATCTTGGCTCACTGCAACCTCCACCTCCCAGGTTCAAGCAAATCCCCTGCCTCAGCCTCCTGAGTAGCTGGGATTACAGGCACGCACAGCTATACCAGTTAATTTTTGTATTTTTAGTACAGACGGGGTTTCACCATGTTGGCCAGGCTGGTCTCGAAATCTTGACCTCGTGATCCACCCACCTCGGCTGCCCAAAGTGCTGGGATTACAGGTGTGAGCCACCACACCTGGCCGACTCTGCAAGTATTTAAGTGAATGAATGTCAGTCCCTGAGAATCAGAATTTCTTCTGATTTAACGGCATTAAATCTCCCTTAGGTTTAATCCTGGTCAGCAGCTGTGGGGTGTCCTGGGTTTGGGATCAGTGGGATGAGGAACAAGCAGGTTCTCCAAACCACCACGCAGGGAGGGGAGGTGTTAACTAGGCCAAAGATGATGGGTGGGGTATGTGCCTGGGTTTCAAACAGCTTATGCCAGGCCTAAAAACAGACGCTGAGGCAGAAACTGTATTAAGCAAATTGATGACACAATGGAGGAGGTCAAAAAGTTTAATATTGATAAGAAGAATACAAATACTGATCATGCGATATATTATTGTTATCACACCATCTCCTGCTACACGCCAGGTTTCCTTTACCATGAGATAGAAGAGATTTGTGGATCTGACCTAACCCTCCAAATTATAAGGTCTCTGAGAGTGGGCTCATGACATTCATGTTTTATAAATGTGGCATAAAGGTTAATGCTGGCTGCCATGTGACCCAATGCCAGTTTGACGCTGCATTCAAAGAACCATCGTTCCAGCATCCAAGCACACTTAAAGGCAATTGAAATGTTTACCGCCTTCCCTCAAGACAAACACCAAATAAAAATTATTTTCAAAATGCATAGCAACACTTCTTAAAATCTTATTTTCCCATCTCTTTCTCTCTCTCTACCACATTCCCAAGAGTTTCCCAGGAGCAAAACTGTCATAAAGACCCAGGAGCAAAATGATTAGTGACTTCACGATATCTGATTCTCATTTAGTTGGTTTAGAGTGGTGTCCGGGCATACGTATTTTTTAAAATCTTGCTGGGCACAGTGGCACACACCTGTAGTCTCAGCTACTCAGGAGGCTAAGGCAGAAGAATCACCTGAGCCCAGGAGTTTGAGTCCAGCCTGGGCAACGTAGCAAGACCCTGTCTCTGAAAAAAAAGAAAAAAAAGCAAAAACAAATCTCTCTCAGCTTCAGTCAGGGTTGATAACTAGTTGATCAAAAAATTGTGGTAGCCATCCTTCACAATGGACCTTAATATTCCCACCTCCTGGTGTTATTCACTGTGGAATCTGTCTTAGCTAGTCCTCAACTGGGTCTGGTATCCAGGCCCCACCTTGAGAGTCTAGTCCCACCTCCTACCCCACACATGGTTTTACACTTACTTTCAAGACTGGCCTAAAAATGTAAAATGTATTTGTTTTGACCTTCTTTCCAATGAAACAACTGTTCTAAACATTCCTTTAGGATGGTTAGGGAAATTTGAACACCGGCTAAATATTAGAAGATATTTGTTTCAAAATAACCCAGCTTGGTAATGAGATGATGGCGGCTGAGGCTGGTGATAGGCACAGAGGGCTTCATTATCAAATATAAACAAGTGGAAAAAACAGAACTTTTCCATAATACAAATATAAGGTAAACAAGAAAGTGTATTGAGTGCATAAAAAGAATCTATGGTCTCACAGGTATTAGCTTATAACTTGAACATCAAAAATAAAAGTGACAGCCGGGTGCAGTGGCTGATGCCTGTAATCCCAGCACTTTGGGAGACCTAGGTGGGTGGATCACTTAAGCCCAGGAATTTGAGACCAGCCTGAGCAACAGAGTGAGACCCCCATCTCTAAAATAAATAAATACAAATAAAAGTGACTAGAATTGATTATAGAACATCAACTCGATTTGAGTCTATAAAGATTACTGGTGAAGGGGGGCAATGGGGAGAAGGAGGAAGAGAATATATTTGTGACCTAGATTATTTTCCTTAGTTTTGAGAGAATCTTCGGGTCTCCTGGGTCTTCTAGCCCAGTATTTATTTTTATTTTTTATTTATTTGTGTATTTTTTTTTTATGTTTTTAGATGGAGTCTCACTCTGCCACCAGACTGGAGTGCAGTGGTGCGATCTTGGGCCACTGCAACTTCCGCCTCCCAGGTTCAATCTATTCTCCTGTCTCAGCCCCCCAAGTAGCTGGGACTACAGGTACCTGCCACTTCACCCAGATAATTTTTTTTTTTTTTTTTTTTTTTTTTTGAGACAGAGTCTGGCTCTGTTGCCCAGGCTGGAGTGCAGTGGTGCAATCTCGGCTCACTGCAAGCTCCTCCTCGAGGTTCATGCCATTCTCCTCCCTCAGCCTCCCGAGTAGTTGGGACTACAGGAACCTGCCACCACGCCCGGCTAATTTTTTTGTGTTTTTAGTAAAGACAGGGTTTCATCGTGTTAGCCAGGATGGTCTCGATCTCCTGACCTCGTGATCTGCCCGCGTCGGACTCCCAAAGTGCTGGGATTACAGGCATGAGCCACTGTGCCCGGCCGCACCCAGCTAATTTTTGTATTTTTTGTAGAGATGGTGTTTCACCATGTTGATCCAGGCTGGTCTCAAACTCCTGACCTCAGGTGATCCGCCCGCCTTGGCATCCCAAAATACAAGGATTACAGGCATGAGCCACCACACCCTGCCTATTTTCCTTAGTTTTCAGAGAACCTTTGTGTCCCCTGAGTGTTCTAGCCCAGTATATCTCAAACTTTGCTGCATCAAGGACCTTGTTGAAATGCAGGTTCTCATCTGGGAGGCTCAGTGGGCCGGCAAATCTGCACTGGTTTAGGAAGCTCACCCTGAGTATCAAGCTTCAGTGAGGATCAGGCAGGCCCCTGCCTACCAACCCCCTCTCAGCTGGGCTTAACTCTGGCTCTCTCCTGCCAGGGTTCCTCCTCTCAAAATAGGAGCTATTTTCAAAAAGTCTCTTGGAAAAAAAGCCCTGTTTTAAAATTGGGGTGTTCAGGATTGGCCATCTGCTCACCATGGGGTTTTAAGACCTTTGCCCAGAACCCTGCAACCAACTTAGAACTGACGTCTTTACTTTTGAAGGCCCCACTCCACACCATATTAAATTAATTAAAATCAACCCGCATTACAGGCATATCTCAGGCATCATGCCCTCAGAAAGGAGTTGCAGCTGATCACTTGACAATGTTGTAAGGCATTAAACATGCATTCATTTCAGCCTTGCAGTTTTCACATTTAGGAGCCAATTGTCTTAGGTCTAAAGCATTCATGCCGAAGCATTGTTATGGGCCCCAGACACTATGCTTCCCAGCCTTAATGGCCTCTGCAATGCTGGTTCCTACTGGCCCACCCCTGGGTTCTGGCCGGCTAGCCCGCGCCACCTCACTGCTCCCCCATTCAAGTGTGCCTTAAATGTGTGGTTTCCAAACTCATCTACACTTTAGGGTCACCTGAGATTTTTTTTTTAAATCTTCCAAAACCCAGGCCACACCCAAGAACAATTAAACCTCAACCTCTGGAATGGGACATAGACTCCGTTTTTTGTTTTGTTTTGTTTTTGAGACAGGGCCTCGCTCTGTTACCCAGGCTGGAGTGCAGTGGCACAATCATAGCTCACTACAGGCTCCAACTCCTGGGCTCAAGAAACCCTCCCACTTCAACCTCCACGGTAGCTGGGATCACAGGCGGGCACCACCACGCCCGGCTAATTTTTAAATTTTTTATAGAGACAGTATCTCCTTATGTTCTCCAGGCTAGTCTCAAACTCCTGGGCTCAAGTGATACTCCCGCCTCACCGTCCCAAACTGCTGGGATTATAGGCATGAGCCACCATGTCTGGACATCAGCATCTGTATTTTTTGAAGCACAGACGAGTTTGGGAACTACCGCGCTAGACTGAGTTTCGATTCCTAGCCCTGTCTGACCGTAGGATTCGGCTGGGCTGCTTCTGAAAACAGAGCTCCCCAGGCTCCTTCCCAGGTAATTCTGATTCATTAGGTCTGGGGTGGGCCCCGGAATGTGCATTTTTTATGAGATCCCTCTGGGTGAATCTGGCTAAAGCCAGTTTGGGATCTGAGACCTTGGAGATCATTCCCCAGCTTCCCTCCTAACCCAGTTCCCGGCTTGGCCCACCTCACCCAGGCTGTGTCACGTCTGACTTCGCAGATTACACCTGAGAGGGAAGCCCCAGCCATCACAATGTGAGAACATTTTACAATGAACAGGATATGCCAAGTACATTTTAAGACTCATTCAGGATTAGCGTTCACCTTAAACTTGACAGACTCAGAGAATGGGCTGGCCACGTGCTGTGCACAACCCTTAGTGCCCTTCTGTGACTAATATTTGGATAATTGATTGTTGGAAGCTCAGGAAGCCTCTCTCTCTCAGAGGGGTTGAAGTTAACTTCTTTATTTCTGAGGTAGGGAAGAAAATGACGATGTTCTGCCTTTTGCTAGACTGAATACTGTCTTCCAAAAATTCACATTCACCAGGAATCCCAGAATGTGACCTTATTAGAAAATAGGGGCAGGGCATGGTGGCTCATGCTTGTAATCTTAGCACTTTGGGAGGCTGAGGCAGGAGGATCACTTGAGGTCAGGAGTTCGAGACCAGCCTGGCTAGCATGGCAAACCCTGTCTCTACTAAAAACATAAAAATTAGCTAGGCATGGTGGCGTGCACCTGTAATCCCAGCTACTTCAGAGGCTGAGGCTGAAGAATCACTTGAACCCAGGAGGCAGAGTTGAAGCGAGCTGAGATTGTGTCACTGAACTCCAGCCTGGGCAACAGAGCAAGACTCCATCACAAAAAAAAGAAAAGAAAATAGGGTCACTGCAGATCTAATTACAAAGAGGTCATATTGGAATAGCGTGAACCTTAAATCGAGTAATAATGGCATCCTCATGGGAAGAGAAGAAGAGACAGAGACACACAGGGGAGAAGGCCACATGAGAATGAAGGAAGAGAATGGAATGATGTGGACACAAGCCAAAGAATGCCAGCAACCACCAGAAGCCAGAAGAGGCAAGGAAGGATTCACCCCTAGAGCCTTCAGAGGGAGCATGGCCCTGCGGGTTTCAGACATCAAGCTTCTGGAACTGGAGAGAATGACTTTCTGTTGTCCTGAGCCACCCATTTGGGGAACTCTGTTAGAACAGTCACAGCCAGGTCATGTGCTCCTGGATGCATCTCAGGAATTAATAAGCACTGTCCTGGCCAGTCAGGGTTGCTCACCCCTGTAATCCCAGCACTTTGGGAGGCTGAGGTGTGTAGATCACCTGAGGTCAGGAGTTCGAGACCAGCCGGACCAACATGGAGAAACCCCATCTCTACTAAAAATACAAAAATTAGCTGGGTGTGGTGTTGTGCACCTGTAATCCCAGCTACTTGGGAGGCTGAGGTAAGAGAATCACTTGAACCCTGGAGGCAGAGGTTGCAGTGAACTGAGACTGCGCCATTGCCCTCCAGCCTGGGCAACAAGAGCAAAACTCCGTTCCCCCAAAAAAATAATAAGTACTGTCTTGACTGTGGTCATCAAAAATATTTGATTAAGGGTTAGCTAGAAAGCCTGACCCTTTCACAGACAGACGGAAGGGCCAAAAGAAAATAGATTGTTTGCAGTGGGGCAAGAAGGATAAGAATCCTATGGAAAAAAAAATAACAGAGGGATTTGTTTAGTGAGCGCTGGGGAGAGGCATTTGTTTTCTTGCTTGAAAAAGAAACACACGTTGGGTGCGGTGGCTAAAGCCTTAATCCCAGCACTCTGGGAGGCCAAGGTGGGTGGATCACCTAAGCTCAGGAGTTTGAGACCAGCCTGGCCAACACTGTGAAACCCCATCTCTACTAAAAAGACAAAAACAAAGAAAGAAAGAAATTAGCCAGGCACGGTGGTGGGCGCCTGCAATCCCAGCTACTCGGGTGGCTGAGGCAGAGAATCACTTGAACCTGGGAGGCAGAGGTTGCAGTAAGCCAAGATGGCATCACTGCACTCCAGCCTAGGCAACAAGAGTGAAACTCTGTCTCAACCAAAAAGAAAGAAAGAAAGAAAGAAAACCATAGTTTTAAGTCCACTCAGTGGAGTTTAAAAATACATTCCCATTGCACAGTGCTTTTGGAATCTTTTCTAAACTTCTGTTGCACATGGTCTAATTTGATCTTCATAGCAACTCCCTGAGGTGGATAGGGCAGGCCTTTCTGAACACCTATTTTCTAGTTTGCATTAAAAGAACGGAATTGGCTGGGACCAGTGCCTCATGCCTATAATCCCAAAACTTTGTGATACAGAAGGGAAGTGCTCAGAAGGGAAGAATGTGGTCCCTTTAAATGATATGGAAGTGAGGAAGGGAAGTACTGGGTAGAGGAGGGTGTGGTCCCTGGCTAGGGCTCCACCCCAGGGCCTGTGTCCACGGACCTAGGTGAGGACTGGCATTTTTGTTTTCCTGCCCAGATGTTGCATTTCCCAAGACCACCCTGGCTGCCACACCCCCATTCTGTGCCTATAAAAACCCTGAGACCCTAGCAGGCAGACACAGGCAGCTGGACTTTGAGAGGAGCACATCAGCAGAGGAACACAAGGGTGCTGGACTTCAACAGGAACGCACCAATGGGCACCGTCACACCGCAGGCCACTGACTGCAGAACAACGCAGAGTTTGGCTGGGACATTCGGAGAAGAGTCCGGCCACTCATCCAACTCCAGGGGTAAACCATCTCCCTTCTGGCACGCCCATCTGCTGAGAGATACTTCCACTCAATAAAACCTTGCACTCTCACGCCTGTAATCCCAGAACTTTGGGAGGCCGAGGCGGGCAGATCACGAGGTCAGGAGATCCAGACCATCCTGGCTAACACAGTGAAACCCCATCTCTACTAAAAATACAAAAAAATTAGCCAGGCGTGGTGGCGGGTGCCTGTAGTCCCAGCTACTTGGAAGGCTGAGGCAGGAGAATGGCGTGAACCCAGGAGTAGGAGCTTGCAGTGAGCTGAGATCACACCACTTCTGGTACACCAAGGCAAGAACCCCGGGACAAAGAGAGCCCTCTCTCCTTGCAATAAGGCAGGGGTCTAATTGAGCCGACTAACACAAGCTACCTACAGACGGCTAAACTAAAAGAGCACCCTGTAACACACGCCCACTGGGGCTTCAACTATAAACATTCACCCCTGGACACTGCCATGGGTCTCCCTGCCTGTCTGCATGCTCTCCTAGAGGTTTGAGCAGTGGGGCACTGAATAAACGAACCACACCCGCATCGCATGCCCTTCGAGGGGGACAACAGAACTTTTCCCATTTCATCTGAGAGGCCAAGGCAGGAGGATCGCTTGAGCCCATGTGTTTGAGACCAGCCTACACAACATAGCAAGACACCATCTCTACAAAAAAAAAAAATAAGTAAACAAAAAAAAAGCATTAAAAATTAGCCAGCTGTGGTGGCACACACCTGTAGTTTCAGCTACTCAGGAGGCTGATGTGGAAGGATTGATTGAGCCCAGGAGATTGAGGCTGCAGTGAGCCAAGATTGAACCACTGCACTCTAGCCTGGGCAACAGAGTGAGACCCTGTTTCGACAACAACAAAAAGAATGGAACAAAATAACTTCTCAAATAGCTAGCAGAGGGAGATCTGGTTCTCAAATGCAGGTTTTCCAGGTTTCAATTCTTGTTTCTAGCAGTATTATGGAGAAACATGATCACTAATACATGAAGGAGAGGAGGTTTCAAGTTCTGATGAAAAGATGGTAAAGAGAGGAGTTAGTTGACTAGGAGCGACTAGGAATAGGAAGAAAACGCATGACACTACTTAGAGGAAAGAAGAAAAATAAGCATAGAGGTGACTGAGCAGACAGAAAGGACTTGGAAGAAGCGTGGCTGGCCCTGTCTCTAAATTTTTTCCCTTGCATTAGTAACTTCCCTGATGACTTGGATGAATCTTCTCTTCCAGGGTACCTAGTGCTCCCTTTCTGTCCACTTCTCCTTTCCCAGGGCCCATACAGTCTGGGAAAGCATGCTCTGCAGGCTTCTCATATCTTTCCTTCCTTAATCTGCCCCTAGCATCTCTACATAACCCATATACACCTGGAGTTCCACATGTTCCAGTCTTTGCACTGCAGTGAATTCAAAGAATGGTAGACTCTAGCTGGGCGCAGGGGCTCACACCTGTAATCCCAGCACTTTGGGAGGCTGAGGCAGGTGGATCACTTGAGCCCAGGAGTTCAAGACCAGGCCCGGCCAACATGGTGAAACCCCATCTCTACTAAAAATACAAAAATTAGCTGGGCTTGGTGGTACATGCCCAGTAGTCCCAGCTTCTAGGGAGGCTGAGGCAGAAGAATTGCTGGAACCCAGGAGGCAGAGGTTGCAGTGAGCTGAGATCGTGCCACTGCACTCCAGCAGACTGGGCAACAGAGACCAGTCTCAAAAAAAACACAAAGACAAAACTAAACAAAAAAAAAAAAAAAAAAAAAAAACGCGCACACACAAAAAAACAAAGATAGACTCCAATAGGAAAAATTCACTCAAAAGCAACTCAAATAATTATTCAGTCAACCCAGTTCTATCTCAGTTCTTTATTATATATATAAACTTATTCTGTCCAGATTCCCTAGTTTTCTTTTTCTTATCTTTTTTGTTTTCTTTTGAGACAGGACCTCACTCTGTCACCCAGGCTGGAGTATAGTGGCACAATCATGGCTCACTGCAGCCTCAACCTCCTGGGCTGAAGTAGTTCTCCCACCTCAGCCTCCCAAGTAACTGGAACTACAGGTGCATGCCACTATGCTCAGCACCTTTTTGTATTTTTTGTAGAAACGGGGTCTCGCTATGTGGGCCAGGCTGGTCTTGAACTCCTGGACTCAAGAAGTCCGCCTGCCTCAACCTCCCAAAGGGCCAAGATTACAAGCATGAGCCACTGCATCTGGCTGATTCCTTAGTTTTCTTTTTCTCTTTGCCCATTGCCTGGATTCCATAAGCAGAAGGAAAACCCAGGGACTGACTTAGTAGGCAAGACCCTTTCCTCTTCAAAACATAAATTGGCTCAAGTGGTACCAAAACTGAAACATGTTTATAACTTAACATCTTTTCTTCCTACCCCTTCAATCTCTTGAGCAATGAGAAAAGGCACTGGGCTCTTTATTTGTGTAGGGAAAAGAAAGAGAGATCCGACTGTCACTGTGTCTATGTCGAAAGGGAAGACATAAGAGACTCCATTTTGAAAAAGATCTGTACTTAAAACAATTGCTTTGCAGAGATGTTGTTCATTTGTAGCTTTGCCCCAGCCACTTTGCCCCAACCACTTTGACCCAACTTGGAGTTCACAAAAACATGTGTTGTATAAAATCAAGGTTTGAAGGATCTAGGGCTGTGCAGGATGTGCCTTGTTAACCAAATGTTTACAAGCAGTATACTTGGTAAAAGTCATTGCCATTCTCTAGTCTCAATAAACCAGGGGCACAATACACTGTGGAAAGCCGCAGGGACCTCTGCCCTTGAAAGCAGGGTATTGTCCAAGGTTTCTCCCCATGTGATAATCTGAAATATGGCCTCGTGGGATGAGAAAGACCTGACTGTCCCCCAGCCCGATACCCATAAAGGGTCTGTGGTGAGGTGAATTAGTAAAAGAGGAAAGCCTCTTGCAGTTGAGATGGAGGAAGGCCACTGTCTCCTGCCTGCCCCTGGGAACTCAAAGTCTCGATGTAAACCCGATTGTACATTTGTTTAAGTCTGAGATCGGAGAAAAGCTGCCCTGTGATGGGAGGCAAGACATGTTTGCAGCAATGCTGCCTTGTTATTCTTTACTCCACTGAGATTTTTGGGTGGAGAGAAACATAAATCTGGCTTACGTACACGTCCAGTCATAGTACCTTCCCTTGAACTTAATTATGATATAGATTCTTTTGCTCACATGTTTTTTGTTGACCTCCTTATTATCACCCTGCTTTCCTAGTATATTCCTTTTTGCTGAAATAATGAAAATCATAATCAATAAAAACTGAGGGAACTCAGAGGCCGGTGCCTGTGCATGTCCTTGGTGTGCTGAGTGCCGGTCCCCTGGACCCACTGATGTTTCTCTATACTTTGTCTCTGTGTCTTATTTCTTTTCTCCGTCTCTCATCCCACCTGACTAGAAATACCCACAGGTGTGGAGGGGCAGACCACCCCTTCATCTGGAGCCCAGCGTGGGGCCCTTCTCTAGGGTGAAGGTACGCTAAGAACGTGAGCATTGAGTACAGCCGATGAGAGATTCCCGAGTACGTCCACAGTCAGCCTTGCGGTTAGCTTGTGTGCTGGGAGGAATCCAGGATAACAATGGGGCAAACTGAAAGTAAATATGCTTCTTATCTCAGCTTCATTAAAATTCTCTTAAGAAGAGGGGGAGTTAAAGCTTCTACAGAAAATCTAGTTACGCTATTTCAAACAATAGAACAATTCCGCCCATGGTTTCCAGAAAAGGGAACTTTAGATTTAAAAGATTGGGAAAAAATTGGCAAAGAACTAAAACAAGCAATTAGGGAAGGTAAAATCATCCCACTTACAGTATGGAGTGATTGGGCCACTATTAAAGCAACTTTAGAACAACTTCAAATAGAAGAAGATAGGGTTTCAGTCTTTGATGCCCCTGAAAGCTGTGTAATAGATTGTGAAGAAGAGGCAGGAACAGAGTTTAAGAAAGGAATGGAAAGTTCACATTGTAAAAATGCAGTAGAGCCTGTACTGACTTGGTCAATGCAGAATGTTGACTATAATCAATTACAGGAGGTAATATATCCTGAATCATCAAAATTGGGGGAAGGAGGTCCAGAATTATTTGGACCATCAGAGTTTAGACCACGATGGCCACCAACTCCTTCTCCCGCGGTTCAGATGCCTGTGATGTCACAATCTCAAATGCCAATCCAGGCACAGTATCCGCAATACCAGCCAGTAGAAAATAAAACCCAACCATCGGTAGTTTATCAACACCAGCCGCCAGCCGCATTTCAGTATCCGCCGTCTCCAGAGGTTCAGTATGGATCTCAGGCGGTGCGTCCTGTGCCAAATAGCAAGGCACTATATCAACCCACGGCGATGGCGTTTGATCTTACGGTACCACCTAGTGGACAAGATAGTGCACTGCATGAGACCATTGCTACAGCCAGAAAACAGGGAGATCTTGAGGCATGGCAATATCCGGTAATGTTACAACCGATGCCGGCCGGGAAAGGGAGTCAAGCAGGAGTTAAACAATATGGACCTAACTCTCCTTATACGAGAATATTATTAAATTCCATTGCTCATGGAAATAGACTTATTTCTTATGATTGGGAAATTCTGGCTATATCTTCCCTTTCACCCTCTCAGTATCTCCAGTTTAAAACCTGGTGGATTGATGGGGTACAAGAACAGGTACGAAAAAATCAGGCTACTAATCCTGTTGCTTATATAGATGAAGACCAATTGCTAGGAAGAGGTCCAAACTGGGACACTATTAACCAACAATCAGTAATGAAAATGAGGCTATTGAACAACTGTAAGGGCTATTTGCCTCAGGGCCTGGGAAAACATTCAGGACCCAGGAACCTCATGCCCTTCTTTTAGTTCAATCAGACAAGGCTCTAAAGAGCCATATCCAGACTTTGTGGCAAGGTTGCAAGATGCAGCTCAAAAATCCATTGCAGGTAACGCCCGAAAAGTTATTGTAGAAATAATGGCTTATCAAAACGCAAATTCAGAGTGTCAATCAGCCATAAAGCCATTAAGAGGAAATGTTTCAGCAGGAGTTGATGTAATTACAGAATATGTGAAGGCTTGTGATGGGATTGGAGGAGCTATGCATAAGGCAATGCCATTGGCTCAAGCAATTACAGGGGTTGCTATAGGAGGACAAGTTAAAACATTTGGGGGAAAATGTTATAATTGTGGTCAAATCGGTCATCTAAAAAAGAATTGCCCGAGCTTAAATAAACAGCAAAAAAAAAAAAAAAAAAAAAAAAAAAAAAGAGCCACCTGGCCTGTGTCCAAGATGTGGAAAAGGAAAACATTGGGCTAAGGCATGTCGTTCTAAATTTGATAAAAATGGACAACCATTGTCGGGAAACGGCAAGAGGGGCCAGCCCCAGGCCCCGCAACAAAGTGGGGCATTCCCGATTCAGCCATTTGTTCCTCAGGGTTTTCAGGGACAACAACCCCCACAGTAAATACCACCATTTCAGGAAATCAGCCAATTACAATACGACAATTATCCTCTGTCACAGCAGGCAGTGCTGCAGTAGATTTATGTTCTACTCAAATGATTTCTTTACTCCGTGGAGAGCCCCTGCAAAAGATTCCTACAGGGGTATATGGCCCGCTGCCACAAGGGATGGTAGGCCTTATTTTAGGAAGATCTAGTCTAAATTTGAAAGGAGTTCAAATTCATACTGGGGTAATTGACTCAGATTATAAAGGGGAAATTCAGTTAGTGATCAGCTGTACTGTTCCCTGGAGTGCCAATCCAGGTGATAGAATTGCTCAATTACTGCTCTTGCCTTATATTAAAATTGGGGATAGCAAAACAGAAAGAACAGGAGGGTTTGCAAGTACCAACACTGCTGGAAAAGCTGTTTATTGGGCTAGTCAGCTCTCAGAGAATAGATCTGTGTGTACAGTTACTATTCATGGAAAACAATTTGAAGGATTAGTGGATACTGGGTCTGATGTTTCTATCATTGCCTTAAATCAATGGCCAAAAAATTGGCCTAAACAAAAGCCTGTTACAGGACTTGTTGGTGTGGGCACTGCCTCAGAAGTGTATCAAAGTGCCAGGATTTTACATTGTCTAGGACCTGATAATCAAGAGAGTACAGTTCAGCCTATGATTACTTCTATTCCAATTAATTTATGGGGCCGAGACTTATTAGAACAGTGGCATGCAGAGATTACTATTCCAGTCTCTCTGTACAGCCCCACGAGTCAAAAAATCATGACTAAAATGGGATAGCTCCCTGGCAAAGGACTAGGGAAAAATGGAGAAGGCATTAAAGTTCCAATTGAGGCTAAGGGAAATCCAGAAAGAAAAGGACTAGGGTATCCTTTTTAGGGGTGGCCACTGTAGAGCCTCCAAAACCCATTTCATTAACTTGGAAAACAGAAAAGCCTGTATGGGTAAATCAGTGGCCACTACCAAAACAAAAGCTGGAGGCCTTACACTTATTGGCAAAATAACAATTAGAAAAGGGACATACTGAGCATTCATTTTCGCCTTGGAATTCTCCTGTGTTTGTAATTCAGAAAAAATCAGGCAGATGGCGCATGCTAACTGATTTAAGAGCCGTTAATGCAGTAATTCAACCCATGGGGCCTCTCCAACCTGGGCTGCCCTCTCCAGCCATGATCCCCGAAGACTGGCCTTTAATTATAATTGATCTGAAGTATTGCTTTTTTACCATTCCTCTGGCAAAACAGGATTTTGAAAAATTGGCTTTCACTATACCAGCCATAAATAATAAAGAACCAGCCACTAGATTTCAGTGGAAAGTGTTGCCTCAGGGAATGCTTAATAGTCCAACTATTTGTCAGACTTTTGTAGCTCAAGTTCTTCAACCAGTTAGAGACAAGTTTTCAGACTGTTATATCATTCATTATGTTGATGATATTTTGTGTGCTGCAGAAACAAGAGACAAATTAATTGACTGTTACACATTTCTGCAGACAGAGGTTGCAAACGCAGGCCTGACAATAGCATCTGATAAGATTCAGATCTCCACTCCTTTTCATTATTTGGGAATGCAGGTAGAGGAGAGAAAAATTAAACCACAAAAAGTAGAAATAAGAAAAGACACATTAAGAACATTAAATGACTTCAAAAATTGCTAGGAGATATTAATTGGATTCGGCCAACTCTAGGCATCCCTACTTATGCCATGTCAAATTTGTTCTCTATCTTGAGAGGGGATCCAGACTTAAATAGTAAAAGAATATTAACTCCAGAGGCAACTAAAGAAATAGAATTAGTTGAAGAAAAATTTCAGTCAGCAAAAGTAAATAGAATAGATCACTTAGCCCCACTCCAACTTTTAATTTTTGCTACTGCACATTCTCCAACAGGCATTATTGTTCAAAATACAGATCTTGTGGAGTGGTCATTCCTTCCTCACAGTACAGTTAAGACTTTTACATTGTACTTAGATCAAATGGCTACATTAATTGGTCAGGCAAGACTATGAATAGTAAAATTGTGTGGAAATGACCCAGATAAAATCATTGTTTCTTTAAACAAGGAACAGGATAGACAAGTCTTTATCAATTCTGGTGCAGGGCAGATTGGTCTTGCTGATTTTGTGGGAATTATTGATAATCATTACCCAAAAGCAAAAATCTTCCAGTTTTTGAAATTGACTACTTGGATTTTACCTAAAATTACCAGACAAAAACCTCTAGAAAATGCTCTGACGGTGTTTACTGATGGTTCCAGCAACGGAAAAGTGGCTTACACTGGGCCAAAAGAACAAGTCATTGAAACTCAATATCACTCAGCTCAAAGAGCAGAATTGGTTGCTGTCATTTCAGTGTTACAAGATTTTAATCAGCCTATTAACATTGTTTCAGATTTTGCATATTTAGTACAGGCTACAAAAGATGTTGAGACAGCCCTAATCAAATATAGTATGGATGATCAGTTAAATCAGCTGTTTAAATTGTTACAACAAACTGTAAGAAAAAGAAATTTCCCATTTTATATTGCTCATATCCGAGCACATACTAATTTACCAGGGCCTTTAACTAAGGCAAATGAACAAGCTGACTTGCTAGTATCATCTGCCTTCATGGAAGCACAAGAACTTCAGGCCCTCACTCATGTAAATGCAACAGGATTAAAAAACAAATTTGATATCACATGGAAACAAGCAAAAAATGTTGTACAACATTGTGCTCAGTGTCAAGTCTTACACCTGCCCGCTCAAGAGGCAGGAGTTAATCCTAGAGGTTTATGTCCTGATGCATTATGGCAAATGGACGTCACACATGTACCTTCATTTGCAAAATTGTCATTTGTCCATGTGACAGTTGATACTTATTCACATTTCATATGGGCAACCTGCCAGACAGGAGAAAGTACTTCCCATGTTAAAAGACATTTATTATCTTGTTTTGCAGTCATGGGATTTCCAGAAAAAATTGAAACAGGTAATGGGCCAGGATACTGTAGTAAAGCATTTCAAAAATCCTTAAATCAGTGGAAAATTACACATACAACAGGAATCCTTAATTTCCAAGGACAGGCCATAATTGAAAGAACTAATAGAACACTCTAAGCTCAATTGGTTAAACAAAAGAAGGAAAAAGTAAGGAGTACAATACTCCCCAGATGCAACTTAATCTAGCACTCTATACTTTAAATTTTTTAAATATATATAGAAATCAGACCACTACTTCTGCAGAACAACATTTTACTGGTAAAAAGAACAGCCCACATGAGGGAAAACTGATTTGGTGGAAAGACAACAAAAATAAAACATGGGAAATAGGTAAGGTGATAACATGGGGGTGAGGTTTTGCTTGTGTTCCAGCAGCAGAAAATCAGCTTCCTCTTTGGGTACCCACTAGACATTTGAAGTTCTACAATGAACCCATCAGAGGTGCAAGGGAAGGCACCTCCGCAGAGACAGAGAACCCGCAATCGAACATCATCGACTCGCAGGGTGAACGAAATGGTGATATCAGAAGAACAGATGAAGTTGCCATCCACCAAGAAAGTGGGGCCGCCGACCTGGGCCCAGCTAAAGAAGCTGACACAGTTAGCTGAAAAAAGCCTGGAAAACACAAGGGTAACACAAACTCCAGAGAATATGCTACTTGCAGATTTAATGATTGTATCAGCGGTGGTAAGTCTCCCTATGTCTTCAGGAGCCGCTACAGCTAACTATACTTACTGGGCCTATGTGATTTTCCCACCCTTAATTCGAGCAGTCACTTGGATAGATAATCCTATTGAAGTATATGTTAATAACAGTGCATGGGTACCAGGCCCCACAGATGACCGTGGCCCTGCCCAACCTGAAGAAAAAGGAATGATGATAAACATTTCCATTGGGTATCATTATCCTCCTATTTGCCTGGGAAAAGCACCAGGATGCTTAATGCCTACAATCCAAACTTGGTTGATAGAAGTACCTACTGTCAGTGCCACCAGTAAATTTACTTATCATATGATAAGAGGAATGTCGCTCAGGTCACAAATGAATAATTTACAGAATTCTTCCTATCAAAGATCATTAAAATTTAGGCCTAAAGGGAAACCATGCCCCAAGGAAATTCCAAAAGAATCAAAAGACCCAGTAGTCTTAGTTTGGGAAGAATGTGTGGCTGATACTGCAGTGGTACTACAAAACAATAAATTTGAAACTATTATAGACTAGGCCCCTCAAGGCCAATTATATTATGACTGTATGGGCCAGACCCACTCATGTTCACAGGCCCCATGTGTCTGGCCCACTAATCCGGCCTGTGATAGTGATTTAACTAAAAGGCTAGACCAGGTTTATAGAAGGCTAGAATCACCCTATCCATGGAAATGGGGTGAAAAGAGGATTTCATCACCCCGACCAAAGTTAGTTAGTCCTGTTTTTGGTCCTGAACACCCAGAATTATGGAAGCTCACTGTGGCCTCGTACCACATTAGAATTTGGTCTGGAAATCAAGTTATGGGAACAAGAAATCATAAGCCATATTAACTATTAACCTAAATTCCAATCTGAAAATTCCTTTGCAAAGTTGTGTAAAACCCCCTTATATGCTAGTTGTAGAAAACATAGCTATTAAACCAGATTCCCAAACTACAACCAGTGAAAATTGTAGATTGTTTACTTGCATTGATTCAACTTTCGATTGGCAGAATGCTATTCTGTTAGTAAGGGCAAGAGAAGGCGTGTGGATCCCTGTGTCCATGGATCGACCATGGGAGGCTTCTCCATCCGTACATACCTTAAGTATTAAAAGGAGTTCTAATTAGATTTAAAAGATTCATTTTTACTTTGATTGCAGTGATTATGGGTCTTATTGCAGTCACAGCTACTGCTGCGGCTGCTGGAATTGCTTTACACTCCTCTGTTCAAACTGCAGAATATGTGAATAATTGGCAAAAGAATTCCTCAAAATTGAGGAATTCTTAGACTCAAACAGGTCAAAAATTGGCAAATCAAATTAATGATCTTAGACAAACTGTTATTTGGATGGGAGATAGGCTCATGAGCTTAGAATATCTTTTTCAGTTACAGTGTGACTGGAATATGTCAGATTTTTCTATTACACCTCGAGCCTGTAATGAATCTGAACAGCACTGGGACATGGTTAGAAGCCATCTACAAGGAAGAGAAGATAATCTTACCTTAGATATTTCTAAATTGAAAGAACAAATTTTTGAAACATCAAAAGCCCAGTTAAATCTGGTGTCAGAAACGGAGGCAATGGTAAAAGCTGTTGATAGCCTCACAAATCTTAACCCTGTCACTTGGGTTAAAACCATTGGAAATTCCACTATTGCAAATTTTGTATTAATTCTTGTATGTCTGTCCTCTCTATTGTTAGTCTACAGGTGTATCCAGCAGCTCCGGAGAGACAGCGACCAGGGAGAAGGGGCCATGATGACCATGGCGGTTTTGTCAAAAAGAAAAGCGGGAAATGTAGGGAAAAGAGACAGATCAGACTGTCACTGTGTCTATGTAGAAAGGGAAGACATAAGAGACTCCATTTTGAAAAAGACCTGTACTCTAACAATTGCTTTGCTGAGATGTTGTTCATTTGTAGCTTTGCCCCAGCCACTTTGCCCCAGTCACTTTGCCCCAACTTGGAGTTCACAAAAACATGTGTTGTATAAAATCAAGGTTTGAGGGATCTAGGGCTGTGCAGGACGTGCCTTGTTAACCAAATATTTACAAGCAGTATACTTGGTAAAAGTCATTGCCATTCTCTAGTCACAATAAACCACGGGAACAATGCACCGTGGAAAGCCGCAGGGAGCCCTGCCCTTGAAAGCAGGGTGTTGTCCAAGGTTTCTCCCCATGTGATAGTCTGAAATATGGCCTCGTGGGATGAGAAAGACCTGACTGTCCCCCAGCCTGACACCCGTAAAGGGTCTGTGCTGAGGCGGATTAGGAAAAGAGGAAAGCCTCTTGCAGTTGAGATGGAGGAAGACCACTATCTCCTGCTTGCCCCTGGGAACTGAATGTCTCGGTGGAAACCCGATTGTACATTTGTTCAAGTCTGAGCTAGGAGAAAAGCTGCCCTGTGGCGGGAGGCGAGACATGTTGCAGTAACGCTGCCTTGTTATTCTTTACTCCACTGAGATGTTTGGGTGGAGAGAAACATAAATCTGGCCTACGTGCAAGTCCAGTCATAGTACCTTCCCTTGAACTTAATTATGATATAGATTCTTTTGCTCACATGTTTTTTGTTGACCTTCTCCTTATTATCACCCTGCTCTCCTATTACATTCCTGTTTGCTGAAATAATGAAAATCATAATCAATAAAAACTGAGGGAACTCAGAGGCCAGTGCACGTACAAATCCTGGTGTGCTGAGTGCCGGTCCCCTGGACCCACTGTTGTTTCCCTGTACTTTCTCTCTGTGTCTTATTTCTTTTCTCCGTCTCTCATCCCACCCGACTAGAAATACCCACAGGTGTGGAGGGGCAGGCCACCCCTTCAATTTGGTGACACATGGCCTGTGGCCTCAAAGAACACTGACACCCCGGTAACATTCATTCAAACGGGTTCTCCGTACCTCCCCTCCTTTATCCCCAAGGTCTCTGGGTCAGAGATCACTGAGTCATTCACAACATGATGTTTAACACCGAGACGCTCTGGAATTGCTCCTTCAAGACGACTCAGAAGAAGACCCAGTGCTGAGACAATCGTGTTCTCTCTCTCTCTGGATCACCGCCCAGAGACAAGGACTGCCAGAGACTCTGGCTTCCCCAGCTGCTGCCTCCCATTCCTGCGCCTGTGGGATGAGAGATCGAAGCTGTGTGACCTTGACCAAGTTACTTACCCTCTCTAAGCATATGTTTCCCTAAATGTGAAATAGGATGATGGTGATGTGTTTATTTCACAGATTTGATAGAAGGATTAAATGAGAGATGTATCAAAAGCAGTGGGCACAGGGTCAATGCTCAGTGAGCTTTCTCTTTTCTTATCAATAGACAGGTCTCCATGAGGACAGAGACTAGCTTCATCTCAACTGTAGCCTCAGGGCTGGCCACAGTGTCTGCACCCAGCAGGACTTCAGTAAATATCTGTTTATACACTAACCACAGACTTAGGCATAAAAGCCCTTTGGAAGAAAGTTGACCATTTCATGCACCTTCAGACTATGAAGAGCAATGATGACAACTTTAGCTCGAGAGGCTCTCAGTGCTCATTCATACCACTGTGAAAAGGCAGAAACCAGAGCTGTGTGTTTAACTCTCAGCCCCAAAACCTGTTGGCTTTGTTTTATCACTATGAACTTCCAATGCCATCCCTCTAGAATGGGACCTCTCTCTTCTTCCCCAAGGCACCAGCCTGCACCCTAGACCTCTCCTTATTAGCTGGTTCCTCCTGTCTGTACTCTGAGCCCATGCTGTGCTCGTCAGATAGCAACAAGGGAGAATACAGCAGCCCAGAATGCAGGCTGCAGAGTTAGATCCCCAGAACAGGATCTCAGCCGGCTCCATCCTTCCTCAGCTGGGCGACCGTGGCCATTGACTTCCTCTCTGTGCCTCAGTTGCTCCATCTGTGAAATGACGATTGTCATAGTCCCTGCTTCAAAGAGTCACTGGGAGGATTAACTGAGAAAATGCAGGGAAGGTGCTTGGAACTAAATGCTCCAAAAAAGTCCATCTGGCCAGGCACGGTGTCTCACGCCTGTAATCCCAGCACTTCGGGAGACTGAGGCAGGTGGATCACTTAGGTCAGGAATTCAAGACCAGCCTGGTCAACATGGCAAAACCCCGACTCTACTAAAAATACAAAAATTAGCCAGGCATGGTGGCAGGCACCTATAATCTCAACTACTTGGGAGGCTGAGGCATGAGAATCTCTTGAACCTGGGAGGCAGAGGTTGCAGTGAGCCGAGATGGTGCCACTGCACTCCAGCATGGGCAACAAGAGCAAAACTCTGTCTCAAAAAAAAAAAAAAAAGTCCATCATTCTTATTAATGGAGGACAAATCATCTCAGTGCTTCTTTGGCTGATCAGTACCCTCAAAGCTAGTGTTATCCAATAGACCAGAGGTCCCCATCCCCCAGACCACAGACCAGTAGCGGTCTGTGGCCTGTTAGGAACTGGGCTGCACAGAAGGAGGTGAGCAGTGAGCTAATGAGTGAAGCTTCATCTGTATTTACAGCTGCTCCCCATGGCTAGCGTTACCGCCTGAGCTCTGTCTCCTGTCAGATCAGCAGTGGCATTAGATTCTGATAGGAGCACCAACCCTATTGTGATCTGCATGTGGAAGGGATCTAGGTTGTGTGCTCCTTATGAGAATCTAACACCTGATGATCTGTCACTGTCTCCCACCACCCGGAGATGGGATTATCTAGTTGCAGGAAAACAAGCTCAGGGCTCTCACTGATTCTACATTATGGTGAGTGGTATAATGATTTCATTATATATTATAATGTTCATAACAATAGAAATAAAGTACACAATAAATGTAATGCACTTGAATCATCCTGAAACTTCCCCCCAACAAGTACACGGAAACTGGTCCTTGGTGCTAAAAAAAAATTGGGGACCACTGCAATAGACTATTCAGTCATGGTCCAATCAAACATTCTGCAATGGCAGGCTTGCTCTACTCTGCACTGTCCAACATGGGAGCTGCTAGCCGCCCACATGGGCTTTTGAGCCCTTGAAATGTGGCTGGGGAGAATGAAGAACTGAATTTTCAATTTTCTCTTAACTAATTTTTTTTTTTTTTTTTTTTTTTTCAGACAGAGTCTCACTCTATCCTCCAGGCTGGAGTGCAGTGGTGCAATCTCGTCTCACTGCAACCTTCATCTCCCAGGTTCAAGCAATTCTCCTGCCTCAGCCTCCTGAGTAGCCAGGATTACAGGAACCCGCCATCATGCCCGGCTAATTTTTGTATTTTTGTAGAGACGAGATTTCACCATGTTGGCCAGGCTGATCTTGAACGCCTGACCTCAGGTGATCTGCCCAACTTGGCCTCCCAAAATGCTGGCATTACAGGTGTGCCACCATGCCCACCCTTAATTCATTTCTAAATCACAAAATCTAAACAGTAAGTGGACAGGAGCTACCATAGTGTACAAGGCAGCTGTAGAATCACAGGAAATTGTCAATGACCCTGTCCTGCTTCAAGTTGACTTTTCTCCCTCATGGTGAGACTCTAGATTCTTTCCTCTTCTCTCACATTTTTTAGACTTTCAGGCTTAGACCATGAAAATAAGTTCTGTCCTTCCAAGAAAATAACGTTCATAACACTAACTGTATACCAGGCTGATTTCAGTGCTTTACATGTATTAATTTACAACAACTCTGAGGCACGAGCTGTGATTATGCCCATTTAACAGATGACAAAACTGAGGCACAAAGCAGTGCTGGAACTTCTCAAGGACACACAGGTAGCAGGAGGCAGAGCTCGGATTTGAACTCACTTTGGGTTCAGCAACTCACAGCTCTCACCTATGACATAATATTACTTCTGTGGTTAAAACACTTAGACCTGGATTTTACAGGAATCTTGTGCTTGCCTGGCTGCTAGGGAGGTTTTCATCATCTTCCTTATCTCACAGTTCAAAACCCAGGGCCTCCAAGCTCTTGCTACGGTGGCTGTTCACTGGCAGGAGGCTTCTGGGAAGGTTCTCCTTTTCTGTCATTTTTCTTATTCGTGGTTTTTTGTCTCATTGGTGTTTATCCGCAGAACTTTGTTTCCTTCTGCTCAATTCATAATCAGAGTGCTTTTCCTCCTGGCTGAATTCATAAGTGTTTGTGCAAAAAGAGGTTGGCGCAGGGCCAGGCGACTGACGACACCCGGCTCATCTGGCAAGTGGATATCAAATTGTTGTATCTCGTTCTGCCATTCACAGCTCCTGCTGTGGGGCTGGGTCATCTGCCAGCTCTCCAAGGAGCTGGCGGGAAACCGCTGCAATCAGAGCGAACCCAGGGCCCGGGTGAGCCCGCCTCCGCACAGCACTCCAGCTGCCCCCATTGCCTTTTTGGGACACATCTGCTTTGCCAGGCAGGGCTGTGGGAGGGCCGCCTGCCTCCTGTCCATCACAGGGAAAACCCACCCTTGTCCCGCGTCCCTTCCAGGCAGCCTGTGTGTAGCTTGCTGCATTCACCTTTAATATGGCTAAAATGTTTTCCTTCAATGACAGTAATGCTGCCAGAACCCATCAAGACACTCAGGAACTGATGTGCCTTGGCAGATGATGCTGGAAAGATGGGATTCCCGGCAGCCTTTGCATCCCTTGCTCACAGCCCACAAGCATCTCCACTGTCCAGCAGGTCAGGACACGGTCTCTCTCTCTAGCTCTGTGTCTCTCTCTCACGGTCTTTCTCATGGTCTCTGTCTCTCACGATCTCTCTCTCTCATAGTCAGGGCAGAAAGAGTCAGAGTCCATCTGGAGCAGACTCGGATTTTAAATGAGTGTCACCGATAATTTCACATGATCAATGGCTGAGGCATTTCACCAAGTTCAGGAGTCCCAGTTCTCAGAGAGAGGCAGCCAGCCATGACTGTAAGACTTGGGCAAACCGTACAAACCAGACAGCAGGTCTCACCCCTCCCCAGAGAGCTCCAGAGAATATCAAAGAGTGAAACAGCAGAGGGATGGTCTGGGTGGGGTCATCGTGGCTGGCAAGGGTCTGGGACAGCACCTTGTTAGGCTACTCCCAAGAGGAAATTTGGAGAGAGGGTGGGAGGGCGGCTCTCAGTGCAAGCTAAGTCTCCTGGAAAGTAACTTCCAAGCTTTGGAGGATTGTGAGCAAGATGGGACCAACTTCTACCTAAAAGCAACTTCTACCTGAAAGAATGTTAATAGCAAGATAACTCATCCTAATGTTGGTCCAAGCTAGGTCTTTATTATGTATCATAAAGGCTCTGAGAATAACAATGTAACCTCCAAAAGGGCTGCGGGCTTTGAGGAATCTCAGGCAACTCGCTTCCTTCTGCTCAGTGCCTCCCGTGGAGCACAGCAAAGCAAGGAAACACTTAGAGCCAAGCTTGAGTTCTGAATTTCAAATACAGGGAGTCCATCTCTTTCTACCCAATTGTTCCCTAGATGAGTAACTAACTCCTTCCCCATAACTGCACATATTTCCTACCAAAGCACAAGAGCGATGGGCTGTCCATGAGCCTCCCCAAAACATGTGCACCTTGTGACATAAATTCTGTCACCCAAAGAGACCAGACAAAATGCAAAACCAAAGTGGAGGCTTTCCTTGAATTATAGGTTCTAAAGAGTTTTGGACCCTCTACAAAACCCAAGAGTTAGGAATTGCCTGTAAGAAGCACCAGCTCTTGTTTTAAAGAGGCAATTTAAGAATAATAACCATGCTGATGCCACACTACGCTAAGGGAGAAGAATGAACCTAACAAAACAAGCGATTTTCCAATTGCTTTTGCTGCTGGAAACACTGATTATGCTAATTAAAGGGTAGAATAGTAAATAGCCACTCTTTTGCATCCAATTAAGTGTTCAGATTATTTCTCAGAAGTATTTGTTAAAAATAGCACTTCTGATAATCATGGGTCCCAAATAAACAGAGTCAAGTGCGGTGTGGGACATGTGTGAGTGTGTGTGTGTGCACACGTGTCTTTCTGGAGCTCATTTTATGGAGATCCCGCATAGCTCCCCAAATTCCTGTGAGAACAAATAAGAAAAATCACAGTCTTCTAAGACTACAGCTTGGGATATCTTTGGAAAAGGTGTGTATTGAGAACACAGCATATGGAAACTATTTCACGTTGGCAATATCTGTGATTTAACATTGCAAACATTACAAATGCAACTGGTTCTTCAGAGTCACCTAAGTCCCTCATAATGGCAATATTAGCTTCTTCTAAATAATAAGTTAGCCAGTCAAACTATGTTCTACAGCATGTTAGAAGTTTCATCCTTCTAGTCAATGTCACATTTCAAGGCAAAGTCGATTTATATGTAAGTTAAACGAAGTGCTGTCACTAAAAATTGAGAATTATGTCTAATGCCAATCAGAAATGGAATAAATAAGTATTAGAGGATTTGCAAGTGAAAGCAACCATAGAAATGCTATCATCAGGAAGGAAAATGTATTACCTGCAGAGGTTACAGATAAGACGTTAGAACCCAGAAGAGAAAGAATCTCTGTAAATATTTCCATTAAGTTAATCAAGAGTGGCTGGGTATGGTGGCTCATGCCTGTAATCCCAGGACTTTGGGAGGCCAAAGAGGGCGGATCACGAGGTCAGGAGTTCGAGACCAGCCTGGCCAACATGGTGAAACCCTGTCTCTATTAAAAATAAAAAAATTAGCCGGGCGTTGTGGTATACACCTGTAATCCCAGCTACCCAGGAGGCTGAGGCAGGAGAATTGGTTTAATCCAGAAGGCAGAGGTTTCAGCTAGCTGAGATCACACCATTGCACTCCAGCCTGGGTGACAGATCATGGCTCCATTTTGAAAAAAAAATAAATAAATAAATAAATAAAGTTAATCAGGGTGAGAATAGGATGAGTTTTTCACCCACAAAAAGACATGAGATTCATGCATTCTTTCAACATGCATTCCATCAATAGTGAGCACCTTCTCTGAGCTAGGCCCATTCCAGGTCTCAGGAAATGAGTAACCAACCAGACACGGCCCCTGATTTGGAGCTCACATTTTAGAGCAGCTAAATGGACAGTAAACAAGTAAGCAAATTAAGATCGTCTTAAATTGGGGGAAGTTCTTTAGAGAAGCACTTCCATAAAGCTGAATCGCATCATAGACTATGACTGCCAGGTTGTAGGGAAGGTAATATCTCACCTGCTTGTGGATAGCAGAGCTTCTGAGGCCTTGCAAAGTATTTGGTACTAAGATTTCTGTCTTAGGTCAAGTTCCCTAAAAGCAGAGACTGAGGCAGGGATTGAGTGCATGTAATTCATTCAGGAAGAAGTCTCAGGAGATAGGAGTAAGGAAAACAGGATATGGCAGGGAAGGAGCTAAGTGAGATGTGGTCTCAGCTGGAGACTGGCTCCAGTCTGATCTCACAGGGAGCTCCAGAGGATGAACTGCACCACCATGTTATCCCAGCCTCAGGTCTTTTGTTCCCCTGTGTCAGCCGGTCCTTGGCCAAGGGCTGCAGACTCTCTTGGGGCCCCAGCAGACCGGAGGAGAAGGAGCATGGTCTGTGGTCTACTCTTTTGTGCACATCCACCCACCACTTCCCCAGCTGACACTGCTGGAGGAGGAGAGGGAGAGATGTCATCTCCTTCTATGGCAACCTGTGGGGTGGCAATGGCCCTTTTCCTGTTGGGTGTAATCTGCTGCCATCTCCTGCTGTCTGCAGCCTGACACAGAAGGGTGAAGGTCACCAGGTTCCACTGACCGGGGTCTTTGTCTCAAGCAGCAACCATGGGACCACGGGTCCCTTGCAAGATTCAGCCACATTTCATGACTGTCTGCAACACACCCCATGCCTCTGATGGAAGGAACCCAATGCCCCATGCTGCACTCATTTCTGCCAGACTAGGGTCCCTGATCTCAATTTCCCTCTGCAGTCCCCAACTCTGGGGTCTGCAGACAGATTTCAGATCCGTCCTTATACCTCCCAGGAGGCAGAAGCCAGAGGAAATAATCCTTGTCCCAATGCACCTGACCATGCCACCTCACTGCATGCTCTTTCTCCCTCTCCAGGAAAAATCAAGCTGGTTGAATACTAACCAATATGCCCACATGCATTTAGTCCCCATAACCACTTCTTGGGGCAGCATTACCATCCCCAAGTTACAGACGAGGAAACTGAGGAGAGCATTTATATAACATGCATCTAAGTGGTGGACAAAGGATCTAACCAGGCAGTGTGGCACCAGAGCACACATTTTTGTTGTTCAGAGAGATGGGGTCTCTCTCTGTCCCTCAAATTGGAGTGCAGTGGCCTGATCACAGCTCAGTGCAGGCTTGAACTCCCAAGCTCCAGCAATCTTCCCGCCTCAGCCTCCCGAGTAGCTGGGACTAGAGGCATTCACCACCAACCCAGCTAATTTTTAAAAAACATTTTTCTAGAGATAGGGTCTGATTCCAAACTCCTGACTTCAAGCGATCCTCCTGCCTCAGCCTCCCAAAGTGCTGATATTACAGTTGTGAGCCCCCGCGTCCAGCCCAGAGCAGATTTTTTTTTTTTTTTTTTTTTTGAGATGGAGTCTCACTCTGTCACCCAGGCTGAAGTGCAGTGGCAAAATCTCGGCCCAGAGCACACTTTTAACCACCATATCATTCTGCCTCTGGGTAGGTTAGTCAAGCTCTGTAGCTGATCAGATGTCTGTAGAGAGAAAGAGACATCAATCTCCCCTTCTTCCAAACACCCCCAAATTTTACAAGTGATTTTCTCAGATCCCTCAGCATCAGGAATGGGGATGTGCAGGGCAGCCTGTCCCCTTCCCAACAGCCCAGCAGATATCCCAAGATTACATCTCATTGGCTCTGACTAGGACATGAGCCCAAAGCTGAACCAGTAGCTGTAGCCATGGCATGCAGCATCCTCGGTCCTCTG
The DNA here is from genome assembly GCF_000001405.40 of Homo sapiens. Lineage (NCBI taxonomy): Eukaryota > Metazoa > Chordata > Mammalia > Primates > Hominidae > Homo > Homo sapiens. The sequence goes on along the minus strand of NW_018654717.1, from coordinate 5,133,139 downwards.
GCCAGGCCAGAGCTACATCCTACCTCTGGGTCCCCGGGTTGAGCCAATAATCTCGAACCAGGCGCGGACTGAAGCTCAAGGGGGAGTCATAGTAATGTGACCCAGCCCACCAGGAAGTGGGTGCTGAGCAGGCAAGCATTCATCACCCACTGCACACACCAGGGAAGGCTTGTGGTGGCTTAGTCCCACCTGGGGGCAAAGAAAAGAGTGCCTGCTCCATGCCAAAATGTGATGCCTAACACCGTATCTTAAAGCTAGCTGGCTTTGTAATCCCTGCTACTTGGAAGGCTGAGGCAGGAGAACCACTTGAATCCAGGAGGCGGAGGTTGCAGTGAGCCAAGATCACGCCATTGCACTCCAGCATGGGTGACGAGAGAAATTCTGTCTCCAAAAAAAAAATAATAATAATAAAAAAATAAAAAGCTAGCCTGCTTAATCCTCACAAAGATGCCATCTACTTTTTGGCATTCTACAGGTTGAGACACTGGGACATCTTAAAACTCACCACCAGCCGGGCATGGTGTCTCATGCCTGTAACCCCAGCACTTTGAGAGGCTGAGGCAGGAGAATTACTTGAACCCAGGAGTTCAGGACCAGCCTGGGCAAATTAGTGAGACCTCATCTCTACAAATATTAAAAAAAAAAAAAATTAGGGCAAGGCGCCGTGGCTCACACATGTAATCCCAGCACTTTGGGAGGCCAAGGCAAGTGGATCACTTCAGCCCAGGGATTCGAAACCAGCCTGACCAACACGACAAAACTCTATCTCAACTAAAAATACAAAACTTAGCTGGGCATAGTGGTACATGTCTATAATCCCAACTACTTAGGAGGCTGAGGCACGAGGATTGCTTGAACCCAGGAGTCAGAGTTTGCAGTGAGCTGAGATTGTGCCACTGCACTCCAACCTAAGTGACAGAGTGACACCGTGTCTCAAAAAAAAAAAAAAAACAAAAAAAAAACAGGTGTGGTGGTACATGCCTGTGCCCCAGCTGCTCAAGAAGCTGAGGTAGCAGGATCACTTAAGCCCAGAAGTTCAAGGGTGCAATGAGCTATGATAGTACCCCTGCACCACTATGTAAACATATTTATGTATATATGTATGTTTATATATACACATGTATATTATATATGTATATATATGCATATGTATACATGTACATGTGTATATGTGTGTGTATATATATATATATAAAACACACATGCACAAATTCACCACCAACAACTCAGAAATTACCGTCTCCTTCTATTCTAAGGAACTATTTTTCATTTTGCCATCTCTGAAGTTGGAATACACCTTACAATCACTAGAATGTCACAGTCTCGTTGGCAGCATTTTTCTGCTTAGTAGCCCATAAAATAATAGCACATCTTGTAACTAACAGTGTTGTAGATGCTATGAGATCCTGGGGAAGCCCAGAATCTAACTCCATCCTGTCTGACTCCAAAGACCACATATTTCCTATGCCTTTGGACTGGGGCACAGATGTAGACAACTTGAGCTTTGCTGATTGTGAGAAAGGTATGAGAAATGGCCCCGATGGAATTTTCTTCTTGTAGTTGAAGGGGAACAAAGTGGCATCATTCCACTATTCCAAGGGAGGTGTTAAATACGAGGGTGAGGCTGTCAAGCGGTCCCTGGTGGAGTCCTACACTCACCCAAAGAGCAGCGAGACAGAGCGGAGGGAGAACATCGATACCGTCATGAACTGGTTCACCAAGGAAGACTTTGACTTTGTGGCTCTGTGCTACAGAGAGCCAGATAACGTGGGACACCGATTCGGGCCAGAGGCAGAGAACAGGAAGTTGATGATTCAGCAAATCGACAGCGCCATCGGGTATCTGGTGGGAGCCACTGAGAAGCACAGCCTACAGAGCACCTCAGCGTCATCATCACATGAGACCGTGGGATGACCACCGTGAAGAAGAGACCCAATGTCAACAAGATCCCTTGTCCAACTACATCAAGTTCAGGGACTTAGTCAAGTTTGATATCGTGGGCTACGGTGGCTTTGGGATGCCCCTGCCCAAATTGGGGCAAGAGGAAGCCCTTTACCAGGCACTGAAGAATGCGTACCCTCACCTCCACATCTACAAGAAGGAGGAGTTTCCAGAACACTTCCATATGGCTAAACATGACCGGGTTCTGCCAATCGTGATGTATGCCAACTCTGGTTACAGTATCAAAGGGGTAAGTTCATTCTAAAATGAATAAAGTCACCTTGGATCTAGGAGACAACCATTAGGGAAGGGTGGTTCTGCAAAAATCAAACATAAGCGCACAGCCGGGCACGGTGGCTCACGCGTATAATCCCAGCACTTTGGGAGGCTGAGGCAGGTGTATCACCTGAGGTCAGGAGTTTGAAACCAGCCTGGCCAACATGGTGAAACCCCATCTCTACTAAAAATACAAAAATTAGCTGGGCGTGGTGGTGCACATCTGTAGTTCCAGCTACTCTGGAGGCTGAGGCAGGAGAATCGCTTGAAGCTGGGAGGCAGAGGTTGCAGTGAACCAAGATCATGCTACTGCACTCCAGTCTGGGCAACAGAGTGAGACCCTGTCTCAAAAAAATATAATATAATATAATATAATATAATATAATGTAATGTAATGTAATGTAATATAATATAATATAATATAATATGATATAATATAACAAAACAAAATAAAATAAGTGCACACACTACGAGTTGTAGCCCACAGGGTCCTAAATGTTTCCCACCCTCCGCCCAACCAATGCTGCCCCAAATTACTGTTATACAAGATTAATGACCAATTCAACTTGATAAGGCTGATTAAAAATAAAAATAAGGCTGGCCATGGTTGTTCACACTTGTAATCTCAGTGTTTTTGGAGGCTAAGACAGGAGGATTGCTTAAGGCCAGGAGTTCAAGACCAGCCCGGGCAACACAGGGAGACCCCATCTCTACAAAAAACAAACAAATAAATAAATAGCCAGACATGGCGATGCATGCCTGTAGTCCCAGCTACTCAGGAGGCTGAGGTGGCAGGATTTCTTGAGCCCAGGAGGTCAAGGCTGCACTAAGCTGTGGTTGCACTACTACACTCCAGCTTGAGCAACAGAGCAAGACCCCGTCTCTAAAAAATAAATAAACAAATAATAAAAAATAAACACCAACTTCATTATTCAAAATCGTGCATAGAGCTTCACTAAACATTGAATAGCAGTTCTTTCATTTTTTTCTTCCCAACAACCCTATAAAATAGATGCTCTTATTTCCACCACTTTAAAGAAGAAATCAAAACCTAGAGAGAAGTGACTTGAGATTAAAAATGTAAGGTTGGGCTGGGTGCAGTGGCTCACACCTGTAATCCCAGCACTTTAGAAGGCTAAGGTAGGTAGATTGCTTGAGCCCACGAGTTTGAGACCAGCCTAGGCAACACAGTGAAACACCATCTCTACAAAAAATGCAAAAAATGTGTCTGAGTGTAGTGGCACGTGCCTGTGGTCCCAGCAACTCAGGAGGCTGAGGTGGGAGAACTGCTTGATCCCGGGGGTGTTGAGTCTGCAGTGAGCCATGATCATGCCACTGTGAGATAGGAGGCAGGACTTGACTCCACAGGCAGGGCTTAGACACCAGACCAAATTAAGGACTACCTAAAACAGGGCTGGGGCAGAAGAAGCTTTCCATCAGACATGCCCACCAGTGTGCCATGTGAGTTTACTATTGCCAAGGTAACACCCGGGAGTTACTGCCCCTTTCCATGGCAATGACCCAATGACTCAAAAGTTACTACCCATTTTCTAGAAATTCCTGCATAAACTGCCCTTTAATCTGCATGCAATTAAAAGTGGGTATAAATGTGATTGCAAACTCTCTGCCGCTACTCTCTGCCTCCAGGGTAACCCTGCCCTACAGGAGCAGTCACAGGGCTGTAATGCTGCCTCTTCAATAAAACTGTTTTCTTCTATACCTCCGGCTTGCCCTTGAATTCTTTCCTGGGTAAAGGCAAGAACCCTCACGTGCTACTGAGAGGTGACAGCACGGTGTCAGCCCTCGAGCTCACTCTCGGCCCCTCCTCTGCCTGGGCTCCCACGTTGGTGGCACTTGTGGAGCCCTTCAGTGCACCGCTGCACTGTGGGAGCCCCTTCCTGGGCTGGCCGAGGCTGGAGCCTGCTCCCTCAGCTTGCGGGGAGGTGTAGAGGGAGAGGCGCGGGCAGGAACTGGGGCTGGGCGTGGCGCTTGCGGGCCAGCGTGAGTTCCGGGTGGGCATGGGCTCACTGGGCCCGGCACTCAGACTGGCCTGCCAGCCCCGCTGGACCCAGGCAGTGAGGGGCTTAGCACCTGGGCCAGCAGCTGCTTTGCTCAATTTCTCACTGGGCCTTAGCTGCTTCCCTGCAGGGCAGGGCTCGGGACATGCAGCCCGCCATGCCTGAGCCTCCACCCAACCCTCCATGGGCTCCTTCGCGGCCTGAGCCTCCCTGATGAGTGCCGAGCCTCCCCAATGGGCACCACCCCCTGCTCCAGGGCGCCCAGTTCCATCGACCACCCAAGGGCTGAGGAATGCCAGCACAGGGTGCGGGACTGGCAGGCAGCTCCACCTGCGACCCCCGTGTGGGACCCACTTGGTGAAGCCAGCTGGGTTCCTGAGTCTGGTGGGGACTTTGAGAACCTTTATGTCTAGCTAAGGGATTGTAAATACACCAATCGACACTCTGTATCTAGCTCAAGGTTTGTAAACACACCAATCAGCACTCTGTGTCTAGCTCAGGGTTTGTGAATGCACCAATTGACACTCTGTGTCTAGCTAATCTAGTAGGGACTTGGAGAACTTTTGTGTCTAGCTCAAGGATTGTAAATGCACCAATCAGCACCCTGTCAAAACAGACCATTCAGCTCTCTGTAAAACAGACCAATCGGCTCTCTGTAAAATGGAACAATCAGCAGGATGTGGGTGGGGCCAGATAAGGGAATAAAAGCAGGCTGCCCCAGCCAGCAGTGGCAACACACTGGGGTCCCTTTCCACATTGTGGAAGCTTTGTTCTTTTGCTCTTTGCAATAAATCTTTCTGCTGCTTACTCTTTGGGTCCACATTGCCTTTATGAGCGGTAACACTCACTTCGAAGGTCTGCAGCTTCACTCCTGAAGCCAGCGAGACTATGAACCCACCGGGAGGAACAAACAACTCCAGACGCGCCGCCTTAAGAGCTTTAACACTCACCTTGAAGGTCTGCAGCTTCACTCCTGAAGCCAGCGAGACCACAAACACACCAGAAGGAAGAAACTCTGTACACATCCGAGAATCAGAAGGAACAAACTCCAGACACGCCGCCTTTAAGAACTGTGACACTCACCCCGAGGGTCCGTGGCTTCATTCTTGAAGTCAGGGAGACCAAGAACCCACCAGTTCCGGACACACTATGCTCCACTTCGGGGCTCCCCTGCCCTGCGTCAACTGCACTCTGGCCTGGGTGGCAGAGAGAGAGACTCTATCTTAAAAAAAAGAAAGAAATGCAAGGTTAAGTGCTGCCCCCAAGCCTGAGTGGCTGATCATTATACAGAGTACACAAAGATCACCAAAAAAGTCACCACAGAGGCCCCCCGCCGCTGGTTCTCATTTGCCCATATCAAAAAATATGCAAGTCTGTTCATACAAAGACACACACAGATGCTCGTAGCAAAACTATTCATAATTATCAAAAGGTGGCAACAACGCAAATGCCCATCAACAACAGATGAATAAGCAAACAAGTACAGTCCACCCGTGTGATGGAACATTAATCAGCCACAATATGGAATGAAGGGCTGATTCATGCTACAACCTGGATACACCTTGAAACCGTTAGGCTAAGTGAGAGAAGCCAGACAAATATTAGATTATATATACATATATATATATATATGTATATATATATATATGCCCAGAATATGAAAATCCAAAGAAACAGAAAGTAGATTAATGGTTGCCAGGAGCCAGGGGTGGGGATAGTCGGGGGAAATAAGGGGTGACTGCTAATGGATACAGGGTTTCTTCTGGGGTAATTAAAATTTCTAAAATTGATGGTGATGATGGCTGCAGAACTCTGTGAATATATTAAAAACCACTGAATTTTACACTTTATTTATTTATTTAGAGACAGGTTCTGGCTCTGTTGCCCAGGCTGGAGTGCAGTGGTGCAATCTCAACTCACTCCACCACCCACCTCCCGGGCTCAAACCATCCTCCCACTTCAGCCTCCTGAGTAGCTGGGACTACAGACACACACACCATGCCCAGCTAATTTTTTGTATTTTTGGTCGAGACAGGGTTTTGCCATGTTGCTAGGGGTTCATCTCAAACTCTTGGGTTCAAGCGATCCTCCCACCTCAGCCTCCCAAAGTGCTGGGATTGCAAGTGTGAGCCACCATGCCCGGCCAAATCATACACTTTAAATGGGTAAATTGTATGGTATATGAATTATCTTTCAATAAAGCTGTTATTAAAAAGCAGCTTTAAGGGCCAGACATAAGGGCCATGCCTGTAATCCTAGCATTTTGAGAGGCCAAGGCAGGAGGATCACTTGAGCCCAGGAGTTCAAGACCAGCCTAGACAACATGGCAAAACCTGGTCTCTACAAAAAATTTAAAACTTAGGCTTGGCGTGGTGGCTCACGCCTGTAATCCCAGCAATTTGGGAGGCTGAGGTAGGTGGATCACTTGAGGTCAGGAGTTCAAGAGCAGACTGGCCAACATGGTGAAACCCTGTCGCTACTAAAAATGTTTTTTAAAAATTAGCCAGGCATGGTGGTGGGTGCCGAGGCTGAGGCAGAAGAATCGCTTGAACCCGAGAGGTGGAGGTTACAGTAAGCCGAGATTACGCCACTGCACTCCAACCTGCTGGGCGACAGAGTGAAACTCCATTTCAAAAAAAAAAATTAAAAATTAAAAATTAGCCAGCGGTGGTGGCTCGTGTTTGTAGTCCCAGCTACTCAGGAGGCTAAAGTGGGAGGATTGCTTGAGCCCAGGAGGTTGAGGCTGCAGCGAGCCAAGATTGTGTCACTGCACTCTGGCCTCAGCAACAGAACAAGACCCTGTTGCACAATTTTAAAAACAATTAAAAAACGAGCCTAAAGAAAACACAAAAACCAATGCTAACTGTGAGACATAAATGAGGTGGTCTATTTTTTGTTAACTACCAACTAACAATTCATGGCAGAAACACAGTTTAAATGATGCTATAGCCGGGCGCTGTGGCTCACACCAGTAATCCCAACACTTTGGGAGGCTGAGGCAGGTGGATCACCTGAAGTCAGGAGTTTGAGACCAGCCCGGTCAACATGGTGAAACCCCGTCTCTACTAAAAATACAAAAATTAGCCAGGTGTGGTGCCGGGTGCCTATAATCCCAGCTACTCGGGAGGCTGAGACAGGAGAATCGCTTGAACCCCGGGGGGGCGGAGGTTGCAGTGAGCCAAGATCGCGCCATTGCTCTCCAGCCTGGGCGACAGAGCAAAACACTGTCTCAAAAAATAAATAAATAATGAAATAAGTGATGCTATAAACCTCATGTGAGGGAAGACTGTCCCAGGTACAGCTTGAAGAACCCTTGCTGTGAATAGGAGCCAAATGCGATCATTATGTTTGCAACTTGCTTGTTAGCTTGTTGCAACTCCACAGTGTAACAGAAAACTCATGAGGTTACTGTCTAATGTTGGTGGAAATATTCACATTAAAATACAACAGTTTATCACCTAAGGTATATTTTATCCCTCAAGTGGCCCGGAACACAGTGATTATTGCACCCCAATCGCACGCCCGTAGCTAAGGCCTTGCCAAGGAGAAATTCCACAATCACCTGGCCTATTTGTAAACCTGGTTTATGACATTTTGTAACAGGATATCTTGACAGTAGCATGAGGACATTTAACGAGACAAGAACATTCCCCACTGACAAAACAGATGGTTTCAGGGAACAGGATGCTGTGCTGAGTTTAATATTCTGCTGAACTGACCATTAGGGAGAAAATCCTTTGGGTCAATGCCTCTCACGGAATCCACTTATCAGATTCCTGTCCACCTGCCTGCTTTGCAGTGCAGAGTAAAGTGGGCCTTCCTTGACTCTCTTCAGGGACCAATGTGCTTGAGGCCATCATGAGGATATTCATTCTTTTTTTTTTTTTCTTGAGAGAGTCTCGCTCTGTCGCCCAGGCCGGAATGCAGTGGTGTGATCTCAGCTCCCCACTGCAACCTCTGCCTCCCAAGTTCAAGTGATTCTCCTGCCTCAGACTCCTGAGTAGCTGGGATTACAGACATGTATCACCCGGCCCAGCTAATTTTTCTATTTTTTGTAGAAACAAGGTTTCACCATGTTGGCCATGCTGGTGTCGAACTCCTGACTTCAAGTGATCCACCTGCCTCGGCCTCCCAAAGTGCTGGTATTACAGGTGTGAGGCAACGTGCCTGGCAGAGGGCTTTCATTCTTGATGGACTGCTCCATAGCCTCAGAGACAGTCGGACTTGTTTCTTCACCCAGAGCGGAGCAGACAGGCAATTTCTGTATCCACCAGGACAAATATTAGACCAACTCTTCAGTGTACAGAGAGCATCACATTTCTTATATGCTAGAATATCTGTTGGTCCAAAATATAAATAAATAGTATTGTAGCCAGCCACAGTGGCTCACACCTATAACTCCAGAGCTTTGTGGGGCTGAGGCAGGAGGTTCACTTGAGGTCAAGAGTTCGAGACCAGCCCGGGCAACATAGAGAGACACCCCCACACAGCCACCTGCCATCTCTACAAAAATTAAAATAATTAGCTGGGCATAGTAGTGTGGGCCTGTAGTCCCAACTACTTGGGAAGCTGATGTGGGTGGATCGCTTGAGCCCAGGAATTTGAGGCTGCAGTGGGCTATGACTGCATCACTGTACTCCAGCTAGACCTTGTCTCAAAAAAAAAAAAAAAAGTGCTGCAATTGACATTACTTTATCATTTGAAAAGAGGGACAGACAAGAAAGGTATTTGGCATTTACCAAGCAATTACCCAGAATCCTCATCCCATCCTACCCCACCCTTCCCCTAAAAATGTATGTATATGTTTTATACCATAAAAAATACATCTATTTGGCTCTGGAACCAGATTGCTTGGGTTCAATTACCTGATCTAGCATTTGCTCCTGATGACTCAGTGCAGAAAAGCTCTGTAACTCAGTTTCCCCAGCTGTAAAATGGGGAATGGCGACTTTACTGGGCTGCCATGAGGGTAAAGGAGGGAACGTATATTTATGAAGCATTCAGAGCAATTCATGATACATAGTAAGCTCTATATATTTGAGCTTATTATTACTGTCAGTACGATTTTCATCATCTTGCTGTTTCCAATGGGTACGATTTCTACATTCTCTTTCTTAAAGACCTTTAAATCCTTGGTATTCTCTCCACCACCACAGACAGCAGTGTCCATGTAGTTTAAATTTTCAAAGACTTCATGGATCCAATAAACATGACATTAACTAAGGGACAGTTTTCTTTCAGTGGATTGGAACCTAAAATGGCTTTTTTATTGTTATTATTGGCCAGGCTGGTCTCGAACTCCTGACTTCAAGTGATCCCCCCACCTCACCCTCCCAAAGTGTGCTGAGATTACAGGCATGAGCCACCATCCCCAGCCCTCATTCTCTTCTTTTATAAGGACACCAGTCACTGCATCTGCCCCCTCACCAGCAGCCCCCAATCCAGGATGACTCATCGTTACTTGATTACATTTAGAAAGACCACATTTCCAAATAAGGTCACATTCCTGGGTACTGAGGATTAAGATTTCAAATTTTTTCCCTGACTCAATTTTTTTTTGAGTCAGGGCCTCACCCTGTCACCCAGGCTGGAGTACAGTTATGTGATTATAGCTCACTGCAGCCTCAAACTCCTGGGCTCAAGGGATCCCCTGACCTCAGCCTTCCAAGTGTCTGAGACTACAGGTGCACACCATCATGCCCAACTAATTTTTTTGTTTTTTTTGTGTTGTTTTTTTTTTTTTGTACAGGTTAGGTCTCACTCTGTTGACCAGGCTGGTCTGACCTCAAGCGATCCTCTTGCCTTGGCCTCCCAAAGCACTGGGATTACAGGCGTTATCCCGTGCCTGACCCTCTTTCTACATCTCAATCATTGTATCATTAGCCTGAGCTGCGCATATTCCTTATTCTGCCCATCCCTGATCAATCTCCTCCTTTAACAGAACTTCCACCTCGATATGATGGGGCCTGCTGGGCACTGCAAACAGCCTAAGGAAAGTGGAAACTTTACTTAACCTTAAATTCTATTACAAAGTCTACATTGAACGTAATTTATATTTGAACTATAAAAATTTTCTGTAAGTTGACACATGACCTATAAAGGACTCTACACCCTGAAGCAACATTTTAGAAAGAAATCAATTGGTCCTTTTCTGCAGAAACCATTAACCATAGGAGAGATAAAGGAAAAACTTCAAAGTACTGATTGAACTTCCATGCCCATAGCTTAACTTCTAAAAGGCAACCATTCCATACTCTTAAACTGACTTAGGTTGCTATTACTGTTATTAAAGAGACCCTCAAAGCCAGAAGTTGAATCTTGACTGTAGCACTTGCACGTACACGCACACTCTTGCAACTGAAACCACTCAGATTGTCCTAATGCTGCTCCGCATAGCAACACCACCTGGAATTTTACGTTTGTTTTTAAGCGTCAGTCGTAATCTTCACTTGCACCCAAACACACCGCACCTGTGAGAGCCACGTGACATTAAAAAAATCCCTTCAGTGAGGCCGGGCGTGGTGGCTCACGCCTGTAATCCCAGCCCTTTGGGAGGCCAAGGCAGGTGGATCATGATGTCAAGAGATTGAGCCCATCCTGGCTAACATGGTAAAACCCTGTCTCTACTAAAAATACAAAAATTAGCTGGGCGTGGTGACGCGTGCCTGTAGTCCCAGCTACTCGAGAGGCTGAGGCAGGAGGATCGCTTGAGCCCGGGAGGCAGAGGTTGCCGTGAGCTGAGATCGCGCCGCTGCACTCCAGCCTGGCGACAGAGGGAGACTGTCTGAAACAAAAAAATCCCTTCAGTGCCTTGATCCTTCCAGATTCAAATCCAAGAGAGATGACATTTGTCCCTCTCCGGAGACTGCACACCAAGATAAAGATTTCTTCTGGCCAGGCGCGGTGGGTCACGCCTGTAATCCCAGCACTTTGGGAGGCAGAGGCGGGTGGATCACCTGAGGTCAGGAATTTGAGACCAGCCTGGCCAACGTGTTCAAACCCTGTCTCTACTAAAAATACAAAAGTGGCCCGGCATAGTGGCTCATGCCTGTAATCCCAGCTACTCAGGAGGCTGAGGCAGGAGAATCGCTTGAACCTGGGAGGTGGAGGTTGCAGTGAGCCGAGATCGCGCCATTGCACTCCAGCCTGGGCAACAAGAGAGCAAAACTCCGTCTCCAAAAAAAAAAAAAAAAAGAAAAAAAGATTTCTTCTGTGTGCATGGCTCAGGTCTGTGGTCCACTAGCGTCCTTCTTCAATCCGCTTCCAATCTATGGAATCAGGAAAGACTGAACGAACCTAGATTAATATTTTAGTATAACATAATACAGTGTTACTTACTATGGCATTGACCGTATATGCCCTTTTTCTCCTTGGAGGAAGACAATTAATAGCTATTATGTGAGTTAATAAAATAAGCCCAGGATTTATAACTAACCTGTTCCCATTGATTTTCCTTGTCTCATGCAGGCACAGAGCTGATCAAAACAGCAAAAGCAAAGCAGTGCCTCTGGCCCAGTTCTGAAGCCAACCTTCCTTAATCACCCAGACCCATCCCTGGTTAGGACTTGCTGTGGATCCTCAGGTGACTCCATCTCAGGATACAGGGACTGAGAGTGTGTATGCAACTTCTCAGACCCAGAAACCGTTGATTCTGCCTAAAAACACAGCAATAACCACATCCCACCCTCTTGATTTAAATGAAAGGGTTTGGGGGAATAAAAGATGAACTTCTTTTTTTCTTTGTCAGATCTTGCGCTCATTTGGTTCTGGTGGGGAACAACAGCTATAAGAGAACAAGTGTATTCAATTAGAATTAATTCCCCCTCTCTTATTCTCATAGCTGAGCAGGGCTCAAGTGCCTCTCATCTGAAAGAGGTAATAAGATTTTATCTGTCTCCTCATCTACCTTCTGCAAGTATACTTAACAAATTAGCTCTCGGGACTCTTCCAAATGGAGTTTTATGAGGAATTTGCTACGGTAAACGTTTTAGACTTTGTACACAGTTCAGATTTCAGGGGCAGTACTGAAATCTGAACTGTGTTGCTAACTGTCCTGCCTTTCAACTCAAGACACAATAACTTTGAACTAAAATAATTATATTTTTGTTGTTTTCCAGTCTGTCCCCACGTCTATATCACCACCACCCCCAATCCCACCCCGCAGGAGCTAACTCCTCCTTCCTGTCCCTGCAAGATCAAAACTCCTCCTGCAAGCCCCGCTAGCTCTGTCTGCTCACCTTCGTGGCAGATATCGCTATTGTACTTTTATACTCATTTGTGTGATAAATACTTCAATGTCCACTTCTTCCACGAGCCCCTGAGCCCCTGGAGGACATGGACCACACCTAGTTTTTCTCACCGTTACATCTCCCTTGTCAGGCACATGGTAGGCGCTTAATAAGTATTTGGTGAACGAATGGCTTGTTTGGTGACAGTCCAAAGGCTGGGGGACAGAGGGAAAGCTCCCTCCTTTCGGGCCCCAGACTGGTGGCGCTGATACAGAGGAGGCTAGGATAAGGCCTCCAGGACCAAAGCGCGAACCCGTAAGGCCCCTGCTAAAAAGACTTTCCTGAAGGCGGAGGAACTGCGAGAGTGCCTACGTTAGCCCAAGGCCTGACCTGACGATCCCAGGGACCCTCGCCCTAACTGGCCCCGCCTTCCGGGCCCCAAACCCGGACTCGGCCCCGCCCGAAGCTCCGGATCCTGGGGCCCGCCCCTGGTCCCGCGTCGGCGGACCGTGGGCTCGCTCCTGGACCTGCCTCAAACCCTCCGCAGGTAACGCCTCCCGAACTTGAGCCACATTCCGATCCCCTCCTCAAACCCCTCCCCGTTTCCCACGCCCTGGACCCCTCGCTCCGTCTCGGCCCCGCCCCAAGCCCAGCTAGGTCTCGGCCCCTGAGCCCAGCCCCGACCGGCCTCCCAGTCCCTGGGTCCCTCCCGACACCGGCCCCTCCCTAAGCTCCGCCTCCCAGGGCCCGCCTCCTGAGCGCAGCCTGCAGCCCGGACTCGGCCCCGCCTCCCGGACCCTGGACCCCTCCCCAAGTGGGCCCGTCCTAAGTTCCGCCTCCCAGAGTCCGCGCACCGCCTGGCCATGTGGTACGACATAGTCAACGCCCTGCCCCGGCCCCGCCTCCTGAGCCCTTCTCTGGGTCTGGCCTTAGCCCCGCCCTAGGACCTGTCTCCTGGGCTCTGCTCCGAGTCCCGCCTCCTGAACCCAATGGCGTTTATCCCCGCCCTAATGCCCGCCTCCAGGACTCTTATCCTGCCCCCACGCAAGGCAGCGCCTCCAGGACGCGACCAACCTGGACGCTTCCGAAGACCAGCTTCCAGGATCGCCCTATGCTGACCCCGCCCCAGGACCCGCCAACCTGGACTCTACCCAGCACCTGCCCCAACGACGCTTATCCTGGCCCTACCCCAGGCCTCGCCCTCATGACGCTCATCCTGGCCCCACCCCAGGCCCCGCCCTCCTATAAGCTCATCTTGGCCCCGCCCTAGAGTCCGCCCCCAGGACGCTCCTCCTGACCCTGCCCCCAGGCCCCGCCCCCTCTCTGCCCCCGCGCACTACCCTGGGCCCGCTCCCTTTTCAATCCAGGCCCGGCTTCCGCCCGATCTCCTGGCAACGCTGCGGCCCCGCCCACATCATGACGCCCGAGGAGAACGCGGGTACCAAACTCTTGCTGCAGGGTTTTGAGAGCCGCTTCCTAGTGGCGCGCACACTGCGCTCCTTCCCCTGGCAGGTGGGCGGCGGGGCGAGCGGAGAGGCCCGCGGGGCTCGCGGAGTCCAGGGGCAGACGGGATGGGTCTCCGTGCTGAAACCCCCGGCGCTCCTGCCACGTGAGTTCCTGGGCTCTCCCTGGTCAGGGCCGCGAGACCCGGTCCCCGTCCCTGGGGCCTGGCCAGAGTCGCTCTCACCCATCCTGCCCCGCGAGCTGGCGGCGGAAGCTGGGGGCGTCTCCACAGTCTTGGGGTGCAGACGCGCGCTCGGTGTGGGGTACAGTTCACGATCATTTTCATGACTTTTTAAAGGCAGTAATCGTTCTGGTCACTGGGACACATCTGCCCTCGCCCATTCTAAAAAGTCAGCGCCCTCAGGCCCGCGGGTAACCACCTCCTCCTGAGCGCGGTGACCAGGTCAAAGGCTGTCCCTAGGGCCTCAGTGTTCTCATCTGTATGTCGAGCACTACATAGAATCAGCTCATGCGCTGAGGCTTTCACGCCTGTGATGGAAGAGATAGAGAAGGGGCTGGCCTCTCCTCTCCCTGGGGACCTGCCATTCTCAGCACAGGCACATGTCAGGCAGCAGCCTCCCTTCTGCCAGCAGAGGGGCTTAATGCACCCCGTTCCATTTGTAATTCATGTGCAGTGAGCTCACTGGGATGAGTCAGTTTGGATATATATTCCTCCCTGGGTCTGCCCCATTTTATGGGGTGTTGCTTAATCATTTGCGTTATTCCATTGATATAAAATATTTAGCACTCAGAGATCATTTCTGGTCAGGAGAAATTTATGCATTTTTAACCCAAAATAGAAACCTTCATAAAAGCATCATAGGTCTCCATTCAATATTGACTATAATTGTTCACATGCCCACGCTGAATGCTAACTTGGGCTCACCCTCAACACCCACGAGGTGGGTACTATTATTATCACTCACATTTGACCAGAGGGATTGTTTGATTAGGGTGTAGTAGTTGAGAGTTCAGACCCAGGAGACAGCCTGCCTGCTTCGAATCCTGGCCCAACCCCTGGCCCTGTGTGACCTTGGGCAAGTGACTGCATCTCTCTGTGCTGTTGTTTTCTTATTCATAAAATGGTTGATATAATGATACCTACCTCTTAGGGTTGTTGTCAGCGTTGAGTACAAAAGCCTGTGGATCAGTGCCTGGCTCATGGTAAATGTATGTCGGTGTTAGCTAGTGTTTTTACTCAGTCTCAAAATGTTTAATAAATGCCTTCTGTGAGCCAAGCACCATGGATCAGCAGTACCCATGATAGATGAGGCTCTGCTTGCATGGGAGAGACAGAGAATAAACAAATAAATGAATAAACAAGAAAAGACCAGATGAGAGTGGCTTTAAAGCCAAGAAAACAGGGGAATGGTGAATGGAGCAACTGGGGAGAAGAGTCACCAAAGTCGGGGAATCAGGGAAGCCTTCCCCAAAGAGGTGGCATTTGAACTGGGGCCTGAGTGGTGAAGCAGCCAGCCATGGGAAGGGTTTGGGGAACAGGATATGCAAAGGCCCTGTGGTGGAAACAAGCCAGCTGTGGTTGAGGAAAAACACCAAGGTAGCCAGTGTGGCTGGAGTGGAGTGAGCAGTGTGGGCCAGGGATGAGGGAGAATAGTCCAGAGAGGGGGATTAGCAGCAGGCCTTGTAGGGCCTTTTATGGCATAGAAGGAGCTCTGAAGCAATGAAGTGCCTTGCCATGTGTCACATACCAGCCGAGACAGTCTGCCTAACTCGGGAGCCAAAGCTCACTGCTGGGCTTGAGGCCCCTGTAAGAGGACAATGTAACCCAGGCTGGTATGGGCACATTCTGCATTTCCACTTAAACTCAGATGGCAAGCCCATCAAACCTTGGTGCCATGGCTGCCCTGGTAATTCCTGGCTGACCAGTGTAACCAGGGAGCTGGCCCATGACCTGGGTGGCAGCTGAGTAGCCAGGACTAATGCGACCAAGAGTCAGCCTTCTTCCTGTGACTCATCCAGGTGCACCCTGCGACATCTGAAGGTCAGGCTTTTAGCTGTTGTGGCTTCCACTTCCAACTGGCTCCACGTCCCCAGGGAGGGATCACATAGAGCTTTGCCAACACATTCTATTGCGTGTTTAATGTTCCTGTGAATGGGCCCTTGAGATTTCTCTCTCTCCCATCCACACAGAGCTTAGAGGCAAAGTTAAGAGACTCATCAGATTCTGAGCTGCTGCAGGATATTTTGCAGAAGGTAAGAATCCCAGAGTCCCTGGGACTCATGATCCTGCCTCCTGAATCTCTCCGGAAGACCTGAGAGAAGCAGCAGAGGTGTGCTTGTACCCTTTAAAAACAGCCCTCTTCAAAGAACAAAACCATTGAGTCAGCACTTCAGGAGGGTGTCAGCACCTCCGACAGCTCCTACGGTTTCGTTTTCTATCTAAGACTTAGACAAAGACATCAGAATATACAAAAATCTGCAAGGGGGGGAAATCTAGGGAATGTTTTTTAAACCATCCACAGCAAAAACAGAGATGACAGGTGCAAAACAGCTTCTAGCATTTGGTAGATGCTCAGAGACTTTCTTTTTTGCATTCATGAGGCCTGTCCCGCCCACTCCTGTCTCTTCTAGACCTAAATGGGCCCTTGCTTTGCCCAGGGTGGGGTTTGGACTCAAGTGCATCTGCATGCAAGTGAGAGCCAGGATCACCACGCGGCCCAGCCACAGGCTGACCTTGGCCTTGAGGGCCAAGTGCAGATCACCCTGCATCCTGGGTCTTCACCTTCGAAGGGCCATGAGCCCTTCTGAAAAGACAAAGCAATAGACTCCCTCCCAGAAAGAAGTGCACCAGAATACATTTTCCATACAAACTCAGGGGAGGCAGACATCCTCCACGCCCACCCACCCAGCCCATCCTAGGAGCCCCGGTGAAGAATTCCTGTGCTAGAGGTGAACCAAGATTATCCACGTGGAAAAGATGCAGCCACAGCAGGGAAGACTTTCGGGGCAATACAGTAGGTCAGGGCTTCGAGGATGGAGATACCTGAAGTTATCTCGCACCTTGCTCTGAGTTTCACCCTGAGCCTCACTCTCGTAGGTGGTGAAGCATGAGATGTAGGGAGAGCTGCTTTAAAACCCAGCACAAGGCTGGGTGCACTGGCTCACACCTGTAATCCCAGGTCTTTGGGAGGCTGAGATGGACGGATCACCTAAGGTCAGGAGTTCAAGACCAGCCTAGCCAATATGGCAAAAACCCAGCTCTACTAAAAATAAAAAAATTAGCTGGGCGTGGTGGTGCACGCCTATAGTCCCAGCTACTCCGGAGGCTGAGGCAGGAGAATCGCTTGAACCCAGGAGGCGGAGGCTGCAGTGAGCCAAGATCGGGCCACTGCACTCCAGCCTGGGCAACAGAGCGAGACTCTGTGTCAGAACAAATGAAAAAGCAGCACCAGCATGAAGAGTCTGTGTGTTGCGTGGGGTACTTTGCTGCCCTTGGGCAGAATCTGCATCCCTCCCAGGCAGCAGGCGCTGCGGACCGTCTCCTCCCTCTCCCTCCAGTCTCCTGTTTTCCCGCCGTCCCCCCTCCTGCTGCACCAGTCCCTCTGCCCTCCTTTCCAAGTGCCAGCCCGTGGCCACCTCAGAGCTTGCACAGGCTGTTCCCACTGCCTGGAACTTGCTCATCCTGCACTTGGCTTCTCTCGGCTTTAGCTGGAGTCACCCTGAGCGTCCCCTCCCCTCCATCCTGTCCCCAGGGACACACGCTCCCAGAGAGCAGTTGCTGAGTGGGCCTCCCCGCCTCTTCCATAAAGCCAGATAGTTGGTGACTGTCCTTACTGCAAACCCTGGTTCACACTGGCTCCCCTGGGAGGGAGGTGGTTTGGGCCCACATGCCCTGTGTTCCTGCTCAGAATGGGCGTTAGAAATGCTGCCATAGCCTGTGCCACTGCAGTGGAAGCATCTTTAGGAAACGGCTTATATCTTAAGACAAACTTCAGATGCGTGGGGCCAGAACGCTGTGTCCATCTGCATCTTTGCTGAGGGATCAGGTAGCCTGGAGTTTGCCCTCTGCTGTGTTGGCTTGAAGCTCATAGGAGACTTAAGATGGGCTCTCGAGCAACCAACGTTCTGTCCTTTGCCGTAGACTGTGAGGCATCCTGTGTGTGTGAAGCACCCGCCGTCAGTCAAGTATGCCTGGTGCTTTCTCTCAGAACTCATCAAAAAGGTCAGTTATGGGCAGTGTCCGCCCAGTAGCTGGACAGCATAGCCACCGGCGTGCTGCACACCCCGTCCTTCCCAGGCCCTGGGCCTGCTTTGCAAACCCCGGCATGGCAGGGGCCTCCCCAGGCAACTGGCTGCAGGTGTGTGTGACCCATGGGAGACAGTGCAGGGTGGGAATAAGGGGAGGCCAGCGTCTCTCCCTGAGTCTGCCCTCTGGGGTTTCCACAGCAGCTGCTTCTCTGGGGCCCCAGCTCCTAGCATATGGATTCTCATTCCTACCAGGCTGGACCAGCCCACAGCACTGGAACCATCACCCACACCCTCTGTCCTGCCCACCAAAGGGTTTGGAGTTTCCTGCTCTTGTCCGTCTCTGGGTTGCCCCACGGGCCCCTGTTGGAAGTTTTAGCTCTTGCCATACCTTTGGAACTAGTTCCTCTGGTGAATTCTCCGCATTGATCCTGCTGGAATGAGCTCTTTCCTGACTGATATAGGATGGATTTTATTTTTTACTTATTTATTTATTTATTTATTTATTTTTTTGAGACAGAGTCTCACTGTGTTGCCCAGGCTGGATTACCGTGGCACAATCTCAGCTCACTGAAACCTCTGCCTCCTGGGTTCAAGCAGTTCTCGTGCCTAGCCTGCTAAGAAGCTGGGACTACAGGCACATGCCACCATGTCTGGTTAGTTTTTGTATTTTTAGTAGAGACAGAGTTTCACCATGTTGGCCAGGCTCGTCTCGAACTCCTGACCTCAGGTGATCCGCCTGCCTCGGCCTCCCAAAGTGCTGGGATTACAGGCATGAGCCACCGCACCTGGCCTAGGATGGATTTTAAAGATGGGCCCGAACATGCAGGGTTTGACATGAGGATGTCGAGAGGCCATTCCTTAGTAGGCAGTAGCAGACCTGCTGAGTGAAAGGGCCACACTTTTAACAAATAAACAATCCCCTGCTTCTCCAATACCTGCTTTCTCCCTAGTTCTCCCCAAAAGGGTGCATCTCTGGTCACCAGCAGGTCTGCCCTGTGCCACCACGAGAGGGCAGCAGTCACCCAGTGTACCCTGCTGCTGCCCTGTGAATCCTAGGACTGGGCCAGCTGTGGAGAAGCAGCCTGCTGACAGCCACAGCCTGCAGCATGGGCCGCCCTCACAGTTCTGCCTGGGCTCACTTAAAAGCACCTTTTGTTTTCCTCCTCTCTGTGTTTGATCCAAACACAGAGCTCTCTGTCATGGTCATGTGGCAGCTCTCACGGAATCCTTGTCTCCTGCCCTAGACTACACCTAACCCTACCCTCTGAACACCTCTTGCTGAAGGCCCTCCCATCCACGTTTCCCTACCAAGTGGAATTATTTCTTTTTAGAGACAAGATCTCTGTTGCCCAGGCTGTCCTCAAACTCCTGGGCTCAAGCAGTCCTACCATGTCAGCCTCTGGAGTAGCTGGGGCTATTCAGCACACACCACCACGCCCAACAAAGTGAATATTTTATATGCAAGCTGGCTGGTATCACACCATTCCATCCCAAATCTCCCCTGCAAACTTGGTGAAAATCATCTGGCCATTTTTACAGATTAGAACAAAAGCAAACAAGCTCTCACTCTGTCTGCCCCCAGCACGAGGCTGTCCACACGGAGCCTTTGGATGAGCTGTACGAGGCGCTGGCGGAGACCCTGATGGCCAAGGAGTCCCCCCAGGGCCACCGGAGCTATTTGTTGGTATGAGAAGGGCACCCTCCTCCCCCTCACAGCCCAGATACCCTTCCTGCACAGACAAAGTGAAAACATGGGTGTGGGTTCAAATCCTGACTCACCCATTCTGCAGTCTTAGACATGAGGTCCGTTAACCTTCTTTAGCCTCGGTTTCCCTGTCTGTAAATCAAGCACTTCAACAACAATAACATGTGTTGTGGGGTTGTTGGGCATTTGTCCAATAGGTAACACACACTACCTGCTTCACAAGGACCTGGTGCCCAGTCCTCAAAGAATACTTGACAGGGCCAGGCGCAGTGGCTCAAACCTGTAATCCCAGCACTTTGGGAGGCTGAGGCGGGTGGATCCGAGGTCAGAAGTTCGAGACCAGCCTGGCCAATATGGTGAAACCGTGTCTCTACTAAAAATACAAAAATTGGGCCGGGCATGGTGGCTCATGCCTGTAATCCCAGCACTATGGGAGGCTGAGGCGGGTGGATCACCTGAGGTCAGGAGTTTGAGACCAGCCTGGCCAACATGGTGCAACTCCATCTTTACTAAAAATACAAAAATTAGCGGGGTGTGGCAGTGGGCGCCTGTAATCCCAGCTACTCGGGAGGCTGAGGCAGGAGAATCTCTTGAACCCAGGAGGTGGGGGTTGTAGTGAGCCGAGATTGCGGCATTGCACTCCAGCCTGGGCAACAAGAACGAAACTCTGTCTCAAAAAAAAGTACAAAAATTAGCCGGACATGGTGGCGCATGCCTGTAGTCGCAGCTACTTGGGCAGCTGAGGCAGGAGAATTGCTTGAACCCAGGAGGTGGAGGTTGCAGTGAGCCAAGATCGTGCCACTGATTCCAGCCTGGGTGACAGAGCTCAAAAAAAATAAGATAAAACATAGATACAGAAAACCACAAAGGAAAAACATAGCATATTGAATCATCACAAGGCAGCCACCCCTTCATAGCCACACCCAGCCCCTGGCCACCGCTGACCTTTGCTCCATCACCAGAATTCTGTTGTCTCAGGAATGTTGGATAAATGGAATCCTGTGTGGCCTGAGATGAGTGTCTTTCATGCCGCATGACAACCTTGAGGCCCGTGCAAGCTTTTGGCATGTCAACAGTTAGCTGCTTCTCATTGCTGACTGGCAATTGGTCCTGTCATGGTTTATTTGGCCATGTGGTGGATGGCTATTTGTCTTCTAAGCCACTTGCCTTCTGATTGCTGGACTGACTCTCTCGCCCTCTCTTGGTGCAGCCCTCGGGAGGCTCGGTCACACTCTCCGAAAGCATGGCCATCATCTCCCACAGCACCACGGGTCTGGTCACATGGGATGCCGCCCTCTACATTGCAGAATGGGCCATCGAGAACCCGGCAGCCTTCACTCACAGGTGACCTTGGGGCGCAGGGCAGGGCACCGAGGCGGGCTTACCCTGGTGCAGTCGCAGACACGGTCCCCTTTCCTCTCGCCAGGTCTGTCTTAGAGCTTGGCAGTGGTGCCAGCCTCACAGGCCTGGCCATCTGCAAGATATGCCGCCCCCGGGCATACATCTTCAGCGACTGTCACAGCCGAGTCCTCGAGCAGCTCCAAGGAAATGTCCTTCTCAATGGCCTCTCATTAGAGGCAGACATCACTGCCAACTTAGACAGCCCTAGGGTGACAATGGCCCAGCGCTGGACTGGGACGTAGTGACGGTCCATCAGCGCTCTGCCTTCCAGCTAGATGTTGTCATTGCAGCAGGTAATGCCCAGCCCTGAGCACCCTGTGCAGGCACTGTCCTTGCAGCTCTACCCAGCTCTTGGCTCTGGGAAAAGGGAACAATGGGCGCTGTCAGGCATGGACATGATGGGGCTTCCAGAAGAGTTACTCTGGGCCTCCAGGGTGAAATCAAAGGACGGGGTGCCTCTTAAGGTGACCTTCAAGCCACAGCCCTCTTGTTGGAGTCAGGCATACTCCCATTACAGTCATCACCACATGGCTCTGTCCCAGAGCCATGCCCTGTGTCCTTCAGAGACCACAGGAGGAAAACAACCAGTTCTGGGACGAGGACAGGGCCCTTGAGAGAAGGTGGTGTTTGGCTGGGCCACCAAAAACCCCTCAGCCCTGCCAGCACACTCAGTCCCCTCTCTGGTCGAACAGAGCTCTGCCTGTGGTCCTGGGTCACAGTCCTGAAATCCACAGGTCCAGCGCTGGCCAGGGACAAAGGCCCACCCCTGCAAGCCAGCAGACCAATCAGCAGACACCTGAAACACGAAGTTCACAGCAGGGTCAGGCTTTGTGTCATTTGAAGCCCTCTAGATAGGCCGAGAACCAGAGCTGTTTTTGTAAGGAACACCAGTGAGTCTGGAGATTTTTTTCTTTTGCTTCGGTCTTTTGCAGCTTTCTCTACTAAGGGTTCTCCTTTTTCACCCAAGTAATTGCCTTTCCATCTAATGGCTCAAATGGTCAAAAGGCATCTAATAGTCTCATATGATCGCTGCCTCTCTGGCCTCGCCCTGCTGCTGAGGTCAGCGTGACCTGGAACTGTCCGCTGGTCCCTTTCAGTAACCTGAAGCTTTCACCGTAGATGTGCTGTATTGCCCAGAAGCCATTGTGTCACTGGTCAGGGTCCTGCGGAGGCTGGCTGCCTGCCGGGAGCACCAGCGGGCTTCTGAGGTCTACGTGGCCTTCGCTGTCCGCAATTGAGAGACGTGCCAGCTGTTCACCACCGAGCTAGGTGAGCCCCCACCCCAGCCTGGGCCTGTATGTCCCTGAGCTGTCACTGCAGGACTCCAGTGGAAGTGAAAGAGCTGGGCACCAGGGAAGAGCTAGGATGCCCCACACTCCGACACCATGAGGGGAACTCGGGCAGAGGCCGGTGAGCAGGGTGGGCTCGGGGCATTGGGGGCTTGCAGCAGGAGGAGGGTAGCTCAGCACAGGGAGGGAGGGTCTGAGCCCAGCAGCCCTACTGTGTGCTTCAGAGCAGGGTTCCCTAAGCCCTTGGGCCTCGGTTTCCTCATCTATAAAATGGAGGTGGCAGGAGGGGCAGTCGGGGTCAGGGCTGGACAGAGCTGTGGCCTGCATGACGCTGGAGCACAGGCTGTACAGGCGGATCCTCCACTCCACTGTCTTGAGCACCCAGTTGATGGAAGACGAGCAGGGTGACTATAGAGAAGGGGAACTGGCCCCGTAGTGGGCCACCCACTGTCCTCAGACCTGACATTTGTCAGCCCCCAGCACCTGTGAGGGTGTGCTGTCATTGTCCCATCTCACCGACAAAGACAGTAGGACACACAGAGGCCAAGCGACCCCCGACCCCCTCCCAAAGCCACTGCCCTCCCACACCTGGGCAACAGTGGCCCCAACCCCAGGCCCAGGCCTCCTGCAGGAAGGAAGAGGACTGAATGGAGGGCATGGCAGGCTGAAAGGACGTGGCCTCCTCAAACCCCTTGGTAAAGGGCCTCTGGGGCCACCTGGCAGGGAGGGGCTGGCACACCAGGAAGTAGCCTCCTCCTGGGAGTTAAGCCAGAGCCCAAGTCCTGTCCCCAAGTGGCCTCCAGAGCCACCTTTTCAGAAAAAGTACATCATGCCCATGCCTGTTACCCCTGCTTAAGTCCCCGCCTCCTCCCTGAGCCTCCTGCTGGCCTCTCACCTAGAAGCGGGGGTAGTCCTCGGCCCTCCAGCCAGTGGGTGCAGACCTGGATGTGCTGGAAATGCTTCTGGTGGATGAGGCGGCTGTAATACTCCCTCAGAGGCCCTTTGCCTTCACAGAGAAGAGCAGACACTGCCATGGACCCGTCTCTGTCCCTGCCACATGGCCCCAGGCCCAAGACACTCCCCCTAGGAGGGATCCTTTTCCCAGAAGCTCCACCCCTCGGCAGCTCCAGTCAGGCCCCATCTGGGCCCTTCCAGAAGCAACCCAGGAGCCCCGAGACCTGCAGGGGTGTGTGCACCCTGACCCCTGATGCATAGCCCTGCACCTGCAGCCAGCTGGCCTCGGGCTGCAAACATGGTGGGGTAAGCACTGGCCTGGCACCTGACCACCCACTGGGTGGACCCAGCCTTCTGTCTGTGTTGTGCACAGGGGACACGAGGACTCCCCCTGCCCTGCCGCAGCCCCCAGAGCACATGGTGCGGGTTCCAATCCGCGCCTGCCCTGCCACAGCCTCCAGAGCACATGGCGCGCTTTCCAAACCACTCCTGGGAGCCTAGAGGCCAGAGGAGGGAGGAGAGCAGGACCAGCAGCTGGCCCAGACCCCGCCTCTTCCTACACCACTTCCGCTTTTCTCCCTCCTCACTGAGTCATCTTGAAAGGGCTCAGCAGCAGTAACTGTGGGACAGGGGCTCTTCCATTTGAAAAATTAAAAGAGGCTTGGTTAAGGCACCAATGACATGGCCGGGCACAGTGGTTCATATTTATAATGTCAGCATATTGGGAGGCCAAGGCGGGTGGATCACTTGAGGTCAGGAGTTCAAGACCAGCCTGGCCAACATGGTGAAACCCTGTTTCTACTAAAAATACAAAAATAAGCTGGGTGTGGTGGGCACCTGTAGTCCCAGCTACTCGGGAAGCTGAGGCATGAGAATTGCTTGAATGTGAGAGGCAGAGGTTGCAGTGAGCTGAGATCGCACCACTGCACCCCAGCCTGGGAGACAGAGACTTTGTCTCAAAAAAAAAAAAGACACCAATGACATAACAACAACAGAAAAGATGCTTGGAAACTACTGAAAAAGTAGAAAGCTTGGTATCTACAGATTCACATCTGGGCTCCCTGCCCTGCTGTGAAACCCTCTGAGCCTCAGTTTCCCACGTGTCAAGCAGTATAAGACCCTATGGCAGAGAGCTGCAGTGAGGATTAAGGAGACAAGATCGTGGGAAGCACAGGGTGAAGGCTGCGTGCCCCTCCCCCTCTGCCATCCCCCAGCCAAACAGACACCCAGGGTCCCAGGCAGTACCTGTTATCACACAGACAAGAGAAGGAAGGTTGCGTCCGTGAAGAGTCAGTTGTTCAAACTCTGTGTTTAAAAAAAGAAGCAATTCTACATGGAATTTCTGATAGAATTTTTTTTTTTTTTTTTTCCTGACAGACTCTCGCTCTGTCACCCAGGCTGGAATGCAATGGCGTGATCTCAGCTCACTGCAACCTCTGCCTCCCAGGTTGAAGTAATTCTAGTGCGTCAGCCTCCCAAGTAGCTGGGATTACAGGTGCCCACCACCATACCTAGCTAAGTTTTGTATTTTTAGTAGAGACACTTTTCGCCCTGTTGGCCAGGTTGGTCTCGAACTCCGGACCTCAGGTGATCTGCCTGCCTCGGCCTCCCAGAGTTCTAGGATTACAGGTGTGAGCCACCATGCCCATTCAGAAAAAAATTTTTAAATAAACAATAGCCAGAGTCCCCTGGTCAGGTGGAGAAAGTGCACTGCTCTGGCAGGGAGGCCCCCAGCCTCTGTGAGATACTCTCCTGGAGGGCGCATTTCAGCCTAAGGGCCTGGTCACTCAATGACCCAAATGGGGATTCAGGGAGGCCCACCTCCACCACCCCTACTGTCCCCAGGCTGCCCCACCCAGTAGCCCAGGACAGGAACATGTTGCAGGCCAGGCAAGCAGCTCACAGCTCAGTGGCCCGGACAAGCCCAGAGCTCCTCACCGCAGCCACACACCTACTTTCTAAAGCTGCCAGCAGGATAGAGAAGTCTTCGTCCTCTATGAGAAGAGAATTGAATGTCAGGGGCCTGTTTCTAGACAGCACTCTTCCAGCTCACACACCCTCCCCTTCTCATTGAGACCGTGGCGGGGTGGGGGCATCCAGGACTGGTAGGGGTAAGGAGAACACAGGTTGGCCAGGTGCCCGTCACACCAGCCCCAAGTGCCCCAGGGGTCGTGCAGACCTGTCCAGGTGTGCTGCTGACCAGCAGGGCTGGCCGCTCATGGAGACGCATCACCAGCCCGCTCCCAGCATCCTGCTCCATGAAGGCTGACCGCTCCATGGCTGGGTCCTCAGGTTCTGAGCTGAAGGAGGAGAAAAAAACCCTGTGAGAGGCCACAGAGCAGGCCCAGGACCCAGAACGGGCATCTCCTGCCATGGCAAGGCCTGCAGGCTCCCAACAGTTGGGGTGCCCAGCCGCATCAGCAGCACCAGGCCACCCCTGCCAATCGAGGCATGGGCTTGCTTTCTCTAATATTGTTTCTGGGTGCTAAGGTTACAACAGCAAACAAGACTGACTCATTCCTTTTCTCCACGGGACTTACTGTCTTATCATCCCCTGGACTCAAGATGAGGGTGCTAGGATGCCCTCCCACACCACCCCAGCTTACCCAGGGGCACACCTCAGGGTATGTGGACCTGCACAAAGGTCCCTTCCTTAGCCCCATGAGACACCCCAGGGGACACACAGGTCCACAGATCCTGCCACAGGCCTGGGAACCCATTGGCAGGAGAGTAAGACAGTGCAGGGGTCCACAAACATTTCTTAAGGGGCCAGAGAGTAAATACTTCAGGCTTTGCAGGCCAGACGTTCTCTGTTGCAAAACGCAATTCTGCTATTGTAGCTCAAAGGCGGCTATAGACAACTCAGAAGTTAATGAGTGTGTTGTGTCCCAATGAAACTTGATTTACAAAAGCAGGAGACTGGCCTGTAGCCTTAGTTTGCCAACCCCTGGATGAGTGGGTTCCCAGGTCTGCAGTGAGAAGGGGAGAGGCCAGGGCAGTGGCGAGCAGGAGAGAAGGCAGCTGAGGATGGGAGGCCTACCAGGCCCTGAACAGAGAGTGCGTGCTGCCCACCTTCATGAGGAGCCGGTGCTGCAGGTCCAGAGGTGCCTCTTTAAAGAAAGATGCCAGCTTGTCGTAGACGGTCACAGCCCTGCAATGAAATCATGGCAGGACTATTGCATTAGTCCAGCGTGGAGGCTACTTTCTGCTCAAACCACTCATTTGGGTCCCGTGCCCAACGTCACCCATCCTCAGCAAAACCACCATTATTTCCTTCTGCCTGGTTTCCAGAAAGTTCCCCTAAAGCCCTGAGGAATCACCGAATGAAAGGGGCTTTTTACAAACAGGAAACTTAAGTGGAGTGCCAATACACAACATGGATTGCAGCAGGCTCGGTCTAAGATAAAACCAGACGGTGGACAACAGGCCAGGTAAGACCCACATGGTCTGCACTCCCTGGTTCTGTTATTGTGTGGAGGAATGTCTTAGTCTGTTGCTCCTGTGGGTGTAGCTAAAGCACAAACCAGGAGTCCTCATCCTTAGAAAGCAGTTAGACAGACATCTGAGAACCAATCCCAAACTGCAGCCTTCCACAGAACCTTCTGGAACCTTCTGGAATGCAACTTATTACTGCCAGAGGGTCTTTGATGAGAGTCTACTCTCCACCATTTGTCTTCAGAGAGAATACCCACCTATTCTCTTTCCGTGGAAAGGTAAGTTATTGGAGTTTATGCAGTCTGGTATATTAATTGAGAGCTTTACTTCAAAGAATGTCACGTTTATGGTTCAGTCTCACAGACTGGGTTAAAAAGGCAGTGTTGACTATTAAGTTGTAAATTACTATGATGATCATTATTATTGAAGCAAGCTGTGAGAAATGAGCATTATCTTACAATATCTGCATTTTAGTGAACCTGAAGGAAGAGTGTATTGCTGGAATTACAGAAGCCTGAGAACCACAGGGGAATTCTCACTGCAGGGTATTCAGGGTCAAAAGCTGATTCTATTTTGCATGCTCAATCCTTCGTCAATTTATTTTTATTTCTTTCTTTATTTTTTGAGACAGGGTCTTACTCTGTCGCCCAGGCTGGAAGGCCTTGGTGCAATCTCAGCTCACTGCAACCTCGCCTCCCGGGTTCAAGTGATTCTCCTGCCTCAGCCTCCCACGTGACTGGGATTACAGGTGCTCACCACCATGCCTGGCTGATTCTTGTACTTTTAGTAGAGACGGGGTTTTGCCATGTTGCCCAGGCTGGTCTTGAACTCCTGACCTCAAGTGATCCGCCTGCCTCAGTGCCTAAAGTGCTAGGATTATAGGTGTGAGCCACTGCACCTGGCCTAATTTAACAGAATTTAACTGAGCAAAGAATGATTCACAAATCAGACTCAAAAATTAGACACAGAAACAAAATAGGTTCAGAGCAGCTCTGCGCTGCTGCGTAGTCAGAGAAAATTGATGAAGAGAAAAAGGAAAATGATGTACAGAAAAGGCAGTGAGGTACAGAAGCAGACAGATTGGTTACAGCTCAGCATTTACCTTATTTGAATGTGGTTTGAACAGTTGGCAGCCTGTGATCAGCCAAAACTCTCTGATTGGTATATGAATACGAATATTTCACTACCCATTCTTCTGAGCATCTAGGTGTTTTCTATTCACACATTCATTAGGTGTCAGGTCTGTAAAGCAAAAATAAAATTCTAAGGCCCCCCCAACCATCTGAATAGACTTCCTCCTCAGCCAAGACTGTTTTAAAATTTAACCTGAGAGACTATTTCAGGCATTGCCGGGAAGTCGGGGTCAAATATGCCTCATGATACCTGTCAGGCATTAATATCAACGCAGACTTTAAGTCTGGTAAGAAACATTTTACAATCTCATTTCTAAATGCACTTCTTAAAGTGAGGTATTGTTCACTTGGAATATTCCACTGTGATTTTAAATCATCTTTAGTAAGATTTTGACAGTTTTGTAAGTGTTTGCTGCTTCCAGGGACTCATATTTATCCATGTAAATGTAGGCATAGCTGGAAGGTGGAGTGTATTCAGCTCTTCAGAAATTAAGGGTTTCATTTTACATTGAATCTTGCCTTTGGCTCTCAGATCCCCTTGATCAACTTTGTCAATGATTTTCCCTACTAAGCATGTGAGAAAAAGAAACAAAGGTGACAGAATACAAAAATTCCTGCGAATTTCCAAAAGCCAAAGTTCACACTCCACCGCAATTTTGCCATTTACTGTCAGTTCCTGTCTGACCCAATCAGACACCTGAGGTCTCTAACTGGATCCAGGCTAGTTAATTCTTGGATCCAATCTGATCCTGGACCCAGTCCAGTTTCTGTCACAACTTCTGAATGCAGTTTGGATAAAAAAATTTGCTCAAACAAACTCAGATAGCTCAAATCATAAATCAGCGGGGCTTCAGAATCTGAGAGAGAATTGAGCAGTAATCCCCAGTTGTGAGACAGCAATGGACACAGTGGGCAGGCGAGTACTGAACTCCCTCTGCAAAAATTCTAACAGTGAGAAAATTTAACCATCCCACATCTTGCCTGTACCCTTCAAACTGCCCTTCATTCTTCCTGGGCATGGGCCAAGCTAACTTTGGGAGACATTTAGTTTATAGTTTAAATGATAATAGCTCTTCTCCAAAGCTCAACCACATTTGTAAAGCTGATGAGAGACCGCCAGGGTAAGAGGATGGGAGGAGCCTGATTTCTGCTAAGGTGTAGACATAAATGATTACCTGCCATTATTCTGGAGGTCACAAGACATGGAACTTCCCCAATTACTCCTGCAAATCACATCACTATTGTAGAACCCACGATCAGCCTTTTCGGATGTCTTTTCAGGTTTTTGCTTGTCTGATGACTGATGGCTCCACCCAGACCTGCCAACCACTCCCGCGGCCCCATCCAGAAGTGGCTCAGCGTGCATGAGGACCATCTCCAACATCCCTGTGATTGTACCCCCAACCAACCAGCAGCAAGAACCTATTGCCTAGTCACCTCCCCTCTCTTTCCCCAACTATCATTGAAAAAGTCTGGCTTCCAAATTTTCCGGGAGACTGATTTGGGTAATAATAAAACTCCAGTCTTCTGTTCAGCCAGCTCTGCATGAATTAAGCTCTTTCTCTATTGCAATTTTCCTGTCTTGATAAATTGTCTCTACCTGGGCAGGGGGCAAAATGAACCCATAGGGTGGTTACAGTACCTTGCTGGGTCACTTGATATTCCTGGAGGGTCACGGGAAGCGCTATGTGAATCCCACTTCTGATATTGTAAGATTCTCTCCAGGGCCTGAAAGCTTAAGGGGTTGAGCAACTCCTCCCTTCTCAGGCCCAGCCCCAGGGCGCAAGGCCGCTTGCATCAGCAGCGTGCGTGAGCAGATGCGCCAGCAAGATAGCAAAAGCAGGAAGAGAGCCAGCCGGAAGACAAGTACCTCTGAAGATGGAGAAAGAGGCCATCTGGGTACAACGTTGCAGTTACGTCAGACCAGGACACTTCCTGTTTACAGGAGACTATAAAACCTTTGCCCCATCCTCACTTGGGGCTGACGCCGTTTTAGGCCTCAGCCCGCCAGCACCCAGGCTCTCATTAAAACAGCATGTTGCTCCACACTGTCGTGTTGTCTGTTGGCGCGCTCTCGAGGTTCAAACCGATACAAGAACCTTACAATACCATCTGATAAAAGAAAAACTTTAGACAAATTAAATTTGACAGAGTTTAATTGAGCAAAAAACAACCGGAGAATCAGGTATCCCTAGAACCAGAGTAGGTTCAGAGCAACGCCTAGTTTTTAAAAAAATGTTTAACATTTATGAAAATTCTTCAACTTTAGCCTTCAAAATTTATAATGAATTGTTACTTCAGTTACCATCTTTATAAACTTTGAAGAGGTCTTTACTTTTTAAAATTTACTTATTTATCTTTACATAACATGCTCTTCTGATTTAAGTGTAGCTTTTTACCGTCTCCTGCGTCTTTTGTTTCCACTAAGTTGGTTTTGGTTTCCATTTTTCATGGTGATGACTTTCCTGAAATGTGTGATGACCTCTTGATACGGAAGGCAGAAAGAAATTATTTGGGCGGATAGTGATGGTAAAAGAGTCCTCGACAATGCTTCCCTTCTGACAAAAAGCAGCCCAAGAAATTGTTCTTTTCTAACAAAGAGCAGCCTGAAAAAATCGAGCTGCAAATATAGGTGAGCAAGCTGGAAGCTTCCACGGGTGAATGACGGCAGCTGTCCACGAGGAAAAGGCTACCTGGGGCCAGGCATGTTCAACATGGAGGCTCCATCCTCCCTTTTCTTTGTCACCATGTGTACAGTAAAGAAACAGGCAACATGGCACTCGCCAGGTAGAGAACCATCTGCATAATAAAAGATTAGGGTGGGCAGCCACCTTTTCACACCCAGTAAAATGGCACACCTGGTCCAACCAATCTTTCATGCCATATGTAAAACAGACACCACCTCCTCAAGCTCATCTATAAAACGCTCTGCATTTCACCATGGAAGTGGAAACCCATTCAGGACCCCTCTCTCTGCAGCAGAGAGAGATCTTCTCTTTCTGTCGCCTATTAAACTTCCGCCTTAAGCTCACTCTTGGTGTATCTGTGTCCTAGTTTTCCATGGCCGTGAGACAACAAATCTCGGGTATTTACCCCAGAATATGATGCCGCTTCACTTTGACCATCTATTCATATTTTAGAGAAAAACCTAAACAAACAAGGCTGGGTTTGTTGAAGGCTGGCTTCACAGAAGGCTCACCAGTTAGCCAGCCTTCTTCCTGAGGGACTTGTGATGGTTGTACTCTTCGGCTTCTCCAGAAAGGAGCATGGGAGCAGTCCATGAGAGGCTGAAGACCTGCCATTCAGTGTGTGGATCTTCCCTCATTTCCCATCCTCTCTTCTCCTGGTCTATACTGGGACTGCTATCCCTGAGCTCAGAGCCTTGGGACTGAAACTGTCCTGAGTGTGAACCTCCTGACTCCCATGTGAGTAGCTGGGTGAACGGAATTTGAATCCACTCAGTTTGCAGCCCATTGCCTCATCTGTCTGCTCACAGAATATAGTGGCTTCAAGCTTTGAACCCTGTAGGTGATCTTCAGAGCAAGACAAACCAGTTTCATCAGCTGTGCCTCATACAGGCCACTGGCCTTAACTTCTTCTGTCCTGTTAGGTCAGTCACCCCCATCTGTCCTCTTCCTGTCTTCTAAGGATTTTATTGAAGTCTTTTGTCACCGATGGCTGGGGTCCCCTGCCCCTGGGCGATGGACTGGTACTAGTCAGTGGCCTGTTAGGATCCAGGTGGTCCAGTAGGAGGTGAGCAGCCGGTGAGCAAGTGAAACTTCATCTGTAGTTACAGCCGCTCTTCATTGCTCACATTACTGCCTGAACACTACCTCCCGTCAGATCAGCAGCAGCATTAGATTCGCATAGGAGCACAAACTCTATTGTAAATTACACACGTGAGGGATCTAGGTTGCAAGCTTCTTATGAGAATCTAATGCCTGTGATCTGAGGTGGAGCCGAGGCTGTGATGCTAGCGCTGGGGAGTGGCTGTAAATACAGATTAACATTAGCAGAGAGGATTTACAGCACAGAGACCAAATAAATCAACTGCTTGCAAACTCGTATCAAAACCCTATCAGTGAGTGGGAAGTGACAACCTGCATCTGGTGGCAGGCTTTATAGTGGAAAGTGAGTTGATGTGCTTCAGTTGCACAGTTGTATTTGGTGCCCTTAAAAGTATGTTTAACATGCTGGGAGGCCGAGGTGGGCGGATCACAAGGTCAGGAGTTCAAGACCAGCCTGTCCAACATAGTGAAACCCTGTCTCTACTAAAAATACAAAAAATTTGCTGGGCATGGTAGTGCATGCCTGTAGTCCCAGCTACTCGGGAGGCTGAGGCAGGAGAATCACTTGAACCCGGGAGGCGGAGCTTGCAGTGAGCCGAGATCACGCCATTGCACTCCAGCCTGGGCAACAAGAGCAAGACCCCATCACACACACACACACACACACACACACACACACACACACACACACACACAAAGGGCGTTTGAGACAATTTCAAATCTCCATACGTTCCGGATTAAAGTCAAGGCCGAATATCTTGAAATTGCCACAAAAGCACTGAAAAGCCTGCTTCCATTTCCAACACCCTGTCTTTGTGAAGCAGGATTTTTTGCAGTGATAGCGACCAAAATGAGATTATGTAGACTGGACATAAGCGGCACACTTCGGGTGTCACTGTCTCGCAATATCCCCAGATGGGACCGTCTAGTTGCAAGAAAACAAGTTCAGGGCTCCCAGTTGATTCTACAGTGGGAGAGTTGTGTAATTATTTCATTATATATTGCAATGTAATAATAATAGAAATAAAGTTCACAATAAGTGTAAAGTGCTAGAATCATCCTGAAACCATCTTCTCCTCCCCCACCCTGGTAAGTGGAAAAATTGTCTTCCATGAAACTGGTTCCTGGTGCCAAAAAAGTTGGGGCCCACTGCCTTATGGGATCATCTCCAGTTCTCTTTGCCTCTGTGGATTAATAATATTTTAATTTTGCTATCTCCATTTTAGTGGAGTTTTTGAAATAAAGATGTTAAACATATCTGGTCATTTTATTTTTAATTGGAAGTCCCACATTAACCCCTGTTACCCTTAAAAATGAAGGGCTCAGTTTTCAAATGAAAAAAATTTCTCTCGAGGTCTGTGTCTTCATTGTGCCACTAGAGGGTACTGCGACATCTGCAAGATGAAAGGCCTGGCCAGGGCAGATCTATGTTTTAAAGCCTTTTCTCTCATATGGACAAAAAATACCAGCTTAGATATGGTCATTGTGTTTTTTAGGAACTATTTTTTTTATTATTAGAAGTAGAACACTTTTTAATAATATCTTTGGAGCCTGAACCATGAATTAATATTCTTACAAATATTTACTAGATAGGAAATCTTAGCTGAGTCACTTTACTTTTCTAAGCCTGAATTCTCTCATCTGTAATAAGATAAAATATAATATATGTCATGTTTTGTAGGAGTGAAGTATTTATTACCTCCCTCGTAGGGACACAGAGTGCGTGTACAAAAAAATGCCAAAAATGACAACTTCATTAGAATAAAGATGCTTTTAAGATGATCACTTCAAAGGTCAAGGTAATTTCTGGCACAATTTTGTTTAAAAATAAATTATTGGCTGGGCACGGTGGCTTATGCCTGTAATCCCAGCAGTGTGGGAGGCCGAGGTGGGCGGATCACCTGAGGTCAGGAGTTTGAGACCAGCCTGGCCAATATGGTGAAACCCCATCTCTACTAAAAATAGAAGAATTAGCCGGGCATGGTAGTGTGCGCCTGTAGTCCCAGCTACTCACAGGGAGGCTGAGGCAGGAGAATCACTTGAACCTGGGAGGTGGAGGTTGCAGTGAGCCGAGAACACGCCACTGCACTCCAGCCTGGGTGACAGGGTGAGACTCTGTCTAAAAAAAAAAAAAAAAAAAAAAAAATTATTTCTTGTCAGTCTCATGCATATTTCACTTGCATGGTAAAAAATTTTTTAAAAAAATAAGGTGAAATAATGACTACATTTTTTAAAAAATTGAAAATGGTTTTATGTGAATGTGCTCTGGAGTCTGTGAAGTGTTCTATTGTAAATGACTCACGCGAACTTGATCTCTACAAATGGAATAAAATCTTGTACACTCATTAGGTCACACCATAAACATTTCTGGGGGTGTCTGGCCAGGTCACACTAATTTCTCCTTCTATAGGAATTACCTGTGATCCTCAGAGACTACATATGTAACATCTGCATTTTTACCATGAGACAGTCTTAAGGTCTAGCTATTTCATTCTGCCTTAAGTTCCATTAAAACCACAGTATCCTTGAGGTGAAAAAAAAATGAAAGACAAAGAAAGAGAGAGAGAGAGAAATGATGGTATCCTTACAATAAATTCCTTAACCTGCTCACCTTAGCTTAATTTGGATTCTCTTATTTAAAACCAAATGAACTTTAACTAATGCAATAAACTATTAATAATAAATTATTTTAACAGCACCACAATTTCTTTTAGAGATGGAATTGGTTTTGCCTGAGAAAAATACCTTGAAAAGTAGCTTAGAGTTTATGGTAAAATCCCTAAGGAATAACTTGGCAAGAGAGAGAGAACTCCTACAAAAGAAAAGAGTGGGAATTTGAAAGTGGGGAAGGGCAACACAGTTTATGTGTTTGTATGTACTTGGGTTCCACATCTGGAGCAGGGTACAGAACCAGACTAAGTTCCACATCTGGATCTGGAAGGATTGGGCAGTATGAATATGTACATTCATCCCATATATATGGAATTTTGATAGGAGAGTGTGTATATATATATAGATAGATACGAATATAGATATAGATCAATATCTACGAGCTACGCCAATGCAAGAAAAATGAAAGGTGGACCTAGAGATGACCAAAGATTACTATAAACCAACTTCCTCTCCTAAATCTAGAGAGAATTGGGGGGATTTAGAGCTATGACTACACACATGTGGTGTAGACTTAAATCGGTTTTACTTTGATTTCAAAAGATAAGCTACTTCTGACACTGGAATTACACTTCTAGGACAAATTTAAATAAATCAACTTTCTGGTTTGAAAACCTCAGCTGCTGGCTGGGCATGGTGGCTCATGCCTGTAATGCCAGCACTTTGGGAGGCCGAGGCAGGCAGATTACCTAAGGTCAGGAGTTCGAGACCAACCTGGCTAACATGGTGAAACCCTGTTGGGTTTCTACTAAAAATGCAAAAAAAATAGCAGGATGTGGTGGCGGGTGCCTGTAATCCCAGCTACTTGGGAGGCTGAGGCAGGAGAATCACTTGAACCTGGGAGGCAGAGGTTGTAGTGAGCCGAGATCGCGCCATTGCACTCTGGCTTGGGCAACAAGAGTGAAACTCCGTCTCAAACAAAACAAAACAAAACAAAAACAAAAATACCCATCAGCTGCTGATGATTTATAGCCACACCATAATTTCATCTAGTTCAATTTTGTTTCTAAATGCTTCAGTTAAATTTAACTCTTTAGCAATGATCTCACATCTCTATCTAATTGACCAAGCCAACTATCTTCTTTCAGCACATGTTTACTGAGCACCTTCTAGGCACTGAATTTGAGGCTAAATGTTATTTCCATTCATGGATATTAACATCTAGCTGGAGAAATAGACTATCTACTGCAACAACAGTAAGTAATTTCACATTGTGATAAGTGCTGTACAAGAAGCAAATAGGACATATATATGTATATATGTTTTTTTTGAGATGGAGTCTTGCTTTGTCACCCAGGCTGGAGTGCAGTGGCACGAGCTTGGCTCACTGCAACCTCCGCCTCCTGGGTTCCAGCGATTCTCCTGCCTCAGCCTCCCAAGTAGCTGGGATTACAGGTGCCTGCCACCACGACCAGCTGATTTTTGTATTTTTAGTAGAGATGGGGTTTCAGCATGTTGGTCAGGCTGGTCTCGAACTTCTGACTTCAGGTGATCCACCCACCACGGCATCCCAAAGTGCTGGGATTACAGGCATGAGCCACTGCACCCGGCCTAGGATGTAAATTTAAAGAACAGGGCTGGGTGACCTATTTTAAATGGAGTGGTCGAGGAAAACATCTTTGACAAGCACGAGATGAGACCGGGCACAGAAGGAGCATTGCAGATGGAAAGACAGGATGAGTGAAGGCTCTGAGGTGGGAAAGGTCTTGAGATATTTGAAAGCCAGAAGGTCACCTTTCAGAAATGCCCTTCCCCTAAGTCAAAGGGAAAGAGTAATCTGGTGATGAGTTGGGAGGTGAAGCCCTTCCCAGAAATGTTTCCATTCTAATGAGCAATTAGATCACCCCTTTAGGCATGGTAGTAGACACATGCTTTTGTTTTGTTTGTCTATCTTTAAAGCACTGTTTCTGCCAGTCATAAACTTT
Source organism: Homo sapiens (assembly GCF_000001405.40). Lineage (NCBI taxonomy): Eukaryota > Metazoa > Chordata > Mammalia > Primates > Hominidae > Homo > Homo sapiens. The sequence continues at coordinate 5,096,664 of NW_018654717.1, read as the reverse complement.
GCTCTAGACATTTCTTCCTCCCTATGTCTCCTAGAACACAGGGTCAGGCCTGAAAGAGTTGATTTTATGGAAAATTTGATACCTATCTTTTGTACCAAATGGACTTTTATTTGGCTGTATCCTGAAATGCATAAGAAAATTGCTACCACAAAACCATACGCACTTATTCTGCTGAGGTTGCAAGATGAAATATGTTCCAACATGTCCTTATTCCTTTTCTGCTTCCAGAAGCCACATGTGAAAACTGACCTTCTTGTGTTTTAGACACACCTCATATCTCCTGGAAACACTAAACATGCAAACAATCACACCATAGCATTCTCTGTTTTCCACGAGACAGAGAGAAATTACTAGATGCAACTGAAGTCTTTGCTACAACAGGGAAATTAAAGGGATCCTCTATGTACGACAATAACTCATTTATGGAAAGGATGTTATTTGCCTTTTACAGCAATTTTATAACAGTTGGCTTGCAGAAAAGCAATGACATTAAGAATCTCAAGTTACTAAAAGGAAACCTTATTCTTTGTGTGGGAATGTTATCACCACTTCCTCAATGCCTCGCTGGAATTTTTACTATCTGATATATGGTAGTGGAAAAAGGGCTTTTAGATAGTAATCAAGAATTCTGGGTCTGCTCCAAGATATGTGATTTTAGGCAAGTCTTCATTATTTCTGAGCCTCATTTTTTCCATCCATATAAAGAAAGGCGCAAATTAAATGTTTTCTGAGATTTCCTCCAGTTCTAAATTTGACAATACTATGGAAAAGCAGGGTGAAGCAGTAAATAGAGAGTTAAGATTGGATTCAGCGGAGCTCGTTCTGAGTTTCCTCTTTGATCACTTAGTGGTCATTTGAGAAAGACTCTTAACCTTTCTAACCCCAGTTTCCTCATCTCTAAAACAGACTGGCAAAATTAGTACACAATTTCATTACAGACAATTGAGGTCAAAGGAGATGTCAGCTGTGAAACTTTTCAAACTGTAAAAGGTCAGTATAAATGTGAGTTTTATTACACATTTAATGATGATGATAAAAATTAAAATGAGCAACAGTGATAAGGTTTGGATCTGTGTCCCCATCAAATCTCATGTCAAACGGTAATCCCCAGTGTTAGAGGTGGGGCCTGGTGGGAGGTGACTGGATCATGGGGGTGGACTCCTTATGAATGGCTTACCACCACTCCCCTTGGTACTGTTCTCTTGGAAGTGAGCAAATTCTCATGAGATCTGGTTGTTTAAAAGTGTGTAGCACCTGCCTCCTCGCCCTCTTCCTCCTGCTCTGGCCATGTAAAATGAAACTGCTGCTGCTTTGCCCTCCGCCATGACTGAAAGTTTCCTGAGGCCTCTCCAGCCATGCTTCCTGTACAGCCTGCAGAACCATGAGCAAATTAAATCTCTTTTCTTTATAAATTACCCAGCCTCAGGTATTTCCTTGTAGCAATGCAAGAATGGATTAATACAAATACCAATCAACATTTACTTGTTATTCTAAAGCCTTTGCATATGTGGTCTTTTAATCTTCACAACAATCCTATAGGATAGTATGATTACTATCACCATGTTCCAGAGGAAGAAACCGAGAAACTGAGGAACACTCAGTCACTGGCAAAAAGGCCACACACTTAGTGGCCGGAAGAGCAAAGCAGTTGACTGCAAGTCCCAGCTTGGCTTCTTGATCAGCTCTAATCCTAAAAACCAGATGCAAAGGGACATTATAGACTTGATTTGACCATGGATGCTGATTAGCTCCACTCCTATGGTTTCTTCAGTTATATCCTAAATGGAAAAACATACCCTTTTTTTTTTTGGTAAAGTTATCCCAAATGACTCATCTATTCACAACCCTGCAGCCTGCAGCATAGTATATACTTAAATTTTTCCTAAATGTTATATGCTGAAAGAAATCAGAATGACCGCCAAACAAAGCTCCTATTCAAAGAGATAATTCTGGAGGGAAATGCAGCAAGCTTAGACATACAGCTTCAAAATCTAAGAAAACCAAAAACCAAACTCAAACAAACAAACCAAAAAAACCCAAAAAACCAAAACAAGTGCCCAAGTTGAAGTTTTTGTATGTACATCTTTAACCTCTGTGAAGCCATCCTACTCTCCTCTCTCCTCACCTCTACCCCACTCCAGGGAAGCACTTAGGAAAAAATGTCTGTGTCAATCCAATTCAAGCCTCCTGCACAAAATCTGTGCTAATGACAGGCATGATTCTATGGTAGAATCTCAAAAGCAACACACAACAATTTAATTAGCTCTAAGTCAATAAATCTGCATGAACCCAGCAGGTCAGTAAACCATAAGTCTCTCTAGCAATTATCAACCAAAAGATTATTCATGTAGAACCATGATGCCCAACATTTGACAATACCCAACATGGAACATTTATGATTTTCTAAGACTGACATTCGATGCACCGAAATTAATTCTGCTAGAACCCTTGATTTAGAAAGAAACACATAGATACCACACAGAGGAAAACTCCAGCTGACCAATGGGGAAAGAATAGGCAATTCACAAAATAATTTCAGAGGCATTTTGTTAAGTTTTTTCTCAAAAAAGCAACTGCATGAATATTTTACACAGAAAAATATTAATCCTAGTGGGAGTGGATCGAACTTGTGTTACTCATATATAAATTATATATAACTACTCATCATATAATTCCCCTACTTGAATAACTACCTACCTTAAGCAGACCTTGGAATCTGCCCCCAAATCTCATTTATGATTCGAAATGCTGCTTTGGGTTAAGAGGTGATGGAAGTGCTCTGATTTCAGAATTTGTGAGTTTTGATCAAAGAATCTAATGAGATAAGCCAGATAAACATGCATCCCAGGCTCTCAGATTCACTGCCCTCAAGACACACACACCACCCCCAGACGTGCAGCAGACTCACAGCAATTCAAATCCAACAAAGCTAGCCCAATGCTTGAGGACTTTACCCATCACGAGTCAACATTGGATTTCTCCCTGCAAGGTCAATAAAATAACCCCACATTTTCAAGAGTGGTAGGCTAGTGGAATGTTGTTTTTCCTGTGCTCTCATCGGATTACTCTTACTGACCAATCCTTTTAAGGCCTTCACTGTCGAGTCCTGCTGACTTTGGTAATCAGTATAGATTATGTTTGGCTTTCAGTGATGGAAAACTCAAAATTACATTTTCTCAAACAAACTAGCAGTCAGAGCTTAAGTAGGTGTCAAGGGGCTGCTGCGATGTTCCAACATGACCCAGAGCCCTTCCATCTTCTTCCTGGGCGGGGCCTGGAAGCAGCCTCATGGTCTAGCCTGGGAAAAGCCACGTTCCAGGCAACGGGATGGAGAAAAAGATGAGGAAGTGGGAAAGGGCACATGCATACACTATCTTTAGAAAAAAATGTCTCTGTAAGGGTTTGGAAATGTATCCATGAACCCCTGGACATTCCATCAAGAAATGGGGAACATGCCCCTTCCACTCAAACCTGGGCAGCCCTTCAGAATGTGGCAGAAGTGAAGCTGCATGATTCATCAGGTAGGTAGTAAACGAAACCTTTGCCATCTCTCTTAAGATACTTATGCTGGGACCCTTCAGCCATCCTGTACGAAGTCTGACCACCATGAGGTCTCTACAAGAAAAAGATACAGCAGAAGAGAGATGGGAAGGGAGGAAACTTTCCAAAATATATTAGGGGACAAATAGCAGTCTCCACCCCAATATATGCAGCAGTGCAGCAGTTTTCACCAATGTTCAAGTTCTTTGTGTGTGCTTTAATAAATCACAAAGTTAAATTGCAGAAGACGCACAACTATCAAGCTTTACAGATACCTACATAGATACTGAGCACTAACCCCAGCAACATTTGCTTTAGGCAGAAATTACTCTTACAATGTTTCTTTTTTGCCCAATACTTTCCAGATCTCTTTTTTCGAGAATCATTTCTATAAAAGTAATGTGTAAATCACGTAAAACCTCCGAATAGTATAGAACTCTGCAAAATGAAAAACAAGATTATTTTCCTTCTATACCCCCATAAAACCTCAGTTCCCTTTACCTACAGAGAACTGCTATTGACAGTTTCTTGTGAATCCTTTCAGAAATTTCATTCGATGACCAGACTACATATGGATGTCTCTAAAAAAACCAAACAACTAATGTGGTATACCATAAATACTGCTATAAGCCTTCTCTCTTTTTCTATATAAAACATATTTTGGAAATCTTTCCATATTCGCAGGTATAGATAAAACTCCTTTGATTCATATGCAAAAGTTATACATGTTTAAACTGCAAGATTTAATAAGTTTTGACTTCTGGATAACACTCATAAAACTGTGACCACAGTCAAGACTGAACACCTCCACCCCCTCCAAATGTTTTCTCACGCCCTTCCTCCTGCTCCACTGCCTAAGGCAGGCAATTGCTGGCTGATCTGCTTTCTGTCACTTGAGATCGGTTTGCAATTCCTAGCATTTTATGTAAACGTGATCATACACTAAGCATTCTTTGTTTTTTGCTTAACATCTTTCACTCAGCCTAGTTATTTTGGGATTAATTCATGTTGTTGCATGCACCAGTAGTTTGTTTCATATCTTTTCTTACTAGAATTCCATTATATGAATACGCCACAAGTTGTTTGTTCTTTTACTTGGTGATAAACATTTGCCTTGTTTCCAGTTTACTTACGATATATAAAACTGCAAGAAACATTTGTATGTAAGTCTCTATATGAGCATATGCTTTCTTTTTTTTGTCGCTAAATAACAAGAAATTGAGTGATCGGGTCATATGAGAGAAGGATATTCAATTTTTAAAGAACTTGTTAAACTGTTTTCTAAATTGGTTGTACCATTTTACCTTCTCACTGGCAGTGGATGAGAGTCCCACTTCCTCCCTATCCTTACCTTATGGATATATCCTGTCCTTGGTATGTTCAGACTTTTAAATTTTAAACATTCTAATAACTATGTGGTCCGAAATCACCTTAATTTTCATTTCCCAAATGACTAATTATGCTGAGAATCAGCTCACTTGCTCATCTGCCATTCATATAGCTTCTTTGGTAAAGTGTCCATTCAAATCTGGGCCCATTTTTAAAGTGCATTATTTGTTTTCTAATAATGTCTTCTAGAGGTTCTTTATATAATCTAAATGCTATGTTTTTCAGCTACTGTATATAATTTTCATTATCTTAACACCATTCTTCAAAGACCAGAAGGTATTTCTGATGATGCACAATTTATCAGCTTTTCACTTGTGGGTTGTATATCTAAGAAATCTTTGCCTAACTCAAGCTCACAAAAATTTTCTTGCATGTTTTCTTCTAGGAATTTTACAGTTTTTGTTTTACGTTTACTTGTCATTCCAAGTAGGCCTCATTCATTTTGAGTTAATATTTGTATATATTGTGATGTATGAAACAAGATTTTTTTAAAAATAAAAATATATAATTTTTCCAACACCATTTATTAAAAAGACTATCCTTTCTCCACTAAATAGCCTTTGCACCTTTGTTAAAAAACAAATGACTGTATGTGCGTGGGCCTATTTCTGGACTCTGTTCTCTTCCATTGATCTGTCTATTTTTATGCCAATACGGCACTGTTTTGACAACTCTAGCTTTAACATTTACCTTGAAGTCAGGTAATGTAAGTCTTCCAACTATGTTATTTTTCAAAGGTGTTGGCTATTTAAGATAACTTATATTTCCTTATAAAGTATGTAATAATCTAGTACATTTTAACAAAAATTTCTACAGACTGCATTGACTCTTTAGATCAGTTTTGAGAGAATTGGCCAGGCGCGGTGGCTCAGGCCTGTAATCCCAGCACTTCAGGAGGCCAAGATGGGCAGATCACTTGAAGTCAGGAGTTCGAGACCAGCCTGGCCAACATGGTGCAACTCCGTCTCTACTAAAAATACAAAAATTAGCTGGGCATGGGGGTGTGCACCTGTAATCTCAGCTACTCAGGAGGCTGAGGCAGGAGAATTGCTTGAACCTGGGAGGTGGATGTTGCAGTGAGCCGAGATTGCTCCACTGCACTCCAGCCTGGAGCGACAGAGAGAGACTCTGTCTCAAAAAAAAATTTTTTTTGAGAGAATTGACATTATAATATTATTGAGTCTTCTGATCTACCAACAATGTATATATCTCCATTTATTTAGATCTTTAATTTCTCTTAGGAATATTTTGATATTTTCAGTTTACTGGTCCTGTACATCTTCTGACAGATGAATCCCAAAGTATTTGACATTTTTGTCAAATGTCAAGTGACCTTTTTTTATTTCAATCTCCAATTGTTGTTAGTACATAAAATTGTAACTGATTTTTGTATAGTGACCTTATATCTTGCAACCTTGCTAAATGCACATAGTAGTTCTAATAGTTTTTTGGTAGATTTTTTTCGCATTTTTAACAAGATGTCATTAGTGAATTGAGAGTTTATTTTTTTCTTTCAAATCTAAATGTCTTTTATTGTATTTATTTATTTTTCCTTATCACACTGATTAGTACCTTCAGGACAATGATGAAGAGAATTGATAACATAAATCTTTGTCTTGTTCCTATTCTCAGGGACAAAGCATTCAGTCTTTCACCATTAAGTAGGGGTGAGTCTATGTTTTTCTTATCTGATAAAGGTAAATCCTTTATCTGGTGGATGAAGTGCCCTTCTATTCCAAGTTTGTTGAGAGTTTTTATCAGGAATAGATGCTGGATTTGTCAAATGCTTTTATTGCATCAATTGAGATGATAGTATGATTCTTACTTTTTAAATTGTTGATATATTTACTTACATTGATCAGTTTTAAAATGTTAAACTAACTTTCCATTCATGGGAGAGGAAACTCACTTAGTCATGATCTACTATGCTTTTTGTATATAATTGGATTCAGTTTAATAAAGTTTTGATAAGAATTTTTGCATCTATGTTTATGAGGGACATTGGTTAGTAGTTTCCTTTTCTAGTCATGTTGTTGTCTGGTAGCAGGTAATGCTGGCCTCATAGGATGAGTTAAGAAGGAGTTCTATCTCTTTCCTTTTCTGGGAGAGTTTGTGTACAACTGGTGTCATTGCTTCTTAAACATTTGGTAAAATTCACCAGTGAAGCCATGTAGGCCTGAAGTTTTTTGTTTTTTGTTTTTTGAGGAAGGTTTTTAATGGCAACTTCAATGTCTTTAATAGAGAGCTATTCATATTATTTATTTTGTGAGTGGACTTTGCTCATTTGTGTCTTTCAAGAAATGTGTACATTTAAGTTGTTGAATGTTTATTAGCATGAAAGCATGAAGTTTTTAGAACATTCTGGTTTTTTTTTGTTTGTTTTTTTTTTTTTCTTTTGAGGCAGAGTCTCGCTCTGTCTCCCAGGCTGGAGGGCAGTGGCATGATCTCGGCTCACTGCAACCTCCACCTCCTGGGTTCAAGTGATTCTCCCACCTCAGTCTCCTGAGTAGCTGGGACCACAGGCATGCAACACCATGCCCAGCTAATTTTTGTATTTTCATTAGAGACAGGATTTCACCATATTGGCCAGGCTGGTCTTGAATTCCTGAGCTCAAGTGATTCACCCACCTCAGAATCCCAAAGTGCTGGCATTACAGGCATGAGCCACCACACCCAGCCAGAACATTCTTTTATTATCCCTTTAGGATGTATAGAATCCATAGTGATGTTACCTCTCTTATTCTTGACATTAGTAATTTGTGTCTTTTCTCTTATTTCCTAATAAGACTGGCTACAGGTTCTCATTTTAATTTTTCTCCTTAACAAAACAGCTTTTGGTTTTATTGATTTTTCCTCATTGTTTTATTGTTTTCTATCTCATTGATTTATATTCTTCATTATTGCCTTTCTTCTGCTTACTTTGGGTTTACTTTGCTCTTCTTTTACTTCTTTCTTCAAATGGAGGCTGAAGATATTGAGTAAGATGTTTCTCCATTTCTAATATAGGTGTTTGGTGCTTAATTTCCCTTAAACATTGTTTTAACTGCATCTCATAAATTTTCTTTTTCAACTATTTACTATATCTTTTTGGGATATTTTAATTGTATTACTTGGTTTCCAAATGCTTGGGGATTTTCTAAATATCTTTTATTTATATCTACTTTATTTCCATTGTGATCAGAGACCACGCTTTGTAGGATTTTAATCTTTTCATATTCATTGAAACGTAATTGATGGCCCAGAATATGATCTATCTTGGTAAAATTTCCCTGTACACCTTGAAGGAAATCAAAAGCTTTCTCTCCAAAATGTTGAGGATTATTAAGTTAGAAAGACGGAAAGCTCAGGGCAGCAGTATGCCTCAGCATCTGTGTGCCTGGCAGCAGGACAGCAACCCTTCCTTACCAGAGATGGCAGTTGTTTGTCAGCCCAGAGAAGGTACCAGCAGGCACCAGAAGAATCAGGGAACAGATTTTACCATCTTCCCACATTTTCCCACCTTTTCCACAAGACTGTAACTGCTTTCTTCTTTGTCTTAGAACTGTACAGGACACAGGGCTCTTTGTTAAAATACTATTTAAGCAAGGCCTGTTGTATCTACCAAGCTAGGGACAGGGGTTACAAACACGTCCAGGGCAGAGTTCCTTCCCTCGAGGAGTTCACAATATGTGTGAGAGACATGTACATTCACAGTGGCCATGCAAAGTGATAAGTGGCTTTTGAAAAGGTAATGTGTACACTGCTATGGACCCTGAGGGAGGGGAGAATGACAGACAAAGCAGAAGATTCCAGAAAACCTCCAAAATAATGGGAGCTTTGACTCAGCCCAGAAGGACCTCCTCTTAGCAAGTCTCCTAGAGGCCAGTCTGTTTAGAGCTGCTGTCTGTTACATTTTCTTCGGTCCCTTTACCTAACGTCTCCTTCAGCTCCCTTAGCCTTGGCAAAAGGCAGAGGAAGAGGAGAAAAGCATTTCCATCAATGGAGTCATTTTGCGTCACAGGGCACTACATGTGGTGATGTGGCTAGAACGGTCCTTGTAAAAATAGCCTGAGCAGCTAATATCCAGTCAGCTAAACGGACCCCATTGCCATTTAGTGTCCGCACTTGTTTCAGTAAAGGCTGAAACCAAGTACAACATATGAAGTCCACAGCCTCCACGTGTGTACACCAATGCCTTCCTTCCACAAAACAGGTACTCAGTGATCATTTGCTGCTTGGAATTCATATCATCAGCTGAGCTTAATCAAACAAAATCACCCTTCAGAGACTACTAACCCATGAGGCTATAAAGTAAGTCCATTGATTTTTGTTCATCACCTAAGCTTCCATAATGGAAATTAATGAAATTGAATTTTAAATGAATGAATTTAAAATGAATGAAATGGACATTAATGAAATTATCTCCTTTGGGAAGGTTCACCCAATATAAGCTGCAACTTTGGGAATAAAATGGCAAAGGTAACAAAACAGCTGTATTGGTTGTATTAAAGTGGGCAGAGGAATGAAAAAGAAACAGGCTGATTACGGAAGGAGACAGTGCTGATCTTGTGCCTGTATCAGAGAGGGCATCCTCCCTGGCAAAAAAGGAAGGGAGAGAGGCTGAGAGCTCTCTATGCCTTGAGTGGATAAAGGCGGCACAGATTCTCTTAAGTGGCTCCAGAACTAAGCAGCAAGTGAAGGGGCTGAGATTGGGACCAGTTCCAGCCAAAGGGCTCTTCATCACTGCCAGCTGCCACACAAGTGGCCACTTCTGGAAACAGGCACCTGATCAGGAACTCCCTTCCTGCAACCTACTTCTCTTTTGCACATTGAGGAAGTATTCACTGGGCACCCGTCATGTCTTGGGCGTTTTGCTTTGCTTGAGGGACATGCCCTTGAACTGCAGTTCCCCTTAGCCTACTTCTGGATGAATGTGAATTTCCTCTATTCAGTACATCCAAAACAACATACGGACATGAAACGGATAGTAGGAATAAGAATATAGCTGCTATAGGCCAGGTGTGGTGGCTCATGCCTGTAATCCCAGCACTTTGGAAGGCCGAGGCAGGTGGATTACTTGAAGTCAGGAGTTCAAGACCAGCCTGGCCAACACAGCGAAACTCTGTCTCTACTAAAAAGACAAAAGTTAGCCAAGCATGGAGGCATGTGCCTGTAATACCAGTTACTCGGGAGGCTGAAGCAGGAGAATCACTTGAACTCGGGAGGCGGGGGTTGCCAAGATCGTGCCACTGCACTCCAGCCTGGGTGACAGACCTAGGATGCATTTCAAAAAAAAAAAAAAAAGAATACAGCTGCCATTAAACTTGGTTTGTTTGCACTGAAATGCATTTACTGATCTCATGGATAGTGGCTATATCAGTCCATTTTCACACTGCTGACAAAGACACACCTGAGACTGGGAAGAAAAAGATGCTTAATTGGACTTATAATTCTACATGGCTGGGGGTCCCCAGAATCATGGCAGGAGGAGAAAGGCACTTCTTACACGGTGGTGGCAAGAGAAAAATGAGGAAGAAGCAAAAGCAGAAACCCCTGATAAACCCATCAGATCTCGTAAGACTTATTCACTATCTCAAGAATAGCACAGGAAAGACCAACCCCCATGATTCAATTACCTCCCCCTGGGTCCCTCCCACACACATGGGAATTCTGGGAGATACAACTCAAGTTAAGATTTGGGTGGGGACACAGCCAAACCATATCAGTGGCTTTTATAGGAAGTAAAAGGAAGGCTTTAAACTTAAAAATAATTTACTAATAAAATATAATTTTATTAATTTTGCAATCGGGGTTCCATTGCTAAATAGTTTGAAAACCACTGATCTATGCAAACTTTCTACCCCATGTAGGAATCTTCTCCCAACGGACTTTATCAGTGGTCATTGTTCTTGTTCCTCCAGTGACAATGTAGCCCTTCTATTTGCAGAGGTTCTTATAGAAAATTTTTCTTTTTGCCTTTGTTTCTTCATGTGTGGATTATTGCCATCCTGCCACTCACTGTGGTTTCCATGGAATCTTGTGGAGGAATCTGTTTATATATTTTTTTGGCTCACACATCTGTTATTACAAAAGCTCCTCTACTTTTATGATCTAATTAGGCTCTGCAAAGGAAACAACCAAAAAACTTAGTGGCTTAAAAGTAAAGCAATATATTATATCTCTTGATTTCATAAGTTAACCAGTTAAGTTTTCCTGATGGTCTTGCCTGGGATCATTGTAGCAACTGCATTTAGTTGGCTGATGAGCTGGGGGCATAGCTGGGGTTCCTTGGTTCTCCTCTATTTGATCTTTCCTTTGGTAGCCTGAGCTTCTTTGTAGCATATTGACCTCAGAGTAGTTGGACTATGTACATGGCAGCTGGCTTCCAAGAGGGAGAAAGAAGAAACTGTCAATCTTAAGTCCTGGGCTCGGAGGTTCAAGAGTGTCGTTTCTGTTATATTCTTTTAGGGGGAGAAATCAAAGCAAGTAAAGCAAGTTAAAAGATCTGGCCAGGTTCAAGGGGAAAGGAAATAGACTTCATTTCTTAATGGAAGAAACGGCGCATGCAACCAGTGGTAGAAGGAATTGCTGGTGAACATGTTTGCCTACCACCAACCATACCTAAAAATTTGTAAATAAGCCAATTTCCCCCATGTAGGTTCTTATGGCTACAAGAGGCTTGTGATTGTGGTTCCTCACTGCATTATCATCCAGTAGGACAGTGAATTGTTCTTCTAAGAGCTTTACAATCAGAGTCTTTTCCTCCTTGATATTGTAAGTTCCACTTGGCATCTGTTTCCAAACCAGATCGATTTTCACTATAACAAAAATATTTTGGGTAGGTATCCCCACTTCAGGATGAGTGCCACTTGTGTTGTGAGGAGTTTTCTAGCAAGCAATTTGTAGATGCAGGTTGGCCACCCAACTGAGGTGGCAAATGGAAGCCGGATTGCAGCCTTGTTCTAATCACTAAGCCTTGTTCCCCTGTATGGGACGGAGTCTACCAACAGAGAACCGCTGCCCCATCTGTGTTGGACATGTCACCACTGACTTTTGCTTGTGATGGATGTGTCACCACTCACTTTTGCTTGTGATGGACATGTCACCAGTGACTTTTGCATTATGCAGATCTGAAAAGACCTAGGCACCTACAAGTGTGGCTGGCCACCCTAGTGCCTGGCTACTTTTACCATGCTGAAGCTTTGGATAATCTTCCAGGCTTCTTCTTCATTAAATTTTGCCACGCTCACTGTGGTTTTTTGTTCTGTTTTTTTTTTCCATTTTGGTAGTTATTCTTTCTCATCTTTTGCTAAAGATGATTAGAGCAGCAGTTTCTACAAATTGCTTTGTCATACTGAATTATTCCTATGAGCCAAAGAGAAACGTCTTACGCACATATCATTTTCTTAAAATTTTTTCTAATACCATATTTCTACTTTTGTTTCATTTGTGATTGTCCGCTTCTTCAATCTAGTATTTTTTTTTACAAGCTTTATTGTTTTTGCATTTATTTGAGACACTGGAGTAAATGTTCATAAAGTATCTCAAAACTAAGTGTAAACATAGCAAATACACACTAGAATAATGGCTAATGCCTCGGGCAAAAGTATATTTGAACTAAAAGGATGGTGCATAATTGTTACTGCATGTCTTGTTGCCAGACGGAGTTGATATGCTTTTGCTCTGGAAAATAGCTTTGCACCTGTGATGGCTTGTAAGTTACAAGTTTTTAAGTATGAGAATTTCCATCTATAACTAGAAAGCTTTGGAGAATAGTCAGGTTTTAGGTGACACCATAGGGTATGAGTCACTGTTATATAAGCAGTAATTGTTTGCATTTAGAGTGCTTAAGCAGGCATGCTTACAGCCAATTTTTAAAGTTATTGTGTTTTTGCAAAAATAACAGTTTAGCAGTCTTGAGAACCTTAGTGAACATAGTTAAGCCACCCCAGCCAGATGACAGTGTATCCTTTCTCTAAGAAAGAAGATTCTATACCATTTATAGCAAATAATTTTTGGAATAACTTTCATTGTAAAGCTATTTTTCCTCATTATTGCCCATCTCTTTTGATGCTACAACAAAAGCTCATCCTCTCTCCTAATTTCTTTCTTCTTTTTTTTTTTTGAGACAGAGTCTCACTCTGTCGCCCAGGCTGGAGTGCAGTGGGGAGATCTCAGCTCACTGCAAGCTCCACCTCCAGGGTTCACACCATTCTCCTGCCTCAGCCTCCCGAGTAGCTGGGACTACAGGCGCCCGCCACCACGACCAGCTAATTTTTTTGTATTTTTAGTAGAGACGGGGTTTCATCGTGTTAGCCAGCATGGTCTCGATCTCCTGACCTCGTGATCCACCTGCCTCAGCCTCCCAAAGTGCTGGGATTACAGTCGTGAGCCACTGCGCCCGGCCCCTCTCTCCTAATTTCAAGTGTAACTAGATCTGTCATTGCTCTAAAGGAGCCACTCCTGGGCAGGACACATTTCTGGTTTAATAATTACTCTTATGAGATCACCACTCACGGGAACGTCTGTCCTTTCTTCCTTAGTGCCCCCGTTGGTCCCAGAACATAATTCTGTGACACGGAGCACAATTCTGTTCTAATTCTTTTGCATTAGTGAATGTATTTGTTATGCATTTGCCTGCTATTATTAGATTGTAAGTTCTGTTGAGATGGGGCTGTGCCTGTCATTTTTGGATCCCCAACACCTACCTCAATGTCTTAATAAATGTTTAATAAATATCCACTAATAAAAATAGGTGTCCTTAACTATTTCTCCTAGCTTTCTATTGTACCACTTACTCCTCAGTTCTCTGGCTCTCTTTTAGGTGCTCTCTTGGCTCTTGAGAAGTGGAATAGGTCCACTTGTATATTTTAGTGTTGACAGCTATTTTTAACTTGACCACTGTTACTTTATAAATGAGGATTACAAGTGGCTGCTCCTTTCAACAATACTTCCATTGAAATTGCATGCTGAAATAATTGCTTACAAACAGAATCTCAGGTGTTTTTCCCTATAAGTTTATGAGATAGCCAAGTTTGGAAGAAAGAGGGTCTCTCGCTACAATTTCCTGGTGTGTGACATTGGAAGTTCCTTCTCTGTGGGCTCAAATTTCTTGTCTTTAGTGAGAAGTTTCTATTAGATGATCTCTGTTTTCTCCCAAATTGAATGGGCTCCTAGTCTGCTGAGGCCTCACGTACAGAGGAACTAGGACTTGAATTTATCTTCATCTTCAGGCTCCTGGATCAGGCATGTTTTCATTGCACCAATCAGCTCCTTTTCCTTCCTGCCTGCATTGTGTTTATGCAACCAGAAGCAAATCAGCTTTGGAAGTGTGATGCTGTAGCATTTTCCACTAAGACTCTGTATTAGTCTGTTTTCACACTGCTAATAAAGACATACCCAAGATGGGGTAATTTATAAAGGAAAAAGGTTGAATTGACTCAGTTCCGCAGGGCGGGGGAGGCCCCAGGAAACTTACAATCATGGTGGAAGTCAAAGCAAACATGTCTTTCTTCACATGCAGCAGCAAGGAGAAGTGCAGAGCAAAGGTGAGGAAAAGTCCCTTATAAAACCATCAGATCTCATGAGAACTCACTCGATATCACAAAAACAGCATGAAGGTAACCACCCCCATGATTAATTACCTCCCACCATGTCCCTCCCATGGCACATGGGAATTAGAGGAACTACAATTCTAGATGAGATTTGGGTGGGGACACAGCCCAGCCATATCAGATGCCATTTTGCTTTTCTTAATCTTTGATAGCCACACTTTCTTGGAGCAAATGTTCTTTTCCCTTTCTTAAGTTTCTCCCCTTCTTGCAGTACTCTGCTTTTCCTCTCATTTCATTTAATTATGTTCTTGTTATTTTTCCAATTCATGAAGTGTCCTTCAATTAAAAGCTTGTAAATATTTTCTGCAAACTTCCTGAATATAGCTATTTCATCATCCAAGTCATTGATGGAAATATAATGCTTAAGATTCCAGAATAAGGGAAATAAAGCTGTCTGAAATACTGTCCTTATGCTACTCTCCTACAAAATATCCTGCATTTCACCGTTCCTCCAACTCCTCTCTGCGTGTTTGAACACAGCTGCGCAAAGGCTCATCAGCAACAGGGAGAAGCTGCATTCTAGAGTTGCCAGTTGTTCTGAAAGCTTGGGGAGAAAGTGAACAAAGAAATTACTGGAATAACTAGACGAGAGTTTTACAAAGGGGCTTGTACCAAAAATGAAGTATAGGTACTTGTGTGTGAGACCAACATGAGGGTGTCCGAGAAGCAGTTGTTCTGAGGGTGGGAAATTGTGGAGAGAAGTCTTGGCAGGAGATACACATTTTTCAGTCATAAACATCAGGATGAGGATGGGTGTAGTGGCTCATGCCTGTAATCCCAGCATTTTGGGAGGCCAAGGCAGGCAGATCCTTTGAGGTCAGGAGTTCAAGACTAGCCTGGCCAATGTGGCAAAACCCCATCTTTATTAAAAATACAAAAATTAGTTGGGCATGGTGGTGGATGCCTGTAATCCCAGCTACTCTGAGTCATGAGAATTGCTTGAACCCGGGAGGCGAAGGCTGCAGTGAGCCAAGTGAGCCACTGCCCTCCAGCCTGGGCAACAGAGCGAGACTCCATCTCAAAAATAAATACATAAATAAATATCAGGATGGTGAACGACGCCCTGGCATCTCACTGGAAGGCTAACTAAAGAGAGAAAAATAAGGACTCAGGGAAGAATCCGAAACAACTCTGACTTTTTTTTGAGAAAAGAAGCCCACAACAGAAGCTTGAGCATGAGCAGATAACTGCAATCAGCATCCATTCTTTCATTCATTCAACAAAAATGCACAAAGCAATTTTTAGGCCCTACAAATTCAACAGAGATAAGAAAAACATAAGAAAAACATGCCTGCTCTCCTCAAGTTTGAATTCTAGAGGGGAGACAAACATTAAACACATAATTTGCCCATCTGCTTAATCACTATTTGGATGAAGAGGCACAGAGCTTGCATGACAGGTCATGGCAGAGCAGCTGGAACCAGTCTAGGAGATTTAGGGAGGTCTTCCTCCATAAGCAAGATTCCATTTGACCTCTGAAGGGTGAGTAGGCGTTACCTAGGTGAAGGGAGAGGGTGATGATATCATGTGCATAAAACTGTACTGTATGTGGAAAGGAGAATGAAGCATTCAAAGGACCCAAAGCCCAGTAGGTTTGAAAGGCAGAAAGTGGGCAGGAGAACAACTTGAGACGGGGCTGGTGAGTTAGGTTGAACATGCAAACTAAAGATTCTTCTCTTTATCCTATGGGCAATGTGGTATCTTTAAGCAGGAGAATAACATGCTCATATAATGACTTTAAAGGGCAGTGTGATTGTGGTGTATTATACCATGTATTATATCTCTTTATGTGCACTTCACAATTAAGTGATATCTACAGGAGTACTATGAGTATTGTGCTGAATAGACACCTATTCATGATGAAGGAAGGAACAGCAGGCCCTAAACTGGCCTTAGTTTCTTACAGCTTCCTCTTGCTTCTAACAACATTGAGGTTTCTTAGCTATTTTCTTTCTTCTTCTTCAGCCAATATTGGTTGAAGAGAATTCCATCTGCAACCATATCCTTAGTAACGTATGCACTCTTTGTTAAAGTAAATGCATTTCTTTCTATTTTCTGCATAGACATAACACATAGTCAATACTCAATTTTCTTCCCTTTTTAAATAATTATTTATTGAGCATCTGCTAGGTTCCAGGCATTACACTTGTCTTTAGAAGGAGCTGAAATCAACAAAATTCACTTCAACGCAAAGCAATAATTGGATTTTATGAACTCTGTAGGCAACACATATTTGTAGGAACTCTCAAAGCGTTTTCCAATAAGAATTAAATTGCAAATGACAATTAAGTTTTTAAACCAGTCCCCAAAATCTTAATTTGATTGTAGTTACAAAAGAACTAGTTCAAGTTCGTGTGTGTGTGTGTGTGTGTGTGTGTGTGTGTGTGTGTGTGTGTCTGGTAAAGAGGTTGTGTAATGCTGCTCCTTCTTTTCCACATATGGAATTTAAAATCAAAGTTTTGAAACCGATGGGGGTTATCTTTGATCTTCTTTGATTTCCTGTCTTTACTCTGCCATGCTGTCATGTATGCATGCTATATATGTCATGGTGGCACGCTCTCTTTAGACCCTAGGGATTCAGCCCTCTCCTGCAGCCTGACCTTGGAACCCCCACTTCCTTGCCTACATGTAGCACTGCACTCAGGACTGGCCCATTGCCTGTAGATGTATTGTCTGTTTTGACAAATGCTCCCTTCTCACTTGGTATGAAAACCACATAAATGGCTTGGACCTAGGTGGGATTCGAGGAAAGAAGCAAAAAAGGAAGGAATTTATAGTCTATAGGTAAGGCAAATATGAACCAATCACCTAATTACAATTGAGATTCATATAATACATTTAGGGTGCTCCAAAAGCATGTGATGCCGGGATTGGCCAAGTCTTGGGTGTAGAAGGAAACCATCTCTGATGAAATGGCATTTAAGATGACTCATGTAGGATGAATGAAAGTCTTTATATAATGTAGAGAGATTCCTATTGATCCATATGAATTCCTCTCTTATTCACATGTGACCCCCTGGTTCCAGCTGTCCTGGACCTCCATTGTCACCATCCCCATTGGGCCAACTCCAGGACCAGCACACTGACAAGAAGTCAGCGACCCTGAATTGGGAGCCCCCAGCATACTCAAAGCCTTTTGCATCTGTGTCCATAGCCTACGACCTTCTGACTCAGAATCAGATGAGTCATATCACCCAGGTGTGATATCACATGGGTTCAGAATTGCATGTTAAGAAAACAGGCTTAGGAGTTGAGCCACCTTGGCTTCAAGTCTTGACCCCACCTAAGAAGCTGTATAACCTTGGAAATATTGCCCAACCTCTCTAAGCTGCAATTTCCTCATGTATAGAATAGGGAGGAAAAAAAAGTGTGCCTCATATTGTTGTGGCAGTTAAGATGATTTGACTGCAGCAGGCAGAAATCTACAGTTAAATTGGTTAAAAAATAAAGAGATGCATTATCTTATAGAAAACGTAATCTGCCCCAGGGATGGAAGAGCAGATCCCTGGCTGCATTTCTCTGTGGCCCTCTTGGTCCATCTTTCTCCTTTTGTAGGTTTCAACCTCAGGCAAGTAGCAAGATGGCAGCTCTAAAAATTAGATTTAGGCACAGTGTGCAACAGGGAAAGAAGAGAAGCTCCCCCTTCTCACAGCTCTCTCCTAGGAGCGCATCCTAGATCTCTGGTACACGTCCCCTCAAGGTCCTGTTAGCCAAAAGTTGGTCATATGCTTGTTCCTGAAAGAGAAACTAGCCAAAGAAATGGGAGGCCCTCAAACAAACCAGAGCCATTGTACAGCAGAGAAGGAGGCATCTTGCTTCTGGGGTACAAGGCGGGTGGAGGTGGAGAACAAAACAGAATTGGGGTGCTATAGAGGGAAAAACAGGGTCGTGGATGCTGGGGAGGGTCTGCTATAGAGTGTGGGAAGGATTCAGTGGGAATTGCACATAAATTGCTTATTACTGTGTTGACTTATATAAATAATTAATCATTAGCTTGGTAAAAGGGCAAACCCAAAGGAAGCTTCTGCAGCTCTACAGGGACCAAAATAACTAGTTCATTGTCTCCACTTAGTGGCCTTTACTGTCACAATGCCCTGTGTACCTCCCCAAGAATGTCCCTTTCTATAGCAATAGGCCTGGCAGTTGATGGGTACCTAGAGGTTGGGGGTTCCACTTCAAAAGACCCCTAGTCAACCCTGTGGTGTGCTAAGGTCAAAATAAATCATAATCTGGTAGCTGTCCATCCCCCAGGGAACACATTTCAATGGAAGATGCCTGAATCTCCTTCAGATTGTTGCAGAGCTGATATTCCAGAAACCAGAGGGCCTCCTGGGCCCTTCAAGGTGTCTGAGGCCACCAACCCTATGGCTTTCTGCCTCTAGCTTCCCTCTTTTGAAAACATCCACACCACTCTGCATAGCTCCCTGCGACACCAAGAGCACCCGCCAAGGACCCAACAGGGGCTCCAGGAATTGATCCACTGTGACAATGAGCCCACTTTCCTTCTTTGAAATGCAGGCTCCAGAAATCTTTAGAGGCTTCTCCCAGGCAAACCTAGAGACATTCTAAAGGAGAAGGCCTGCTGGGAAAGGGGTCGGGGGCGGGTGTTAGTTCTGAGCCATTTTAGTTCTTCTAAATGTGGTCTGCATGACTTCTCAGTCATGGCCCCCTCTTTGGGTCTTGCCCGATACTCTCTCTCCGCGGTTCTCTTCTGCCTTGTTTTTCTAACCCATTTGGCACCTTACCTTACTTCCCATTCATTGTTTGGCTCCTGGGATTGCTGTCCCAGTTTGGAATGTTTATTTTGGCCCTGACTTTGCATTCTTCCAGGGACTTGGTTTTCAGTATTTACCTATCTGTACATTGCCCCATGACTCCCAGAGAGAAATACCTCCTTCCTCTGCCCCACCCTACCCACAGACTGAGTGTGTACTCTGGCCAGCCTCATCTGAGGCAGAGATAAGTCCATAATCGACAGTCATCCTTCCTTTCCTTCTACTTTGTGAAAGCTGCTGTTCCTTAAGTGTCTTGCAGAGGCAGGAGAGAGGTCATCGGAGTAAACCGATTCTATCCCCTATGGGAATTACTGGTACCCATTACCTACTTAACACTTCAGGTTATATCTTAAATATATGTTTGATTTTTAGAAGTCAGGAAATGTAACAATACAGAATGAATTATTTAATATTTGGGGTGCAAGAAGCCCCAAGCTGGTGTTAGTCGCTCCTTCCTGGGAGATGGAAACTCCTCACATCCACTGGGAGCTGTGTCTTGTCCCCACCTCTTTCCTTACTCAACTTCTGGATAAACAGATCCCATAAATGTTTAATTTTTTTTTCCAGTGGCTTTTGTGGTTGTCATAATGGGCATCAAAGGTATGGAAGAACATGGGTGCCCCATTTCTTGTGTGATTTGGGGGTTTGGGTAGTGAAATATACATTTGTTCTAACCAATGTTGCTTCTTTACTATTTCCTTTAAGTTGTTGCAAAAAGCTGGCATATGGAACTGCTGGCTTCGAATTCTGTCTTAAACATCCCTCCAATTATTACTTTTGTTTTCTCAGCTTCACTTAGTAGAAAAACTCCATAGAATGAAAGACATGGAGGGAAATAAAATTAGATTTAAGCAGGGCACGGTGGCTCATGCCTGTAATCCCTGCACTTTGGGAGGCTGAGACAGGTGGATCACTTGAGGCCAGGGGTTCGAGACCAGCCTGGCCAACATGGTGAAACCCTGTCTCTGCTAAAAATACAAAAGTTGGCCAGGCATAGTGGTGAGTGCCTGTAGTCCCAGCTATTCGGGAGGCTGAGGCAGGAGAACCGTTTGAACCCAGGAGGCAGAGGTTGCAGAGAGCTGAGATTGCACCAGTGCACTCCAGCCTGAGTGACAGAGTGAGACCCTACCTCAAAACAACAACAACAGCAACAACAAAATCAAAAACAAACAAAAAATAAAATTAAATTAAAGAAAGGGATCAATTAGATTTTAAAGTAGAAAGTGACTGATGTCTTGAATTTCAGGTATCAATCCAGGTTCTGTTCCTTCCTTATACCTTGATGTAATGAACACTTATGAATTGCAGATAAGCAAAACCAGCTGCTAGGCATGGGGAATATTCACCTGCTTTATCTCTATGATAGATATTTTAAAATGTAATGAAACTATCAAGGTTAATAAACCAACTATCAAGGCCATTAACAGGTGACGTCTGGTTATATTCATGATCCACATGAACCTGAGTCAGAAATGCATATAAACTGTTGTTTGATTTTAGAGGCTCTAAGGGTAGGGAAACATCTAGAAATAACCATTTTTCTGTACTTCTCACCAAGTCTTTACAGAAAAAGTCACCCTAACTCCTAAACCCCCAAACAGGAGCCTTTGAAATTATTTATGCAGACAGTTCTCTCAATAATTGCCAAGCCCAGATCATTAGTAGTAATTACTCCAGTTGTTTTTATAAGGCTGATAAATAAAAGGTTTGAATCAACATATAAAACTTCCTAGAATGTACAAGATCTGTGAAACTCTTGTAACATAAAGGGATATAATGATACTACGGAAAATCAGCAAAGCAAACAGTCTCATTTTGGGATCTCATTTAGCGTCCACATACAAACAGGGACACTGTCATGACTATTCTCAGGAAACTTCCCCTGAGCCAGTGAACGATTTTCCAGTATCTGCTCAGGGCTACGGTCCAGTGATAACGGGTGACACATGAGGTAAGAGGTTTATGTCAGCGTCAAGTTGATATTGACAATAGTTTGCAAGTTTATTTCAATGAGGTGGACTTCGAGTTTGCGTATATGTACATTCTTTGGGTAGGATGTTCACTTTCCATCCTAGAATGATAATAATTTTGTTATCTCAAAAAATGGAATGATTTCTGGAACATTTATCTATTTACCATGGCAAAGCCAGGAAATGTGTCTATTAACATTCAAAATAAGAAGCATATTTGTAGCAAAAAAAAAAAAAAAAAACAGAAAAAAGTAGTGTTTCCTAAGTTGAATACCTTCCAAACATTTATGCGTTCTTTGTTTAATTTGAACCACTGACAATAGTTAGTCAAGTGCTATAGCCCTTTTTTAATTTTCTGTTTGAGAAGCATAGACTGAGAGGAGCCAAAAGTCTGAGAAATTCAAAATTACTATAAAACTGCCCCATTTTTCTTAATTAAAGAGTAGGCTAGTCTGATTCATAGAGACAGGCCTGAATTGGAGAACCCTGTATAAAAAACGCAATTTATGGCAGCACTTGACAGGGATAGGGGAATCAAATTAAAAGCTTAGAGAATTTTAAAAAAACTAATAAAAATGAATCATTTGTTACTCACTTATTATTTGTATATAAAGGCTACTACGAGGTTGGTTTCTCATGTTGTTTTGGAAAAAATGCATTTGCCTTAGCGTTTAAGTAGACTAAACATGTCTCTTCGTTAATCGTCACTGGCAGTGTGGTCTGTCTGGAATGACTCCAAATTCCCAACTAATAGAGTCCAAATTAATAAACTATGTTGGCTTTGCCAATATTATGCTGGTTACAGCTACATCAGTTGCTGGCTTTGGGGAGGGATTTATTTTTTTAACAGTCGCAGAAAAAGAAGGTACCAGTGTGTAACAAAATGGTTGTACATTCCCGCTATGGCCACCAGAGGGCTATACACCATTACAAATACTCCAGGCCTCGCTACTGAAATGCGATTACAGGCAAGCAGTGTGGGTGTCCTCACTGGTAAGAATCTCCAGCCTGATCCCAGACCTGCTGAATCAGAACCTGCAGCGATGTGACTTCAGGGAATTCATGTGCACATCAAAATTTGAGAACTTCCAGGCTGGGCGCAGTGGCTCACACCTGTAATCCCCAGCACTTTGGGAGGCCGAGACAGGTGTATCATTTGATGTCAGGAGTTCGAGACCAGCCTGGCCAACATGGTGAAAGCCCGTCTCAGCTACTTGGGGAGGCTGAGGCAGGAGAATTGCTTGAACCCAGGAGACAGAGGTTGCAGTGAGCCGAGGTCGCACCACTGCATTCCAGCCTGGGCGACAGAGTAAGACCCCATCTCTTCTCTAGGTTATGGGAAGAAAACACTTTATATTTTGTATATGATCAGAATTTGAAGATATAAAAACTGGAGGCATTTGTCATCCAGTCTCAAGCTCAGTTTCTTGTCTCCCGATTTTTCCTATCTGCATTACAGCCCAAAAACTCTTCTCTTCGTAAAAGAACCTGCCCTAAAATGTTCCTTTCGTGACATGTTCTAATCCCATCAATTACTGTAGCTGTCAAATGTATAGATTTTTTTGGAGCCAAAAGAGCTCTTCAGTATTATCTAACACTAGTCTAAATTTTCTATTTTTACAGGAGAAACAACTGGGCAGGGAATTTTCAGAAAATGGTCCTTTAAGTGAAATTATCTTCCCTTCCACACCCAAATCCAAGATATTTGCCTTTCAAGATTCAGGACCCACAGTGAATATAAACGAGACCCTGCGCTCTCAGGAGCTCCCCTCCCTCACAGAAAGAGGTGGTGTTGAGCCGGGTGAGCTGGAGACAAGAGCAAGTCTTGCCAAGCCATGTGCACCCTTGGTGGGGGGAGAGCTTCCACCCTGTCCTACCTGAGTGTGCCAGGACTCCCCAAGGGACTTAAAGATTTGGACAAGTTTTTCCTGCCCTTAGCACTGGGAGAGCCCAAGATAATCCTGGGAGCAGGAATGCTTCCTCTAAATGCCTCTGAGACACCTGAGCCATTGAGAGGATGTGTCCCCAGGTGTGTCATTTTCTACAACCCGGCTCACAGGAATGAGATCCCTTGGCCTGAGAGTTTCCTGATCTTTAGAGTAGTACACAAAAAAATAAGCCTGAGCTCAAATAGGCCATCAGAGAAAAATAATAGTATATTTAACTTTGTTCGGAAGCCAAAGAGAGGACAAATCGATACAACCATCAGATAACACAAGCAGCGGCACAGACCTGGTGGTGCAAATAAGTTCCTAAATAAAAAGTTAAAAAAACCCTTAAGAACAAAACAACAGAACAGCAAGTAAAAGAAAAAGACTTCCTAGAGCTTTTGAAAACCTTACTATTTCAGTAGAGG
Organism: Homo sapiens; assembly: GCF_000001405.40. Taxonomy (NCBI): domain Eukaryota; kingdom Metazoa; phylum Chordata; class Mammalia; order Primates; family Hominidae; genus Homo; species Homo sapiens. The sequence continues at coordinate 5,073,041 of NW_018654717.1, read as the reverse complement.
AATTAAGAAAATGGATGGTGATTGATGAGAATGGAATGAGTAGCCTGGAAGGTCAAGTACAAACAGCATCACAAATCCCAGAGCAAAATACAGAGGGAGAAATCATAATGGAAAAGGTGAGAGATTCGGAAAATAGAAGCAGGATGCCTATCATTTGAATAACAGACGTTGTAAAAGAGGAAGAAAGAACACATGGAGTAGAAGAAATAATTTTATACAATGTAGGAGAAAGTTTTCCTAAGCCTGTCTTCAAAGAAGAAAAGCTCAGAATTCTTAGCTGAATTCTTAAGAAAAACAGGCAGGTGGGCATATCTTGGTAAAATAAATTTCCAGGTTTTTTTCTTTTTTGGAAGAAAAAAAAATAAAACTGTCATGGGACTTCTTGCCTGCAACTCAGAAAACTAGAAGACAGTGAATTTTTAAATTCATGCAACTGAGAGAAAATCCCAGGAATTCTATACTAGGCAGTTGTTTATCTATTAAGGTGAGAGAAAGGTCTATGATTTGCGTATGGTTTGTGCCCACCAAAATGCAAGTTGAAATTTGGTTTTCAAAGTGGTGATGTTGGGAGGTGCGGGCTAGCGGGAGGCGTTTGAATCATGGGTGTGGATCCCTCATGAATGGCTTGGTGCCATTATCTAGGTAGTGAGTGAGTTCTTGCTCCAGTGACACTGGATTAGTTATAGGAATGGATTAATTCCTGAAGAGTGGATTGCTATAAAGACAGAATGCCCCTCAGGTTTGCCTCTTCTCATGTATCTGCTTCCCCTTTTACCTTCTCCACCATAATGTGCACAGCACAAAAGCCCTCACCAGGAGCCAGGGTCATGCCCTTGAATTTCCAAGTCTGTAGAATTGTGAGCTAAATAAACCTTTTTATAAATTACCCAGCCTCGGGTATTCTGTTATAGCAACATGAAACACACAGAGATATTTGAGAACACGCATTAATGCAGAGAATAAATCATTGAGTACCCCACCCGAGGTAAATACTTCAGAAAAGGAGCTTTCCAAGGACCAAATGAACTGGATCAGAAGCATCGGATGGGGGAAGGTAAGCCGGAAAGAATGGGAGATGAACAACGTCTTGGCTGTATAAATATGTCATTAAATGTTCACGGATAAAGATACAATGTGTTACGTAAGTCCCTAATGCGGACCCTGAGAACAAAAAGATGGTAAGTGAAAATCTGATGTATATGTATTAAACTATTTTAGCAATACGTTGGAATTAAGAATGCAACAGGAAGTAAAATCATCTCAAAGTTTAATTAAGGACTGAGGGATATGAGAGAAGGCAGAAAAGGGGAAAATGAAGAATTCTAAAGATTTCATTCCATTAGATGGTGAGCAAAATATGAAGGAATCAAGAAGAAATCAGTAGAGGAGAAAGTAGAGCTCAGAGGGAGTGATACCATCGAAATAATAGGACAATAGCGTCATTTGGTCTGATCTAGAGAGCAGGAGAAAGCCAGGTCATTAATTGAATGGAATATTATGATAGAACTCCTAAATTAACAAGATAAAGATAAAATATATAGCAACACAAGAAGACCGAAAAAAATAAGAAGGGAAACAGAGGAATAACAATGTTAAATAGCAGCCATAAAGTAATAAGAGAGGTATATTTATTTAACGTTTTCTTTCTTCTGTATTATTTGGGTACATTTTAAACCCAAACAGATTTAAAATTTAAGGCTATGAGTCGTTTGTTTGTTTGTTGTTTTTGTTGTTTAGCTAAGTACAGCTTTTATTGCAATACCCAAGCATTCAGGTACAGCATTTTCCTTACTTTGTAATTCCAAATATTTTCTAAGAAGTTAGAACTTCTAGGCCGGGCACGCGGCTCACGCCTGTAATCCTAGCACTTTGGGAGGCTGAGGCAGGCAGATCACCTGAGGTCAGGAGATCGAGACCAGACTGGCCAACACAGTGAAACCCCATCTCTACTAAAAATACAAAAATTAGCCGGGGATGGTGGCGCATGCCTGTAATCTCAGCTACTTGGAAGGCTGAGGCAGCAGAATCGCTTGAATCAAGGAGGCAGAGGTTGCAGTGGGCCGAGATCGTGCCACTACACTCCAGCATCGGTGATAAGTGAGACTCTGTCTCAAAAAAAAAAAAAAAAAAAAAAAGAGAAGTTAGAACTTCTTTTGACCCATGGATGATTCAGCTTATTTTTAATTTTTAAAACTTCAATTTTTGAGTGTGTAGAATGAACATTTTGCTATTGGTGTCTAATTTAATTGTGCTATGGCCAGAGATTGTTGTCTATAAGAAAAAGGTTTTTCAAATATTCATTGACATTTGCTTTGTGGCCCAAAATGTAATATTTATATGTAATGACCTTTAAATCCAGCTTATGTTGTCTTGCCTGCTTGATCTATCAATTGCTAAAGAGGTACATTGGAATCCCCCACTATCACGATTGGTATGTAAAATTCTTCCTATATTCTTCCAAATTAACCTTTATATATTTTGAAGCTATTTTATTGAATTTGTATAAATTTAGAATGGATACATCTTTCTGTTGAGGTGAAACTTTTATGAACATGTAATAATCTTCTTCATTGTCATTAATGTTTTTATTTCTGATGTTTATTTTTTCTATTATTAAAATAATTCTCCTACTTTCATCTATGTAAATATATCTTTTCCAATTAAACCTTACTGTGTTCTAAAGTGTTAAGTTTACTTCTTCTAAACAGAATATAACTAGATTTCAAAAAAAAAATCTAGTCTGACAGTCTTTATCTTTGAACTGCAGATATTAGTCCATTTATACTTAATGTGATTATTATTATTTTGTATTTTCTAATTTTCTCCCAAGTTTATCTCCCCTTTTACTCCTTTCTTTCTCTCCTTTGGATTAAGTTTTTGTTCCATTCCTTAGTATTTTCTAAATGATAAATTATTTCTGTTTTTAGTAATGACCCAGAAAATATAACATGCATGTTTAATTTAACAAGATGTAAAGTTAATCAACAGCTTTACCCTCCTCCCCAAAATCTAAGAGCCTCAGTTGGCCTTTCTCCCATTTTCTTCTCCTCCTGACATTTATGCTATTTTTTGTATAGAAATTTATGTACATATCTTAATTTTTGTGGTCTTATACATTGAACATTTTTATCATAACCTTATCAGTCATATAAATTTTGTTTATTCACATTCATGCCTCTTAGACTCTTTCTGAGATTCTTTTGTTCTCTTATAAAGAAATTACTTTGGAGGGAGTCTGTTCGTCACGACTTCTCAGTTTTTGCTTATCTAAATGTGTTTTTCTTTGTCCCTTGTTACTAAAAGAGAGTTTGGTTACATGCAGTTCTAGCTGAATATATTTTCAGTGCTTTGAAGATGTTATGCATTGTCTTCCTGACCTTCATTGTCCTTCCTGTCAATGGAATTGTTATTTTTTTTATAGATTTTGACATATGCCCTAATTTGCCTTCCATAATTCCTATTTATTTCTGTGATACTCTTCACCTGTTTGGTTAGCACCCCTTTCATTCTCAAGAGTATCCTGGTTTGGCCGGGTGAGGTGGTTCATGCCTGTAATCCTAGCACTTTGGGAGGCCAATGTGGGCAGATCATGCGAGGTCAGGGGTTCCAGACCATTCTGGCCAACATGGTGAAACCCTGTCTCCACTACAAATACAAAAAAACTAGCTGGGCATGGTGGCACATGCCTGTAGTGCCAGCTATTAGGGAGGCTGAGACAAGAGAATCACTTGGACCTGGGATGCGGAGGTTGCAGTGAGCAGAGATTGCGCCACTGCACTCCAGCCTGGGCGACAGACTCCGTAAAAAAAAAAAAAAAAAAAAAAAAAAGAGTAACCTTGTATCCTGGTTTGGTCAATAAATTTGGCCAATAAATTATATAGTTAACCAAGTGTTAAGCAATTTATCCTTTCCCTCTGGATACCTTTAAGGTTTTTTTTTTTTTAATAACCTTTGGCGTTCTGCAGTTTTATTATATGTCTTGGTGTTGAATTTCTTTTAATTTACTCTACTTTGGATTGCTTGGGCTTCCGGAATCTAAGATATGGTTTTTCCAGCCGTCCAAGAAAGTGCTCGATCATCATTATCTTTCAAACGCCTACCTTTTCTCCTTTTTCTCTGTTCTCTTCTTTAGGAAGCATTAGACGTGCTTTAATGTTGACTGATTTTACTCTCCTCTCCATGTAGCTTAACTGCTCAGATTTTCCATTTCCACATTTGTCTGTGCAATGGTCTGAGTAATTTCACCAGCTCTGTTTTTCAGTAATTTGTGATGTATCCAGTTATTACTGAGTTTCCAATTTCCAGTTTTTCATCTTTAGATATTCACTCGGTTCTTTTTCAAGTTGATCTGGCCAATTTTCATAATCTCTTATTAGTTGGTCATTCTTTCACTTTGTCTTTTTCCTTTAAATATACTACACTTGTTTATTTTGTATTTTTAGCGATTCCAACACCTATTGTTTTTGTCTATCTGAATCTGCAGTTTCTTGTTTCTGCTGAGTCTCATGCTTAACGCTGATGTGCTCCTTCCTCATTTGTGGGCAGGAGATCTGGTTTAAATGGTGAGTCTTCTTCCATTGGTCTGGGAACACTATCACCTTATGGGCACTACCAGTTCAGGACTACTAGAAGTTTAAACTTATTGTCTTCCAGAACATACAGACAGTAGAAGTTCTGGCCTTGCAGACTTGTTAGTATGATCTTGTGGTTAGAAATTTTCACAGGAGAGTTTTCTCCTACCTTCTTCTAGTCTCACCACAACCAAAACCAACACAAGCATGTATGATCATTGTTTTCCTCTTCAAGGCAAGTTCTTTCTTAGTTCAAACTGTGAATGTCACCTACGGAGGTACAGCTTTATGCAGTGGGTCTCATAGGTGACCTCTCATGATGTTCAGACTTAAGGCTTCATCTCTTGGTCCCCATGTGTGGCTTGTTGTGACTAAGGCTCTAGGTTACCAGGCCACCCAGATATCTCCAGGGAAAATTCCAGCACAAGTGTTGCCTCTTGGATTCAATATTTCTTGTCATTTCTGAACACTAAATCCCTTACTTCTCACATGCCAAGTCATGTAATATACATCCATCTATCTATCTATCTATCTATCTATCCATCTATCCATCTATCTATCCACCACATATATTCATGTAAATATACATTTATCATTTTTAACTGAGATATACTTTCAAAAGTTTATTTGAATATCTTATCTGCCATATTACTAGAAATTGAACTGGTCGTGTGTGTGTGTGTGTACGTACGTGCACAAAACTTGTTGATTTGCTCAAGGAAATATTCATAGCCCTTTACAGTGCCTTACCTTAATTAACATGTGAGTCATCTCACTGCCTTAGCTGGGCTGCCTCATCCTCCTCTGTCTTATTCTGATACCCTGAAAGTTTTCTAAGATAGATTGATTTTTCTCATATCTTGCAATAAGAATTCAGAGACTGTTCTCCAGCAGGCATGTAAAATTAGAATAACATGCTTCAGTGCATTTCTGGAGTACAGAAAAATTTTATAATATTAACTAATGAATGGTGCAAAACACAGAAATAAAGGCATGAAAGAAAACATAAGTACATGTCAGTAAACTAAAACATAGAAATCTTTAAGTCTTGTAGTGTACTTGGTTATTGATCATTGATGATTGATTGTGATAGGTATTAGATAACTAAAATTTCACTCAATGTAAGATCATTTGATGTGCACTTTAAGTAATGAAAAGAATCTTCTGTCTAGGTGTGCTACATATTGGATTCAAGAAACGTCTCTCAATTCCTATAGACCCACACTCAATGGCAATTAAAGCAAAATAGCGACAATTTCTTTAATAATGTAATTGACTTACATTTAAGGCTTTGTTCCTTACTCTGAATTTTCTTACTGTTTCTTCACAATGTTCTAATTTTCAGTCACTTTCTGTCTAAAGCTACAACAGAGTCTTCTTTTTATCAAGCTAATGGTGCCATCTGTTTTTAAAAATATAATTCTATGTGTACTGCTCTGTCTTAATTTCAAGGAAATATTTGTTATCTTTTCTCCACTTTCTTGAATCACATGTTCTAATGTGTTTGTCTTTGGATGACTTTATTCAGAAGAAATTTATAATTTTTCTTCAAGTTTTATTGAATATTATTCTGCAGATTTATTTGCATTCCATCATTTCATCACATGCCTTCTATAATTAATATTCAAATCTAGGAAATTAGGGAAAGACTGTTCAGGAATTAAATCAAATTATGTAATTATTCTGGCCAAGTTTTGATTTCTTAACTGATGTGTTGAATGTGTGCCAGGATAATTCACTGAAACATTAAAATGTATTTCTTCTTTCTCTTTCTCCCCGAGCTTTCAGCAATAATGGATGCCGATCCCTTGCCTCTGGCACTTTTAGCAGTGCAGAAAGCATAAAATAATGGACAATATTGCTACCTCTCTTTTTCAAAAATTGGAGCTCACTGAGGACAATACGCTCTGTGCCCATAGGGAGAAAAAAGAAAAAGAAAAGAAAAGGAAAGGAAAAAAAGAAAGAAAGAGAGAGAGAGGGAGGGAGGGAGGGAGGGAGGGAGGAAGGAAGGAACGAAGGAAGAAAGGGAGGGAGGGAGGAAGGGAGGAAGGAAGGAAAGACTTTTTGTTGTTACTGTTTCTCTCTCTCTCTCTTTCTTTCTTTTTTTCTGTAGGGAGATCATGCAGTCTAGGTGCACTGGAGATCCATACCCCAATCTTTCATAGCACTTCTAAGGGGGACTTTGCCATGTATAGCTAGACACCTGGGCTCCTTGGCAAAGGAGAAAGGTAACTCTGCTTGGGCTGAGAATGAGGAACAGCTCACTTCCAGGGACCACAGGCTCAGAGAATTGCATAATCATGGCAGCTCTACCGGGTTGAAGAACGCATGGGGATCCTTCTCCCTTTTGAGTACCCTATAGACTTCCTGGGCTCTCTGTATCTCAGAGAGGACAGCGGCCTTTGTGATGATAGAAATGGAATTTTCTGCTGGTCCCTTACAGAATAGGAATCCTAAATCACAATTACTTTAAGTTAAAATATAGGAATCATTGCATTTCTTCTATACATGAATTTTGGTTTGCAAATGCATATTCTGTACAAATACCTGTCAGAGAATAGCAACACCCATTCCCAGGTTGTCCACACACCATACTGTCCCTATTGTCATAGGAAGTTGCGAAGGTCTTGAGACAAAGATACCTGCAAAGCACACAGATTTCTACCCATCTTTGAGGAAATATATGTGAAAATCTGTGCAAAGTATAAAGCGCTAGAAGTAATTATTATTTTTAAATAAAATATGTGTCGCGTATTATTTAAAGGACTTGCAGGAAGAATCTGTACGAAACAGTGCTGGGTTGTCATAGTTAAAAATTGCTTTAGGGTTTTACATAACTGAATTTCCAAGATAGAATTTTATATTACATTTTTAAAATAATTCCAGAGTATCCTGGAAAATGTGCTCTGAATCTCAAATTTCACCACTTCCCTGCACTCTATGAATTATTCTTATTTGCCTGAATAGATGAAATTGCCAGTTTGTTTGAAACATATTGTACACTATATACAATTTCATATACAAGACAATTTCTGTATACATGAGAGGATTTCTGGCTTCTGGTCTGACATGTAAAGAGCTTGAAAGTTATTGCTTCTTAGCTGGGTGTGGTGACACGCACCTGTAGTTACACCTACTCGGGAGACTGAGGCAGGGGGATCATTTGAGCCTGGGATGCAGAAGTTGCAGTGAGCTGAGATTGTACTCCATCTGCACTCCAGCTTAGGCAACAGATTGAGACCCTGTCTCAAAAAAAAAAAAAAAAAAAAAAAAAAGGAAAGAAAGAAAGTTATTAATCCTGTCTTTACAACAAGGAAAAAAACTGAACGAAGGGAAAATCAACTTTTCTTAGTTCCATCAGAGAACTGAGGTCACAGGGTCAACTGCAACCCCTACAACTGGAGACAAAGGCAGACAAAGAATCACAGCTTCCTGGAACAGAAGCCCAGGAGCAGAAGAAGCCTGTGGCTGGAGCCAGTATCCGTCCGAACGCTGGCACTGGTAACCGATGAATTGTTGGGAGGCTCAGTGGACCAGCCTGAGTTATATTTCTGGGGGCCCAGTCTTGGGAGGGGCACACTTTCAAGAGTTTTACCTCCAGGACCCCTAACAGGTTGTCATGTGAAGATCAAGAAAAAATCCCCTTGTGCTTCTTGCAGCCGGGACAAGCATATAAACCATTTGAAATATACCCAGATCCTCCACCTCCCAAGTTCAAGAGATTCTCCTGCCTCAGCCTCCCGAGTAGCTGGGACTACAGGCACCCGTCACCACGCCCAGCTAATTTTTGTATTTTTAGTAGAGACAGGGGTTCGCCATGTTGGCCAGGCTGGTCTCGAACTCCTGACTCAGGTGATCCATCCGCCTCAGCCTCCCAAAGTGCTGGGATTACAGGTGTGAACCACTGCACCTGGCTCCTTCTGTTCTTTTTAAAAAGGCCTTCCCTCAAGAGAAACATTTTACCAGAGTCTAACCAATCAAGGAGAAGGAAAATACCTAAGTGAAGCTCACTAAAGGACTGAGACCTAATCTTAGGAGTATAAATGCCTCTTCTCCCCTCAACACCTCACCACCACATCAATAGAGGTTTTATATAATAGCAGGGGAATATAGCTGAAAGAATTGCAAGCCTCAGACCCCATTTAAGGAGTCTCTAGACAAACTAGAAGACCACAGGGGAGACAAAAACAAGGACACTGAGGGAATGTTAGCCGCTGACACCACAGCTATAGCAAACAGTAAACACAGCCTAACTCCTGGCCAAATCAACATAGAAGCTCCCGCTCAAGGCCTGTCTCAGCTGTTTGTGCTCTATGCAAATGAGAGCAGCTTCCTAACTAAGCACTGAAGGACTATCTTGAAGGTGACAGTGGGGGCCCCTAGGTGGATCATTTCTCCAATGTTTGGGTACAAGCTACACACAGGCTACAGCAGTAATGGCATGCAGAACTGCAAGAGTCACAGACACATGAACCATCTTGAAGGACAGACGCTGAGCTTCAGAATCACAGAATATCAGCGCTGATAGGAATCATTTAGTGCTGGCCCAACACTCACATTGCAGATGAGAAAATCGAGCTCCAGAAGAGATGATCTTTGGCCGGGCGCGGTGGCTGACACCTGTAATATTAGCACTTTGGGAAGCCGAGGCGGGTGGATCACATGAGGTCAGGAGTTAAAAACCAGCCTGGCCAACATGGTGAAACCCCATCTTTACTAAAAAAAAAAAAAAAAAAAAAAAAAAAATTAGCCGGGCGTGGTGGCAGGCGTCTGTAATCCCAGCTACTTAAGAGGCGGAGGCAGGAGAATCGCTTGAACCTGGGGGCGGAGGTTGCAGTGAGCCGAGATTGTGCCACTTCACTCTAGCCTGGGAGACAAGAGTGAAACTCCATTACAAAAACAAAAACAAAAAAACAAAAACAAAAACAAGAACAACAACAAAAAAACATGCAGGAGTCTTGGGATGTTATCTTAAAGCGAAGTTTATTTTTCATCTTCCGCCATTCCTGTATGTTTTCCTGGGGTGGAAGTCGTTTCCTGATCTCTGAATGAAAAATATATTTACTTTAAATCAGATGCTTCTCAGTGTGGTAATTAGTGGCAAGGCCTATAGAATAAGCAAAGTTTCAAATTAGACTTAGAGTAAAATCTCACACTGTCCTTCCTCCCATTCATCCACCCAGCACTGGGGTCTGCTGAGGTCTGGAATCTTCCAGTGGGTAAAGAAGGCTGGTCATTTCTCTCTTTGCTCCTCCTCCCACAGAAGTTTCTGACCGTATTTGGCTGATGTAGGGAAAGCAAGAAGTAGGAGGAGATGGAAAGTTTCTACTTGAATGGTAATGTTTTAAGATGGTTTCATGCACTCCGAGTGTGAAAACTATTTTAAGGCCAAATCTGTCACAGCTGCCCCAGTACTTTTGAGGGGTTTTCCGAGAACCTATCCTGAGGGTCAGCAAATGTCCTCTGTAAAAGGTCAGATATTGAATATTTTAGGCTTTGCAGGTCACACATCTTCTGTTGCAGCTACTCAACTCTGCCCTTGTAACGCCAATGAATGGGTGTGGCTGGGTTCCAACAAATCTGCAGTTACAGTAACACCCAGCCCAGGGGCCACAGTTTGCCAACCCCTGATCCATCCAGTCTCGGAATTCCAGGTCCGTTGGCTCGGGCATGTGGAATCTAGTTCGTGGTTGCTGAATTCCCCTTACCCCTTTGGGAAAGAAAGAGCAGCTCCAGCTTCTCCCCCGCTGGAGCCTGGTGTTTTTCTAACAGCTACTTGAACAAGTTCTGGAATGCATCCCCATTCCTTCTCTTCATCATGGGCTCGTTACATCAGGTCTACAAGAAACTGTCATGAATTATTTGACCCCCCGACCAAAGACTCTGGGCATCTGGCTGATCCTTCTCCTGGGAATTCACTTTAGTTTGCCATCAAGTTAGCTGGCCAGTTTGGAATCTCAGATCCACAGGCATTAGTCAAATCCAGGTCAGCTGCGTCCATCTAGATTCAGGGACATGAATTTCCCGAGGGGTCCTTTGAAGGCCCCTCTCTCTGCTCGAAGTAAGGAGCAGGCATGGTGGGTCTCATTATACTCCAGCAGCCTTTGCCAGATCATCTCCACAAACCTCTTCGGTCTCCAACAACCCGATCCCTCTCACCCTTGGTGTAGGTGAATCTCTGACTTGCTTCAAATTTCCAGGTGGCCGGGTGTGGTGGCTCATGCCTGTAATCCCAGCACTTTGAGAGGCCAGGGCAGGAAGATCATCTGCGACCAGGAGTTTGTGACCAGCCTGGGCAACATAGGGAGGCCCCATCTCTACAAAACAATAAATAAATAAATAAATAAATAAATAAATAAATAAATAAATAACTAGGCATGATGGTGCATGCCTGTAGTCCCAGCCAGCAGGCTAAGGCAGAAGGATTGTTTGAGTCCAGGAGTTCAAGGCTGCAGTGAGCTATGATTGTGCCACTGCACTCCAACCTGGGTGAGAGAGTGAGACCTTGTCTCTAAAAAATAATAAAATCAAATAAAAATGTTTCCATGGGAGAGAAACATGGCATCTATTGTCTTCACACCTCAGTCAAACCCAGACAGGAAGTGCCATTTTCACACTGTGTGAGTAAAGCACTCATCACAGGACTGTGTTTCATAGCTACCAGCTTTCTTGCTTCTCGTACCTCCGTCTGAATTTCAGCCCCCACTCCCTGTGTCTCAAATTGGGATCGCCAAGCTCTCTAACATAGCTTTTAATTTTTATTGTAACCAGAATCTAAAAAATTTGACAAACACACAGCACAAGTTAATGCATTCATATTCATTATCACAATGATATTCACAATCTCCATCTTTCCCCTATCACACATATTTACATGGCGGGGAGAGGCTGGCAGAAGGGGAGAGGACAGATCTGAGGGGACAATAACGAGAGAGACAACTGTGGGGAAAAAGGAAGCCTTTAGGCGTGGGGAGGACAGGGCAGGCTGTTGCAATGGACACTTTGGGAAGCGGGAGCAGAAAAGAAGAATTTTGGGGTGTTTGGCTGTATGTGTAATGCACTCATTTAAATCTCTTTCAAGAAAACCTCAAAGAAACATCTACATTACTCTTGGAGGTTTCTGGAATAGTCTGCATTTTTTTCTTCTTTCTTTGTTATTCTTGTTGGCTAGGAAGGTTGCCTGTAGCAGGCAGAGGTTGGCTTCAGGTCAGCCCCTCTCTATTCAGGCTGCATTCCGCGTTGTTGGATAAATACAAGTATGGCCAGTTGATTTCAGTTTTACTTGTCACCCATAATCTTCAGGTGACGTAATTGGATGTTCTCATTTACCCAGAACAGTCCCTATTATTGCCTCTTGTCCCAGCATAATGAGTAATAACATCCTCTTTCACTCTCAGTCTTGTCCTGGTTTGGATGATGGATGTTATGGTCACTCTTCCTTTAAGTGACAGCTTTTGCCTTTACTGCAGTGCCTCTCTCTGCTTATCTGGCTGAAGACTAGACAGTGTCTTATAGAAAAAAATAGAAGTCACAATTTATTTCTATTAACAAAAACAATTTGTGGCTTGGAAGAAAAACTTTTCGGGGAGTTAGTAACACATTTGATCCCCATCATCCGGAGACGTGAGGAATAATTTAATTAGCCTGTGTTGCAAAGGAAGTAGCCCAAATGCTTCTCTTCTTCCCCAGCCTGGATATACTTTAACATCAGTGACTCAGGGAGCCTGTTCTACCCACATTGCTCCACACAGGCAGTTCCCTGCATAAAGTGCTCCTGTCGCTCTCCTTCCCGACCAAAATATTTCTGGGAATTTCCAGACGTTCTCTTTGCTACCAAACAAGCTTGACTACATCAGTAACCCCAAGACATCAGCTACATGCTTCATTTCCCGGTCTCTCCCCGCAAGACATCAGCTACATGCTTCACTTCCCACTCTCTCCTCTTTCCATGTCAGCTGCCTACTTGAAGGAGCCACATTCTTGCTGTAGCTGATAGAATCCCAAATAAGGCCCAATGTCTGTGGAAAGGTGCTTTCACCCAGTTCTCCCAAAGCCGCCCTTCCTCAACGGAGTTGGGCAGAGCTGGGCTCCAGGAACAGCTGCAGGGAAAGACTCCCTCTTGGCCAGTTTGTTACTGAGTCCCACGGCAGCCTGCCTGTGCCTGCGCTCAGAGTCCTTCATTTTCTGGCCCTTAATCCTTATTTGCACTGGGGTTCCAACCACGCCAATGGGCTAGATAGGAAACCATGTAGCCTCTGTTCTCTGTCTCCCGTTTCTCTTCCTCATTTTGATCAGAACAAACCTTCCAATCGTATCACTTCATGCACATAGATACCTGACAAAGGAGATGCAACCTTTTAGAAATACTCAAAATCAGCCTATCCTATCACAGAAGTCCTTTTTAATCATTAGAGCTGTTTGAAAGTAGAATTACATGCTGGTTAGGTCATGGTTTGCCCACAATAGTGGTGATAGTCTGGGAGTAACTGGATCCAGGGAATTAGAGTGGGTGTCCCTTCATTGGGTGAGAACCTAGATGTGAGGTCCACCAGGATACCTGTAATTCTGGGTTGGCCAGAATTCTAAAATTAAGTTATTTACTCTCCATTAACAAATTTGGAGATATGGAAAAATAGACTCATTGTATATTGATTAGATCATGATATTTATAAACTGGAAAATGAGAATGAACAAAGGACTATTTTTCTTCTTCTTTTTTTTTTTTTTTTGTTTCTTGAGATGGAGTCTCACTCTGTCACCCAGGCTGGAGTGCAGTGGTGCGATCTTGGCTCACTGCAACCTCCACCTCCTGGGTTCAAGTGGTTCTCCTGCCTCAGCCTCCCCAGTAGCTAGGACTACAGGTGCACGCCACCATGTCCAGTGAATTTTTTTATTTTTAGTAGAGTTGGGGTTTTGCCATGTTGGCCAGGCTGGTCTCGAACTCCTGACCCCGAGTGTAAGCAATGCTGTATTCTCTGCTTGCATAATTGTCATCTTGCTCTCTTAGCTAATACTTTGGCTTGCGACAAGACATTCCTTTTGGGCTCTTTATACTCTTGGCTCATTGACCCAGACCTGAATATCAAAGCCTCTTAGACCTGCACTTTCTCACGGAGCAGAGGCTGTGTGCGGCAGGGTCTTTGATGAATGAACCAGCCCCTCCTGTGTGGCATGCATGTGGCAAGGTGCCCGGTATGCAATCACTCAACTGCCCTGCCTTCTCGACGGAGGTGGGATTGTCCAGGTGTTTTATCATGTCCCTGTTTCCGGTCACACACTATTTATCAGGAGGGATCATTGACAGGATGTATACCAAGTCGTGACTAATACTCATTCCCCCACATCACCTCATCTTTTATTTGGTTGCTGTTGCCATAGGATTAGCATTTCCTACCAGGGCCAGAGGCCAGCTGAGAGGAAGAGCTGATGCATTGGTGAGGAAATGAAGTTGCAACAAAGCCTACTACATTAATTCCATTTGTAGAAAACTTAGAGCTCTGAAGAAGCAAAGAAAGCCAAGAAAGTCTAAATAATTTTTGAATGCTTAATAACTCCCTCACATTTAAGAATATAACTTTACGTAAGCTATAGATATGCAAACCGTGTGTGTTATCCACATCCATTCCCTCCTCTGGAAATGAAGGATTGGTATACTACTCCTGTGCTCTCCCTCCACCAGACAATTCGATGTGCACCCAAGCACTATACACATGGAAATAATGAATTCTAGAAAACATAACTATCACACCAGCATGGTTTAAATGTGTTTATGTATACAAATAGTTGCATTTACCCAGCAAAAACAATAGTTAAATGTTTAAAAAATACATTTCCTCTCATATGCAAATAAACTAGGAGAGTGAGCTTGCTCTGCTAGGGCACGGTCACAGTGACTTGAACACTTTCCAACTCAGCCAGGTCTGGCTAAGTTGCACGCTGTTGCCTCACATTCTCTGCCTTCCTGGACCTTCCCCGTTGCATTCCTCCTTTCCCTTGCCTATTTCTAAGCCTGATTCTCCAGTTTTTATCTTCATAGGGTAAGATTTTGGAATTTTGGAACTCTTTGGAGAAAAGCTACTCCACAGAAAGAGACAGAGAGAGAGAGAGGTTCCCTTTATCTCTGTTAGCATCTGACTCTCGTTTCCTGTTTGTCTGCCCTTGCTATCTCTTTAAGACCGTTAAAATGACTTTATTAAATGTAAATATATGAAGACAATGCATATTGTGGTTCACTACACGTGCAAAAAGACTGAATCATTAGCCACCTGGTAGGACTGAGAAATATTACCCTGCATTTTTTTCTTCTCTGCCCTACAAGTTTCTATTGCAGTTTGGGTTACAGCACAGGGTAACGCAATAGGCACTGGAATTGGTCTTAGAAGATCAACGTTTGAATTCCTATTGAGGCTATTGCTAGGTTTGACAAGTCAGTTAGCCTCCTAAGGATTTCTTCCATGCTTACCCATTTCATTTGCGTCATCCAAATTTAAGGTACATGCAAATACGCTCATAAATACACACATAAACACATGTAGATATACACACATATTTTAATAGAGTATATAGTTCCTACAATCTTCATCTACTTTTTTTGCTTTGTTCAGTGTAAATTAATAGACATTTACCTTGCCCCAAATTTTTCACTACCGGCGTAGATTTTTTTTGAGGATACGATAAGGTTGTTTTTCATTTTGCTTTCAAATAAATAATCATCGGTAGGAAAAGGAGATTTATTATATGTATAAACATGTGTTCTCTGTGCAGGGGATATCAGATGTATGCTAACTCTTTTGTGTAAAGAGATCATGTCTAAATCCCTTGAGTGGCTGTTCAGCTAACGTTTAGAGTCTCTTAATCTTGTATTTGATGCTAAACCAAATAGGCCCTTAGGGAAGAATTAAGAATAAGCCAGACAGTATAAAATTCTTATTTTGTTAAAGTTGAATAGTATTTGTTGCATTAGGTACAACCAGTGTAATCACTATGAGGGTTAGTTGAGTATACTCTCTGTACACATACACTCTAAAATAAAATGACCTAGGTATACAGAAGGACTAAAGGGATTAAAGATTTCTATCTTATTATTTGACATTGAGAGCACTGCCCTTTTGTTGAAACAAAATGTCATTCAGATGAATAGATAAGGTCATACCTCCAACATCACAATGAATCTAAATCGCGGTAAAAATAAGTTGAGTAACAAATTTTTACTTAAAAGCCATCAAATTTTATTTTGTGTTTTTGAGTCTTGGATTTTGTGCACAGAAACATTCTAATATTGTTTAAGCAACAGGGAATAGAAAAGATTAATCAGTAATTAGCAAAGCTTTAAAAAAATGAAAGTGAACATGAGTCCTAAGACACGCTGTGATTTTTGCTTTTTGTTGCTGTTGTCGTTGTTATTGTTGTTTTCGCTTTGTCTTCCAGGCTGGAGTGCAGTAGCATGATCATAGCTCACTGCAGCCTTGGACTCCTGGGTTCAAGTGATCCTTCCACCTCAGCTTCCTGAGGAGTAGTGGGGGCTACAGGCATGTGCCACTGCATTTGGCTAATTAAAAAAAAATTTTTTTTCTGGTAGAGCCAGGATCTTGCTGTGTTGCCCAGGCTGGTCATAAACTAACACTGTGATTTTTTAAACATGAGCTCTCCTTTGGGCTGGCAACGTGATAAAAGAAAATATGTTTTTCTTCTGAGGAAAATAATTATTTATGAACACATTTTTTCTTCATTAAAACATAGATTTAGCCCTAAAGTCTAAGTCAAAATAAAAACAACTTAAATATTGCTCCATAAGGCTAGTAGTTGGTAATTTTTGTTTTTTTTTTTTTGAAATGGGATCTCACTCTGTCACCCAGACTGGAGTGCAATAGTCAAATCTCAGCTCACTGCAAACTCTGCCTCCCGGATTCCGGCGATTCATCTGTCTCAGCCTCCTGAGTAGCTGGGATTACAGATGTACACCAGCACACCTGGCTAACTTTTGTATTTTTAGTAGAGACAGGGGTTTCACCATGTTGACCAGGCTGGTCTCGTACTCCTGACCTCAAATGATCCACCCACCTCAGCCTCCAAGTGCTTGAATTACAGGCGTGGGCCACCATGCTTAGCTAGTTGGTAATCTTTTAAGGTGAGGTTGCATTTACAGTAGTCAGTTGCGTTTACTGCCCTCGCCCCACATTTTGTTTTCAGGGATTCAGTGGAATTTGTTCTTATATTTATTTGTGAATAAGATTACATATTTCACTTTTTTCCCTTTCTTCTCTTTGGCTGTTGCTGTGCTGCATGCTTTAGTAATTATTACCAAGCCCCACCCTCGCTTCCAGATACCCAGGTGGCTTGTATTTTGTACCATGGCTCTGGTAGGGATGTGCTGCCTCTCCTGGATGCTACACAGGGTGCATTGGCCATGCTCAGGCTGAGCATCGCCTGGCTGCTGGTGCTGCAGCCCCTGCCACCCTCTCTGGCCCTGCTTGACATCACTGCCTCCAATTAGCTGCTTTCACTGCAGACACCCTAGAGCCCATACAGCAGATGCTGAGGTACTGGAACCTCAGGGTTGGGGAGGAGATGCTGAACTGCATAATATTCCTTGGAAAAGTGGGAGAGAATTCTTGCCTCCCTTTGAGGGCTGTACTCCATTAAACTGGTCCAGAAGTTTGGGTATAAAGCTTATACCCAAAGGTTTTGAGAAACAGGCATTTTCACTTTTAATTATATGATTACCTCTACTCTTTTTTTTTTTTTTTTTTTTTTTTTTTTGAGACAGAGTCTCCCTCTATCGCCCAGGCTGGAGTATGGTGGTACGATCTCGGCTCACTGCAACTTCCACCTCCCAGGTTCAAGCGATTCATTCTGCCACCTCAGCCTCCTGAGTAGCTGGGATTATAGGCTCCCACCACCACACCTGGCTAATTTTTGTATTTTTAGTAGAGATGGGGTTTCACCATGTTCCCCAGGCTGGTCTCGAACTCCTCACGTTAAGTGATCCACCTGCCTCAGCCTCCCAAAGTGCTGGGATTACAGGTGTGAACCACCGCACCCAGCCCCTACTCTATTTAAAATAAGATTCAGGCATGAGTCCACTAGGCTGGACCAGGGAAAGATCTGAAAGACAAACACAGCCATTCTTCTCCCGGATAACTGACTCTTCAGTCTTGGAAGACATGGGCCGGCCTGCTCCTCTTTCCCCTTGGGACAAGTTTTACTTATGTGTGTATTTTTCTTCCCCGGGAGTCACTTGGGTTTTCGTGGAAATAGACTGCTGTTTGCCAAAGCCACGTCTGGGTCCCAGAGTTGATGTATTCAGACAGCACTGTCAACATACTCTAGCTAATGCAACGCTGGCTGGTGAGAAGAGCAGGAAAGTTATATAGGAAGAGAATGAGAGGGAAGATTCCCAAACCCCTTACATACTTATTCATTGTAAATTGGTGTTAGATGCAGATTACTAATTCTTTTTTATTTTTATTGTTATTTTTGAGACGGAGTCTTGCTCTTTTACCTAAGCTGTAGTGCAGTGGCATAATCATGGCTTACTGCAGCCTCCATCTCCCAGACTCAAGTCATACTCCCTCCTCAGCCTCCCAAGTAGCTGAGACTAAAGGCATGCACCATCACAACCAACTAATTTCTTTAAATTTTTTAACTTTTAAATTTTATTTTATTATTATTTTGGAGGCAGAGTCTCGCTCTTATTGTCCAGGCTGGAGTGTAATGGCACGATCTTGGCTCACCGCAACATCTGCCTTCCGGTTTCAAGCGATTCTCCTGCCTCAGCCTCCCGAGAAGCTGGGATTCCAGGCATGTGCCACCGGGCCCAGCTAATTTTGTGTTTTTAGTAGAGACGGGATTTCTCCATGTTGGTCACGCTGATCTCGAACTCTCGACCTTAAGTGATCCGCCTGCCTTGGCCTCCCAAAGTGCTGGAATTACAGGCACGAGCCACTGTGCCCAGCTTTTTAAAATTATTTTTTGTATAGACAGGATCTGCCTGTTACCTAGGCTGGTCTCCAACTCTTGGGCTCAGGTGATCCTCTGGCCTTGACCTCCCAAAGTGCTGGGATTACAGGCGTAAACCACCACGCCCAGCCAGATTACTGATTCTAACCCATTGCATATAGCTATAGGTTCTCTCCTCTGTGTCTCAGTCTCCCCATCTGGAAAGCGGGGATAATAATAGTATTCAACTCATAGGACTTCTGTGAGGCTTAAATGAGTTAACAAATGTTTTATGCTTAGAAATATATTTATATAGTGACTACTACGTAACTATTAGCTATTATTATTTTCCCGGCTTTTTCTAACTCATGCTCTCATATCCTGGGTTTCATTAGACAACTTAGTAGTTTCCACAGGTGACCTAAATTTGTTTTTCTCTTTCTACTTTTTGCCTCCCTACTTCCTGTGTGAGGATTTTTTTTTTCTTTTTTTCTTTTCTTTTTTTTTTTTTTTTTTTTTTTTTTTTTTTTTGCATCCTTCCTGCTTTTGTTGAGCACTTTTGCTAGGATTCCTGACATGGTTGGTTTCTCCGTTCGCGTAGCTGCTGATCTCATTCAGTTTTTCCTCCCTTCTCTGGGAAAATGGGAGGGTGGGTGGTGCTTCAGGGTCAAATCAAGGACAAGCAGGAGTGAGTCAGGATCCAGGTGAGAGGATGTAGAAATAAATGATCCTGGGAAAGAAGAAGAGGAGGGGGCTGAGAAGAGAGTTCTCGATGCTCCCCACAGCCTCCTCCAGATTCACGGACTGCATGAGGCTTGCACGACCCCGTGGAGGGTCCAGAAAGGGAAGGACAGCTCTGCCCCGAGCTCACCCTGCAGACTGGGCTTCAGCGTGCTCTGGGCACCCTCAGCTGCCATGGCTCTCCAAACGCCGCGTGCTTCTCAAATTCTGAGCCTTTGTGCGGTTGTTTCTTCTTCTTGGATTGAGCGTCACTTGTCTCTTTTGGAAACCATACTCCACCTTTCAGGACTCAGCTCAAAGCATGGGCTTAACCATCCCCTAAGAAGTATCCCCTCATTCCCCGTGTCCCCGTCTAGTCCCTATTCCTTGGCCTTCTGTGCTCCCCTCTCATCACGAGCCCGGAACTTACCTTGGACTCTTCTGATGATGCGGTGACATTTCCCTAATGCCATTGGGAGCCCATGCAGGCTGGGACTTCGCACCCCTGTCCTAATAAAGGGTTTGGCACATGGTACTTGCTCAGCGGTAATTACATGCTGGATTCAATGAAAGAAGAAGAAAGATAAAGAGATACTTGGCAAGAGGAGAGATTGCCAATGTGAAAAGAAAGGGCAATGGGATGCCGGTGAAGTCCAGCGTAGTGAGATCGCTCCACGTTGTTAAGAGGCGACAGTGGGAGGAGGCAATGGGAAGGCGGAATTCAATGGCTTTCCTCCTGTGAATGAGACACTTGACTGGGCCTTACACTGAGAACCTATTTCTGCCTGGCTGGCGCCCTCCTCCACCTAACCCCCCACGGCTTGACCATGGCTGAGGCCAAGTCCACCACTCTCTACTCACCCCTTCCTGACTGTGCAATTGGCATCTCCCAGTAGAATGAGGAGTGCTGAGTATAGTGTGGACCCAAGTATGTAAAAACACGCCTGGCACAGTAGATCATGCCTGTTATCCCAGCACTTTGGGAGGCCAAGGCAGGAGGATTGCTCAAGCGCAGGAGTTTGAGACCAGCCTGGGCAACATAGCGAGACCTTAACTCTACCAAAATTCATAATAATAAAAAAAAACTTAACCACTTGTGGTGGCACATGCCTGTAGTTGTAGCCACTTGGGAGGCCAAGATGGAGGGATCTCTTGAGCCTGGGAGTTCAAGGCTGCAGTGAACCAAGATTGTGCCACTACACTCCAGCCTGGGCGACAAGGAGAGATCCTGTCCCTAAAAAAATAAAATTAAAAATAAGGTAACATTTGAACAAAAAGCAGTAACTGTGAGAATCAAAGGACAGCAAGGCCAGCTGATGTCCCCGCCTGCTGCAGGCCTGTTTCCCCACCTCTGGGCGCTCTCCTGGATGATCTACCCTGTTCACAGCAGTGGCTTTAGAACCCTGGGCACCATGCCAGGGCTCCAGGCAGCCTCACTGTTCAGCTGCAGTGTGGGACCCCCACAGCCTCACCTTGGCCTGTGGCCTCAGGTCCATGGCCCTGGAGCCCACTTAGGAAGGGCTGTGCCACCTGTGTGGAAACTACTGGTTTTTGGGTCACAAACCATATTCCACCATCAGGGTCACCATCATCTTCTCTCAGCTGCCAGTCTTCTCTTTGGACGTACCTCAAAGGAAAGGTGAGATCAAAGAAAACAAAATGGAATAAAATAAAATAAATGGAAGTGCTGAGCCATCAGTGCCATTTCTGAGCAAGCACCTTTTTTTTTTAGTTCTAACCCATTCTGTTGAGAAAATGTGACTCTGCAAAGACTGGAGAGTGAGATCTCTGGAAAGTGCTTCCCGTGCAAAACTCCCATTTTTCATGTCTCTGAATCAATATTTGTAGATTGACCCCATGTGCCGGGGCGAGACACTGCCTCCCGTTGTTCACCTCTGATCGGATGCTCCCTTCCTTATGGAGGCTGCTGGTGCAGGTAAGGGCTTCCTCTCACTTGCTCCCAAGGAGCCCAGAAAGAGTGATCCCATCATGGAGCAGCAGAAAGTTTCCATTTGTTTGAAGAGGAGAATATGCTGGACTCGCTGGATGAAGCCTTGAGCCGAGAGTCCTGCCCTGTGCCCTGGAGCGGAGCTGAGTGACTCACCCCCTGTTCTCTGCTGGGAGTGGAGGGTCCATGCGGCTTTCCTCCCTTTCTTTCACCTGGTGTGCAGTTTTACTCACGGCTTCTCTCCTATCCTCTGACTCATTGACCTTGATAGGGAGGGAGGGTTACCTGGAGGCATTCCAGGAGGCTGACTTCAGCAGTCACCTCCGCCCTGGGCCGCAGGGGCACTGGGGACACCAGTGCGTGACTGCTCCCGGCTTGCTGCTTTCCTTCTCACATCCACTTTCTAAGGGTAGGCAGTTTTCCTAGGAACTCAGCAAGTCATACCTTCTCAGAGACTTCTGCAGAGCAGCAAGACAAAGCTTACTCAGAGGCGCCCACAGACCAGGAAGGGTGAGTCACCGGAGCAAGGCTATGGGGATCCTGATCCACTGTTTGCGTCCTCTGTAGAGCAACAGGACATTTTCTTATTCCCAGGCCCCTGTGTGCTGAAAACGGGCCGCCAAAGGAGCCTCTGCCTTCAGCCAGGCTTGGAAGAACACCAGGAAAGCAAAAGGTGGTGGTGGGGACCTTCTCCATGTTTATGGGTCTATGCTGAAAATCCCAGTACAGATATGAGGAAAGAGCCCTCTTATGGGCAATGGAAAAGCTTAGATTGGTTCAAATAACACAGTGAAGCCTACTGATTTAAGATGATGCTTTGAATAGAACACTTAAAATTTAGGTCTTTCCTTAGCCTCTGAGTTGTATAAACCACATGATGTGGGGACTTTGATGTCCTCCAGTTTCTTTCTGATTTGAAATGGAGCTAATGCTATCTCCTGCCACCTCCCAGAAGGACACAGAGGAAATATAAACATTGACGTGGTGGTGGCATCTTAGTAAAAAAAAAATCACGAGGGTTCAGTTTGCTAAAGCAAGACTTGGAATGACCTGATAAATGGCCAGGAAAGACCAACTGTGGGAAATAAATTCCTCTCCAGACTTTAGCTGTTGGGGTTAGGATTTCCAGTTCATAGCTTTACTTAGGAAGGTGAGCAGGCTCAGAAAATGCACAGACCCCTTTGAGGGCTGAGCACCCAGACAGGGCGGCTGGCTCAGCTGGATAATTCCTCTGGATTAGGGGAACTCTGGGGGAGGGATTTTAATAAGCGGAAATGTCTCCCCACTCATGGAATAATGGGTTGAGACAAAGAGCAGCTGGAAATCAAGAGAAGGCCAAAGAGGGCGAGAGAGAAAGATAATGTGAGAAGAGGAAAGAAGAAAGGACCGCTAGCTACAGCAGAGGGTTCATTCTCAGGGGAAAACTCATGCTAAAATTCAAGAAAACCTCTCCTAAAGTAAGCTGTTTGGCGATCTTGAGAAAGGCTTAGCCTCTGGAAGCAAAGTGTTAGCTAAATACAAAGACTTGATATAGTCTGGATGTTTGTCCAAGCCTCAAGTTGAAATTTGATCTCCAATGTTGGACGTGGGGTCTAACGGGAGGTGCTGAGTCCTGGGGCAGATCCCTCATGAACAGATTCATAACCTCCCTGTAGGGGGTTGTGAGTGAGTTCTCTATTAGTTCCTGCAAGAACTGGTTGTTTAAAAGAGCCTGGCGCTTCCTCTCTCTCTTTTCTTCCCTCTCCATGTGATTTCTGCACCCGCTGGCTCCCCTCCAACTTCCACCAAGAGTGGAAGCAACCTGAGACCCTCACCGATGCAGATGCCCAAACTTGGACTTTTTCAGACACCAGCATTGTAAGCCAAATAAACATGTTTCTCTATCTAAATTACCCAGTCTCAGGCCTCCCTTCAGAGCAATACTAAATAGACTGAGATAACCCGATATATATTTCAGAAGGATGGTGGTAAGAAGAACATGACAGAGACTCTTCAGTAATCTTGATTGCTGATAGTGGTTATTGAAGATCTTACTCATTCATCTATTTGGCCGTAGGGTCTCTTGAGGCCAGAAGTTCAAGACCACCCCAGGCAACATAGTGAGACCCCCATCCCTACAAAAAATTTTAAAAATTAGCCGGGTGTAGTGGCATGTGCCTGTAGTCTCAGTTATTCCGGAGGTTGAGGTGGGAGGATCACTTGAGCACAGGGGTCTGAGGCTGCAGTGAGCCATGATCGCGCCACTGCATTCCAGCCTGGGCAATAGAGGGAGACGCCCACTTCTAAAAATAAATAAATAAATAAATAAATAAACAAATAAATAACTTTAATTGTAAGTTAAAAGAACTGTTGCATCCAGTCATTAATAGTTCATCCTGTATCTTCCCATATTCCCCCAAGTCAAGGCCCTCACATCTCCTACAAAGCACAGAAAAAGCCAACTCACATGCCACCCTGTGACCATCAAAACAAGGCGGCACGTCAGACTCCCCTGCCTAGACCCCAGTGTGAGCTAGCCAGGCTGGAAAGGGATCAGCCTTCGTGCAGGCCCTCGGCTGGGTCTGGCTGGGGTTTCAAAAGAGTAATCCCATCCAGTCCCTTAGAGGTTGGGCTGAGCCAGTTGTCCAAGCAGATAAACCTCCATATTCTGCCAAACTCCCCATACGAGGAATGCTAATGGGCTAAAACTTGACAGGAAAAATAAATTTGTGGATCCCCAAGCTCACTGCTCAGGTAAGATGATGGGGCTGCACCCATGATAAAGTTCTCTAACATCTGTGCAAGGGCAGAAACCTTCACTGCGAAAGAGACACATGCAGTAGTCATTGATTTTTTTTTAAGGGAAAACAGCCTCAGGAGAACCATAAAACTGGAAACGACATGAAAGATGGCCTTCTAATGTAACCCCTGGGCTGAATTTTTCCAAAAAGATATTATAGATGGAGCAATTATAAAAAAAAGTATCCATAAGTGATTACAAATAGTGAAGTGGTGCTCGAGAGACAGAAAAATAAAAGCTGCTCAGGCTTTTAGGAACTCCAGTTAAATCCTACTCTTGGGCAAAAGCCAGCTCATGGTCTGGAAATCAGCCTTGGATGCTCATTAACAATACCTTCCCATTCCCACCACAGCCTGCGTTTCCTCGATCTCTACCTCATCAACTCCATCCTACCTCATGCTTTGAAATCTTTACCCCTGAAAAGATTCGAGGAAGAGCAGGGGGCCATAGTGGAGGCCAACAATAATATCAAGAAACCCCCCAAAACCTTTCTTCTCCACACACACTACCCCTACTGAAGGATGGTACATGGGGACTTGCAGTATAGGAATTTGGAGGGAAATGAAGGGGATTTTAGATGCAAAGGCCAATAAGATGAAATCTTTGGTGGGAAGGTAAACAGAAAGCAGAATTTTATGAAAAACAATTTACAATATGAATCAAAAGATTTAAAATGTTCCTATCACCTCAATGACTCTCTCCCAAAGGAATCACAAGAAATCCTTCCCCCAACCCCACACACGAAACACACACAAATGTGTAAAATTAAAATGATAAAGACTGGTCATGCCAAGTCACACAGAAGAACTGGAACTCTCATAGACAGCAGGCAATTATATATAATGGCATAACCACTTTGGAAAACTATTTGGCAGGTTCTAAAAAGTTAAGCTAACACCTACTTTATGACCCAGTCATTCTACTGCTGTGTATTTACCCAAGAGAAAAGAAAGCATATCTACACAGAGATACCGCAGAGATATTGTGGGTTCAGTTCCAGACCACTTCAATAAAGCAAATACCTCAATAAAGCAAGTCATAAGGTTTTTTTGGTTTCCCAGTGCATATAAAAGTTATGTTCACACTATGCTCTACTCCCTTAAGGATGTAATAGCATTATGTCTGAAAAAATATACACATCTTAATTTTAAAATAGTTTATTGCTAAAAAAGCTAATGATCATCTGAGTTTTCAGGGAGTTGTAATCTTTTTCTGGTGGAGGGTCTTGCTTTGATGTTGATGGCTGCTGACTGATCAGGATGGTGGTTGCTGAAAGTGAGGGTGGCTATGGCAGTTTCTTTAAATAAGAACAGCGCAGTTTGCACCATTGATTGACTCTTCTTTTCATAAAAGATTTCTCTGTAGCGTGTAAGAATGTTGCATAGCATTTTATCTGTAATAGCACTTTCAAAATTGTAGTCAACTCTCTCAAATCCTGCCCCTGCTGTATCAACCAAATTTATGTAATATTTGAAATATTTTGTTGTCATTTCAACAATGTTCGTAGTGTCTTCACTAGCGGTAGATTCCATCTCAAGAAACCACTTTCTTTGCTCATCCATGAGAAGCAACTTCTCATCTGTTCAAACTTTATTTTGAGATTGCAGCAATTCAGTCACATCTTCAGGCTCATTTCTTATTCTGGTTCTCTTATTATCTCCACCAACTCTGCAGCTACTTCCTCACTGAAGACGTAAGCCCCTCAAAGTCATCTATGAGGGTTAGAATCAACTTCTTCCAAACCCCTGTTAATGTTGATATTTTGACCTGTTCCATGAATAAGAATGTTCTTAATGGCATTTAGAATAGTAAATCCTTTTCATAAGGTTTTCAATTGATTTTGCCTAGATCCATCAGAGGAATCACTATCCATGGCAGTTACAGCCTTATGAAATGTGTTTCTTAAATAATAAGACTTCAAAGTCAAAATTACTTCTTGAGCTGTGGGCTGCAGATGGATGTTGGGTTAGAAGGCATGAAAACAACATTTATCTCCTTGGACATCTCCATCAGAGCTCTTGGGTAACCAGGTGCATTGTCAGTGAACAGTAATATTTTGAGAGGAATATTTTTCTGAGCAGTAGATATCAACAGTGAGCTTAAAATATTCAATATACCATGCTGTAAACAGATGTGTTGTCACCAGGCTTTGCTGTTCCATTTATAGAGCGCAGGCAGAGAAGATTTAGCATAATTTCTCAGGATCCTAGGATTTTTGCAATGGTAAATAAGCATTGGTTTCGACTTGAAGTCTCCAGCTACATTAGCCCCTAACAAGAGAGCTAGCCTGTCCTTTGAAGTTTTAAAGGCAAGCAACAGCTTTTTCTCTCTAGCTATAAAAGTCCTGGAAGGCATCTTCTTCCAAGAGAAGGCTGTTTCATCTACATCAAAAATCTGTTGTTAGTATAGCCACCTTCATCAGTGATCTTAGCTAGATCTCCTGGATAACTTGCTATAGCTTCTATATCAGCCCTTGTTGCTTTCATTTTGGACTTGTATGTTATGGAGATGTTTTAGTTCCTTAAGCCTTATGAACCAACCTCTGCTTTCAACTTTTCTTCTGCAGATTGCTCATCTGTTTCAGCCTCCATAGAACTGAAGAGAGGTAGCACCTTCCTTTGTATTAGGCTTTGGCTTAAGGAAATGTTGTGGCTGGTTTGATCTTCCATCCAGACCACTAAACTTTCTCCATCTCAGCAATAAGGTTGTTTCACTTCTTATCATTTGTGTGTTCCCAGGAATGGCACTTTTAATTTTCTTCAGGAACTTTTTCTTTGCATTCACAGTTTGGATGTTTGGTGCAAGAGGCCCAGTTTTGGCCTATCTTGGCTTTCAGCATACCTTCTTCTATCTATGGCAGTATAGCCTTATTAATTGTATTTCTTAAATAAAAAGACTTGAAATTTCTTATTATGAAACTAAGCTTCATCATTTCTAGCTTTTGGTTTAAAGTGAGAGACATGTGACTCTTCCTTTCACTTGAACACTTAGAGGTCATTGTGGGATTGTTAATTGGCTTAATTTTAATATTGTTGCACCTTTGAGAATAGGGAGGGCCAAGAAGAGGCAGAGGGATGGGGGAACAGGTGGTCAGTGGAGTTCTCAGAACACACACAACATTTATCCATTAATAATCTAATGTGAGCATGATTTGTTATGCTGCAAAACAATTACAACCAAAAGCATCAAAGATCACACCGATTACAGATCACGTAACAGATGTGAAAGTTGGTCATAAGAATTGGGTCATACTTGTCATACCCAACTAAAACAGAGACCAGAAGCCAGAGAGGAAAAGACACTCAGGGTACAAAAGACTGTTTAAAGAACACAATTATCTGCAAGCCTGACTGCTGTAACTGCTTGTGGTAACCTGAAACCAGTATTATTTATACCTTTGGTGATAACTTGCTGCAACTCTAGGACTAATTATGCCCACTGCCATCGGTCACAGATCAGAGTTTGCAATCTCCCCAAACAGTTACTAGCACCAATAAACTTTGTGAAAAAGCAATATGTAACATTTCTTCTTTTTTTATAAATCTTCTAACCTTCTTTTTGTTTTTTGGACATCCTGGAGACCACCTAGTCTGTGTGTAGGCCCCAAATTGCAATTTTGTCCCCAATAAAACTTTAAATTTAGAGATTTGTCTCTACATTTTTATTTTGACTTCAATGCAGACATAATAATAATGAAAAAGTTTGAAATATTGCGAGAACTACCAAAATGTGACACCGAGACATGAGGTCAGCATGTGCTGTTGGAAGAATGGCGTCAACAGACTTGCTCAATGCAAGGTTGCCACAAATCTTCAATTGGTAAAAATGATAAAATATGTGAAGAGCAATAAAGCAGAGTGCATTAAAAGAAGGCATGCCTATACAGAGACTTGTATGTAAGTGTCCCTAGTGGTTTTATTTATAGTAGCCCCAAACTGACAGCATTGAAATATCCTCCAAAAAGTGATGAATACATCAAACTATGGTATAGCCATACAGCAGAATACCATTCAACAATAAAAAGGAATATACTCCTGATATACGTAACAACACAGGTCAGTCTCAAAATGTTTAATGCCAAATGAAAGAAGTCAGACAAAAAAGGATATATATTCTATGATTTTAATTATAACAAATTCTAGAGAAATACAACTTAATGTATAGGGAAAGGAAACATATCAGTGGCTTCCTGGGGATGGATAGGTAGCAAGGCAGGAGGGAGGAATTATAGAGAACCACAGGAAATCTTTGTGGGTGATGAAAATGTTCATCATTTATGAAAATTAGCCAGGTGTGCTGGCTGGTGCCTGTAATCCCAGCTATTTGGGAGACTGAGGTAGGAGAATCGCTTGAATCGGGAGGTGGGGAGGTGGAGGTTGCAGTGAGCTGAGATTGCGCCATTGCACTCCAGTCTGGGCGTCAAGAATGAGACTCCATCTCAAAAAAAAAGAAGAAGAAGAAGAAGAAGAAGAAGAAGAAGAAAATGTTCATCATCTTGATTATGGCAAAGATTTTATGGGTGTATATGTATGTCCAAATTTATCAACTTTTTATTTATCAAGTTTATTTACACTTACACATATGCAGTTCATTATGGAAATCAACTGTACCTCAAACTAGCTGTTAAAAATAAAAAGTCCCTCCCAATCTTGTCCATCTTGTAGACTTCGAATTATCCTTCAAAATTCACCTTCAAGGCTGGGTGAGGTAGCTCATGGCTGTAATCTCAGCACTCCGGGAGGCCAAGGTGGGAGGATTGCTTGAGCTCATGAGTTTGAGACCAGCCTGGGCAATATGACAAAACTCTGTCTCTACAAAAAAAGAAAATAAAAAATTAGCCAGCATGATGGTGAGTGCCTGTAGTCCCAGTTACTCATGAGGGAGGCTGAGGCGTGAGGATGGCTTGAGCCCAGGAGGTAGAGGTTACAGTGAGCAGAGATTGTGCCACTGCACTCCAGCCCGGGCAATAGAGCCAGGCCTTGTCTCAAAAGCAGCAACACCAACCAACAACAAAATTCACCTTCATTATAACTCCCTCTATGACCTTTCCAGTTCCTCTTCTTATCCACCTCATGAGCCAAAATTAGCTTTTTCTTCCTGTGTACTCTCCTTGCACCTTAGATCATTTTTCCATTATAGCTCATATTTAAGTCACTAATAATTTTTTGTTGCCTTTTCTTTTTAGTTACACTAGAACCATTCCTGTTGATGTTCCCATCAGCATTAAGATGCTTAGAAAAGTTTATGATAAAAATAACATCCTAAAGATTATATGACAAGCACCTTGAGCTCCTAAGCAGAAAGGTACAACAGAAATCTCATAAATAAGTCCTAAAGAAATGCTTAAAGTTAATGTTTTACCAAAGGCAACCCTCAAGACATCAACTTGTAATGCCTGGCAGAAAGCAGAGGTAACCATGCAGTTTAATTAGCAAAACAGCAAAGGGAATAAAGAGACCTTGTCTTGTTCTTGGTTTTTTTTTTTTTCTTTTTTTTTGTGTGTGTGTGTGTGTGTGTGTGTGTGTGTGATTGTCTTTAAAAGTGGCTCCCCTTCAGACTGTCTTGTATACTTCAAACTTTGATTGAAAATTGACAGTCATAAAACACTTCATTTTCTGACTTAAGTTCAGTCTACAAGCCAAAGAACTCTATGAGGCTCCCAGTTATACTCTAGGACTGGGAGAAAGAATATTGTAAACTCAAGATCATTCTTTTTCTTCATTAAACTAAATCTTTTGGGTGATCTTGGAAAGACCAACCAACTTATTCTCTTTCAGTTATTCCATCTACCAGTCTAATGAACTGAAAGTCAAAAGACAGGACTAGACAATCATCCCTTACACAGGTAAGTCAACCCCTTGAATTTCAGTTTCCTCACCTTTTAAATGTGGACAGCAGAACTTGCTGTCTGGATTACAAGATGAAAATGCTTTAAAAACCTAAGACATGCCCCAGTAATTCCTCTTCAAGGTATATACCAAAAAGAGATGAAAATAGATTTTTTTTGTTGTGTTTTTGAGACAGAGTTTCACTCCGTCACCCAGGCTGGAGCGCAGTGGTGTGATCTCGGCTCACTGCAAACTCCACCTCCCAGGTTCAAGCGATTCTTGTGCCTCAGCCTCCTGAGTAGCTGGGACTATAGGCAACTACCACCACGTCTGGCTAATTTTAGTATTTTTAGTAGACAAGGGGTTTCACCATTTTGGCCAGGTTGGTCTCAAACTCCCAGCCTTAAATGATCTGACTATTTTGGCCTCCCAAAGTGCTGGAATTACAGGTGTAAGCCACTGTGCCCGGCCGAAAATACATGTTCATACAAACACTTGTATGTGAATGTTCAAAGCAATTTTATTCATGACAGCCAAAGAGTGGACAACCCAGAGGTGCATCAACTGATGAATGGTCCAACAGGCTACCCTGTTCCTTACTAAGGAGGCTGGACAGGTGGTACACAAACTGAGAGTGAGAGTCTTACCTGGCTGTAAAAAGTGATTTGGGAAAACTTTCTGAGGTTATCATAGCTCTTAATAACTGCACAAGGTTACAGATTTCTATCAGTGAAAAAAGCAGTGACTGAGGACATTGTTTACAGTTGGGGACATTAAACAGTGATCACATTATAGCTCAGTAATTGACAAAGAGAAAGCATGACTTCTCACTCCAGGATTCTGGCTTGTCATGTTTCATTTACTTTTGAGCGCAGACAAATTTCCTGAGGAGGACTGTGGATATGAGAACAAGTCAAATAGTAAGACTTACATATTTCTACCTTTTATGTGCTATTTTTAAAAAATTGAATTTTAGCCGACCTCGAGATCCTAGATTTTACCCAGAAGCAGATATTACCAACTTTGCCAGAGGACTAAGAAGAGGTTCTATGGCCTTTTGCCATACCCAGTAGCCTCAGCCCTTTTTCGGAGATTTTCAGTTCATGTTGATGGCCCTTGGAGAGATGGTTGGATTTCTTGTCTTAACTTTCTCTGATCTTTCTGGATAATGGGAGCCAGGGAAAAGGCATGGCAACCACAAATCTGCCCTGTTGCTGCCAGAAAGAGCCCATTGCAGGCAGCCCCCAGCTCTGGACATAGAAAATATTTTCAGTCACAGCCAAAATAAACAGTTCTCCCTCTGGGAGGCCCACTGAGCGACAAGTAGCTTTTGATGTAGACATCACTCCCCCAGAGAGCTATTTGTTTGGAGGCTAAGGAGACAGGGAAAAGCTTCTCTGCCAAGATGCTGTGCTATCATATTTTTACTTCCTGCAATGCAAGCTTCATGAGTCTGGGCAGAAGCGTTTACCCTGGCACTTTAAAAGGAAAGTTGCTTCAGAAACCAGATTCTTCCTGGCAGAACTCAGACATGCCTTTACTGGGGCTGATGAAATAATCAGCCCAGGATTTAGTTCACTTTGACAGACCCTTCTGACCAGAAATAGGAAAGAAACTAGGCCAAGGTCTGGACCCTGCCAACTGTAGCTGTCAGGGACCCCGGAGTAGGTTCCATAAGTTCTCAGGAATTATTTTGGAAAACCAAATTCCTGCTATAAAAACATACCATTAGGAAACATCCCAAAAAGAAGGAATCTATGATCCATAGCCAAGAAATAGAAGTGTATCTTTTAAAGCTGATCCAAATTTGGGGAAACCTAGAGAGCATTTAACCCTACATACATGGAATATTTTGCTCATGGAATTTTGTCAATATTCCCTAAGAATCACTGACAAACTTTTAAGTTATCTTATGTGTCTAGCATGCCTATGTTAGTTCATTTTCACGCTGCTATAAAGATACTTCCTGAAACTGGATAATTGATAATGGAAAGAGGTTTAATTATCTCACAGTTCGACATGGCTGGGGAAGCCACAGGAAACTTAACAATCATGGCGGAAGGTGAAGGGGAAGCAAGGACCTTCTTCACATGGCGGCAGGAGAGAGAAGTGAAAGGAGGGGAAATGCCAGATGCTTCATCAGATTTCATGAGCATTCACTCACTATCATGAGAACAGTATGGGGGGAACCGCCCCCATGATCCAATCTCCTCCCACCAGGTCTCTCCCTCAACACCTGCAGATTACAAGTCAAGAAGAGATTCGGGTGGGGACACAAAGCCTAACCGTATCAATGCTTTTCAGCACCAAATCTTGCTGACCTGAGACCCGTGATAGAGGTTCAGTTCCTGGTAGTGCAGGGACAGCCTCAGAGTAAACCTGAGGTGGCTCATCAGGCTGGCGTTTCATTAACACTCAGCCTCAGTTTTTGTTTTTTGTTTTTTTTTTTTTGAGACGGAGTCTCACTTTGTTGCCTAGGCTAGAGTGCAATGGTGCAATCTCAGCTCTCTGCAACCTCCGCCTCCTAGGTTCAAGCAATTCCCCTGCTTC
Source organism: Homo sapiens (assembly GCF_000001405.40). Lineage (NCBI taxonomy): Eukaryota > Metazoa > Chordata > Mammalia > Primates > Hominidae > Homo > Homo sapiens. The sequence goes on along the minus strand of NW_018654717.1, from coordinate 5,040,707 downwards.
AGCCTCTGGAGTAGCTGGAACTACAGGCATGTGCCACCATGCCTTGCTAATTTTTGTATTTTTAGTAGAGATGGTTTTTGCCATGTTGGCTAGGCTGCTCTCGAACTCCTGACTCAGGAGATCTATCCACCTCAGCCTCCCAAAGCTGGGATTACAGGCGTGAGCAACTGCACTCAGCCCAGCCTCAGTTTTAAGGAGAAAAATCTTACAATACAGAGGGAAAAATAAGCAGCTTGGGAGGTTTGAGGACTCTTGCTCCCTTTCTGTCCTGGTAGTTTGGTGTAGAAAATGGAATGTGATGTTTTGTAGCAGTCTGGCAGCAGAACGGTACTACGTCTTTTGTCCACCTGTCCTGCTAGAAATTGGACACCAAACTGACAAGCCTGAGGTGGGGGTCACTTGGGAAGGTGATTGTGGAGGCACAGCCACTTGCCTGCAGGTTTGCTGCCTAGGAGGATTGGGGGTGCGGCAGGTGGGCAGGAGCAGAGCCTGCAGCAGGTCCTGGCAGGGGCTAAACTGGGCAAGCACCTTGAAATCCCCCACATGCCCACCTGACTAGCCCCAGAAGGCCTCTAAGCAGTGGGGCAGCTTGGCATAGTCCAGGGTTGAATGGAGCAGACAAACCAAGAAAGAATATTCTCCCTCCAGGATGCTGGAGGGGCTTCATCACCCTGGGAGTGCCTTTAGGGTATTGCAACTGAAAATGGTTGTAACAAAGTTTGTGTGCATCTGTGACACCCCTCATTGCTACACATTGCAGAGAGGTAGATAGTGTTTGGATGACCTGCCCAAGAAAATAGAAAATGTCTCCGTGAACCCAAGTTTGGATGTCACCAATAGAGCACTCACTACATAGTCACTCTTGCAGTGGAAGCCACTCAATACAGGAAAAGTAAATACCAGCTTTAGTGGAAAAGACAGAGGCTATGTGGATCCTGGGGTGACGGCCGGGGCACCATTCATCAGAAACAGAGGCGAGGCTGTGCTGGGGTGGACAGAACATTGGGTTTGAATACAGAAGACCTTGGTTGCAATCTGAGTCCTGTCACCAGCCAGTCATAAGGACTCTCTGGCAAGTTGCTTTGTCTCTCAGAGGCTCCCTGTCATGCTCTACAGGTGAGGATGTTGTATGACTTTAGAGGGTTGTTGGGCGATAAGGAACATGAAAGTGTTTTGCCAACTGTAAAGCTCTGTGTCATTTGTGGAACATCATTCTTCTTAAGCGGTTGACACAGTCATTAACTAAAAACCAGGCATCATCATAAATGTTCTCAACACATTTATTAAACACCTACTGCATACAACGCAGGGGGCAAGGGAATGAGGGAGCAAGCCGTGTAGGACATTGTCACTGCTCTCAATGGTCCTACAGTCTACTCAGTGAGAAAGAATATACTTATGTTCAGATTTTTAAAAAACTGCCTGCCTCCCAGGTTCGGAGAGATGCAGTAGTGGATAATTGCAGAGGAGAAAGGGACACTAGCTTTCATAAGCAGGGGAGGACTTTTTTATTTTTATTTTTATTAGTTATTCTTTTTTATTGCTTTTAATTTTGGGGACTACATAGTAAGTGTATATATTTATTGGGTACATGAGATAAATATTATGTGCAATGTGAAATAAGCACATCATGGAAAATGAGGTATCCATCCCCTCAAGCATTTATCCTTAAAGTTACAAACAATCCAGTGACACTCCCTATTTTCAAATGTACAATGAAGTTATTATTGACTATAGTCACCTGTTATACTATCAAATAGTAGATTTTATTCTTTCTGGCTATTTCTTTGCACCCGTTAGCCATCGTCACCTCCCTGCATTGAGCCCCTTGCCACCCTTCCCAGCCTCTGGTAACCATCCTTCTACTCTCTATGTTCTTGAATTAGGTGTGCCTTGAGCCAAACATTGAAGGACTGGCTGGGTGTGGCGGGTCATGCCTGTAATCTCAGCACTTTGGGAGGCCAAGGTGGGCGGATCACCTGAGGTCAGGAGTTCGAGACCAGCCTGGCTAACATGGCAAAACCCCATCTCTACTAAAAATACAAAAATTAACCGGTCGTGGTGGTGGGTACCTATAATTCCAGCTACTCGGGAGGCTGAAGCAGGAGAATTGCTTGAAGCCGGGAGACGGAGGCTGCAGTGAGTTGAGATCATGCCGCTGCAGTGAGTTGAGTTCATGCCACTGCACTCCAGCCTGGGCAGCAGAGTGAGACTCCATCCCAAAAAAAAAAAAAAAAAAAACTGAAGGACGGGCAAGATGCTGATGGGTAGCCAGTAAACACTGGGGTATACACATGGAGGTACAGTGTACTTAGTAGAGAATGGAAGGCATGCAGCCTAGACTCTAGTCCTGAATTTACACTTCACTTATCATTTCACTTTTCCACACCTTAATTTTCTCTTAAAATAGAGATTATCTTTCTAGATTTCTCCATATATCAGAGGAATGTTTTAAGAAGGTAAAATAATATTTCAAATAACAAGACTTTAAATCTTGGAGCAGAGAAGTCAAGTAAACAAAGACACTCTTATTCTGTCATTCATAGTTTTCCAACATTGTCATCAGACACCAAACTAAAATCTTCTGTTCAAGCAACCCAGGGAGTCTTTGAATGACAGGTCAGCGGCATTAATGAATTCCTTCCTCAGTGCTCAGCCCACAGGGATCTGTGAATGAAAATGAGACAGAGGACCCGGATGTAATGCCACTTTCCGTTTGCTAAACTGAGTAGTGTCCATTTACAGAAACACAGATACCCCGCAGAGCCCAGCTGTGGCCATTATCAGGGCTTGTATTATGCTCTTAACATCTCTGCAGGAATATTCACTGTCTGTCTCCTGCATTATTTCCTTTCCTTCCCAATAACTTTAGAGTTACCACAAGGGAAACACTCCAGACCTCACCAGGCCTGTCCAACTGAAGGTCATGATTCCAACCCTCCATCAAACTGCTACCAGAGGCCTGTGCCCCAGTGAAAAGCCGTTTTATGAGAGCACCTGTGACAGGTGTTGTTTAGAAATGGTTATCTTGGGCTGGATGTGGTGGCTCACACCTCCAATCCCAGCACTTTGGGTGATGGAGGTGGGAGGATGGCTTGAAACCAGGAGTTCTGGACCAGCCTGGGCAACTTAGTGAGACCCCCATGTCTACAAAAAATTAGTCTGGTATGGTGGCATGAACATGCAGCCCCAGCTACTTGGAAGGCTGAAGTCGGAGGATCACTTGAGCCCAGGAAGTCAAGGCTGCAGTGAGCTGTGATCATACCACTGCACTCCATCTGGGCAATGGAGCAAGGCTCTATCTCAGAAAAAAAAAAATAGAAGTGAATATCCTACCAAAAGAATGAATGACTGCCATAGCCATTTAACATTGCCCTTGGTTTTCTTCATTTTGACTCTTTCTCCAATGAACTGTTGCCTTTTCAGAGATGAAACAAAGGGGGTAGTTGGGTAATAGGCCAGGGCCCAGCAGCTGGTTCCAGTGAGGCCTGTCTGCAGGATGAACGCTGTGATCAAATGTGTGACTCATAGTTGGGAGGTGTCTGCCAACCCCGGCTGCAGGGCACAGTCGGCACTGACCGGGAAGGCAGGCTGATCTGCACCCTTGTCTGCTTCCTGTGCTGGGAGCGCAGCCCCCACCCCACCTCATTCCCCCAACCCTATCTCCACATGGAATTGTTCCACTGGCTGTCACCCAGGGAGCCCCTTCTTTCTACCCATGTTCAATTGGGTACTTGAAACAGCACATGACTCATGTTGTACTCAGCCAAGACTAACAGCATCAGGCTTCTATTGTTCAAGAGCTGACTCCAAGTTCCATGAACTATTTCAATGAGTGGAGTCCTTGTTGCTTACATTGCAGCTCTCTAAAGTCATGGAAAGAAATGACCACACTGGAGGCACAGAAAAGCCAAGGCACAGAGTAGCACAACCTTGCTCTTCCTTAAACACTATCTCTGAAAGATCATCCTGAAGCATTTTCCTTGGAGAACCGGCCATAGGCACCAGGTTGGGTTTGCCACAAGGGACCAATGCAGACCTTGTCAAAGAAGTGTTGAGTTGCAAGTGCAAAGACTAGCAGAGTCACTCCAGGGACTAGTAAGGGCCTGAGGGTGAATTTTATCATTAACTCAGGGCTCTGCTGCCAATGTTAACTGCATTTTAGAGCAAGCCTCAGGACTTCCATCTGGGAAGAAAAAGAGTCTGTATCTCCCAATGGAAATTAAATGAGTTGTCCTAAGACCAAAAACAAGGAGCAATACCAATAAGAGATCATTAAATTTTTGATGAGTTAATGCTCTCCAAGCAGTGCAAATGATGTTTTAATGCCTGGGGAAAAGGTGATGAAACCTGTCAATTCCCTAACTCAGGGGAGAAATCAAGTCACTTCTCTTTAAGAAAGTTCCGGCTGGGCACGGTGGCTCACACCTGTAATCCCAGCACTTTGGGAGGCTGAGGCGGGCAGATCACCCGAGGTTGGGAGCTCGAGACCAGCCTGACCAACATGGAGAAACCCCATCTCTACTAAAAATACAAAATAAGCCGGGTGTGGTGGCACATGCCTGTAATCCCAGCTACTCGGGAGGCTGAGGCAGGATAATTGCTTGAACCCCTGAGGCTGAGGTAGGACAATTGCTTGAACCCCAGAGAAGGGGGTTGCAGTGAGCAGAGATTGCACCATTGCACTCCAGCCTGGGCAAGAAGAGCAAAACTCTGTGTCAAAAAAATAAAAAATAAAAAAAAAGAAAAGAAAAGAAAGAAAGTTCTTGTTGACATACTGCTAAGTGAGGAAAGCAAAGCGCTCTGGCATCTCAGGCATGGTAACTTCCGTGTAAGAAAGAAAGATATACTTGTATCTGCTCATTTGTGAACAAACACAGGAAGGATCAAGCAGAAACTGGTGACTTTGGTGACCACAGCGGGTGGGTGCTCACAGGGGAAAGGAGGGGAAAATGGCATGGAGGAGAAAGCATGGAGGATTGATACCTGCTCTGAGTGCTCTGAGCATCCTTTTTTTTCTTTTTTTTTAGACAGCCTTTCTCTGTCTCTCTGTTGCCCAAGCTGGAGTACAGTAGCACCATCCTAGCTCACTGCAGCTTTGATCGTTCGGGATCCAGTGATCCTCTCACCTCACTGGAGGTGAGTAGCTAGGACTACAGGTGTGTGCCACCATGCCTGGCTAATTTTTTTGTTTTTTATTTTTTTGTAGAGACAGAGTCTCCCAAAATTGCCCAGGGCTGGTCTCCAACGTCAAGCAATTCTTGGCCTCCCAAAGTGTTGGGATTATAGCTTTGGCCTTCCAAAATGCTGTTACAGGCGTGAGCCACTGTGCCCAGCCCTGAGTACACCTGTTGGATAGTTTTATCTTTGAGTGCCATGTTAGGGCTTGCCTACTCAAATAAATAAAACCAACAAAGCTGAGGGGTAGGAAAAAGAAAATCCGCTTCTCTTTTAGGAAAACCAGAACTTGCTTATGTCATTGTGGTGGTGGGAATGGCCAGTAAATAAAGGGTTTAAATAAGAGGCTCAGTTGTTAAAGTCTTTCTGACTTTTTACAGAATCTGCTGTAAGTTCTGAAATTGAACTCTACACAATCTAGAAAAGAGGAAATGGTTACAGCTTCCTCATTCCTGGAAATCTTTGAGAAAATAATGGACATACAAATGTCTGTGTAATCCTAGTAAAGGAGTGAAGGCCTGATTACCTTTTCAGGATTGTGGAAAGTCACCGGGGCTGGATCCATGCATATGATATTAAATTGGTGCAAAGGCTATTGCTGTTTTTGCATTAAAAGTAATTAAAAAGTAATGGCAAAGGCCACAATAACTTTTGCACCAACCGAATAGAGCAGGTAGTTTGTCTTCGAATCTTGTGTTCTCAATTCCCGCCTTGTCTTCTCTCCTTAGACCTCCACATTCAATTCCCTCAACCTGTCTCCATGTCTGCTTTGCCCTAATAAGGCAGTAAAGCAGAAGTCTGCAGAGTAACCTTTAAGTTTGTTACAGTGCACAAACATCTTCACAATCTCAGCCCATCTGGTGTCTAGGGCAGTATTTTTTTAGGAAATAGCTGTAATCACCTCTGGCATAGGAGCTGGAAATATTTGAGTCTAACATTTAGAATATGTGATCAATGTCTATGTTCAAACTCCCCAGGGATAATGCAATACAAAGTCAGCCTGTTGACACGCAGAAAAATCTCGAGTGAACTTGACCTTCCTTCCCCAGTTCCATAAGCTTGGCATGGATGTAGTCAACTTCTGGGAGAAAAGATCCAGATCAGACAAGACTGAGTATCCTGGATCTGGTAAGGATCCACATTGGTCACAGATGTTCTGGCCCAACCCCAGAGTCCCCTAAACCAACAATATCACTTTTGAGTGAATTTGGACTCTTTTTCTGGAACCCTAGAGTCCATCGGGTTACCTCCTGACCACTTTCCCGGGGTGCAGTTCCTCCTCCTAGGATATCTTTTACAGGGAGGTTGCCCCATTGCCTGCATTAATTAGCACTGGAAAAAAGAAAGAAAGGGTAATTGTCAAGACAATCATCCCATGGTACTTGTTCCAACCATTTTATTCTTGCTTTTATTTTTTTTTTTTTTTCAACAATGACATCAGCTGGGTTAAACTTTGATTTCTAATAAATAAATTCCATTCACATCACCATCTCTTAAAAATGGCAAGTTGGTTTTATGTTACAAATCTACTATTTTTAGTGGGATTTGGTAAGCTAATCTTTAGATCTCCAAAGGTTTTCAGATATTCAACAGAGCAGAAAAGGGCTGCTTCATTTGTTGACTGTATTTTAAGCGCAAATTTAGAACTCACTAAAGTAACATGTGTCTTCTTTTTAGAAAATCTTTATAATTATTTTATGTACACGCGTACATCTCAAAAGAGTTTTTCAGCTCTAAGCTCTTGGAAACCATGAAGTGTTATATAAAGTGGTAACTACAGCTCCCCAAAACCAGTCTTTTCAGATCTGAGCCATATGTTATGATAAATAAATAATCCCTAAAGCGCTTATCTGGCTTCTGGCAAGGATATAACTATTTAGATATGAGGCTTTATAACGCCTACATTAAAAAAATTAGAAGAAAAACGATTCCACATCTTGGCATGAAAATGAGAATGGCTTACAAACAACAAAAATTACGTATGTGGAAAACATAATGGGGGTGACTTGACTCAGTGGGAGAGAAGAAAAACTGGAGATTTAAATACCAGTAGTTGGGTTTAGAGCCAAGAAAAATGGGAGATGAACTCACTGATAACAGGAGTATTAAATTGCCAGATCCTGCAACTGTCCTCGTACAAAAGTCCCTGATTATTTCTGAACCTCAGTCCTGCAGAACAAACTATTGTTTCTGGGCATAATGGATATCATGCTAGAGTCTTCTGTGAGACAAAGCCATGCAGCCTAGGTGTATTTTGAAGTAACAAAAAACCAGTTATATTGAACCTCTGAATTTAGTGCGAATGAAGTTGTTTGCTAAACCTAATATTTACAGCCACATGACTAATCATTTATGGAAAAGGCCAATCCACGGAGAGGAGTGAGTAGGCAAGCATTTCCAGAGAACTTGAGGAAACTAGATTTTAACACTCCATATTTGAACTTCACCAATGGTAGCGATAAAAAAATGCCCTATTGTATAGAGTACCCTTGATATAACAAACTCCATCTTAGAATAAGACTTCATTTTATGTTTCAGAGGGCACTTTGCCAACAAGGATAAGATGTTTTGTTTAATAAATAAAAAAGATAAAGATTGCATCCAATCAGATAAAGACACAAACAAGGACACTCGTCCAAGATCAGTTCTCACCAGAGGCCTCTGTGACTTTAAAATGTCAGGCCTTCAGCAGCTCGAAATGGGGCTGTCTTAACTGATACTGTCTTGCAGTCACTCATGATAAGAACTTGGCATCTGCTTCTGCCACCTCAAACACTTTTCCTTGCAAGACTGACCTGCTCCCACTGGACTGGTTCCTTAACCTTTCTCCTATCTCTTTCTCCTCTTCATGTTCAATGCTACTTTGTTTATTGTGGAATGTTTAATCTGTAATATATGTATATTGATTAAGCATACTATTATGTATGGTTTCCCATATTGACTGACTTGTGGAGTGGCTCAAGCCTGTGTGCCTGCGGCTCTGACTACCAAGAGAACAGGAGGTACTAAAGAGAATTGCTTCCTTGGGAACTCCATGTAGCCTCTGGCTTTTGTGACTGAATTAGCATCAATAAAAGCCTGACATTCTGGAAAGACACAAGCATGTGTGGACCTGGTTATTTTTAACCTGGCATCGCTCATGACACCTATGTTCAAAAAATTCTTTTTTTTTTTTTTTCTTTTTAAAACTGCTATTGGGGCATTATTCAATGTCTTCAAACAAAGAATCCTTGACAAATTTCCTTCAGAACCAAGCACTGGGCAAAAATTTCTTCCTTCTGACGAACTGTTTCCTAAAATTGCACACAAAAAAGAATTCTGCAACCAGTTTTCTTTTTATAGGTTGGTGGACAGCTCAGAAGTAAGTTTTATGTTTAATTGCTCTTATTCCTCTCATTCAGAATTTATTGCTATTGTTTCTTCTTTATCCTTTATTTTTTGGTTCATGTTGGTTCTTAGAACAGTTTTTACAACCTCATTTTTTTTTTCTGAAGTGGGTGGTATAAAAAAGTTGCAATTAATTCAGGAATTAAAAATGTGGCTCCTAAGACATTTCTTTCTTTCTTTCTTTCTCTCTCCTTCTTTCTTTCTTTCCCTTTCTTTTTTTCTCTTTCTTTCTCTTTTTTCCTTTATTTCTTTCTTTTTCTTTCTTTTCTTTTCTTCTCTTTCTTCTTTTTTTTGATAGAGTCTCACTCTTGTTACCCAAGCTGGAGTGCAGTGGTATGATCTTGGCTCACCGTAACCTCCACCTCCTGGGTTCAAGTGATTCTCCTGCTTCAGCCTCCTGAGTAGCTGGGATTACAGGCATGCACACCCACCTAATTTTTGTATTTTTAGTAGAGACAGGGTTTCTCCATGTTGGCCAGGCTGGTCTCAAGCTCCTGACCTTAGGTGATTGACATGTCTTGGCCTCCCAAATTGCTGGGATTACAGGCATGAGCCACCACGCTGGGCCTTATTTTCTAATGGCACTGCATTCCCCTGTCAGAATATTTGCTCCTCCCTCTCCATTGTTTATTTACTTGAAGTGAAAAAGGACAAAAAAGCAAAAGATAGCAAATTGATGGCAGAAGGTTTGCCTGGAAAATTCTGAGGGACAAAGAAAGAACTGGCAAATAATGCCCCCCCGAAACAGATAGGTCCTGGGGAGAAATATGATTTCCACGTTTGCAGACTCCTTCTCTTGTACAAACGGGTTGGGAGCTGGTTTTGGTTCAGTTCTTTCCTCAATGCTCAGGAAACAATTGAAATTACAAATGCGCCCCAGGTGCTGTCTTCACCAACGATGCATGGAAAGATGAATGTGTTTACATGTAGTCAGGGGCTGGAAGGTGGAACTCACAAAAGGATTGAAATTAATATGCAGAAGAGGACCTGGGAGAGTTCCCTATCCTTCCTGCTAAGTGCATCCCCAGGTTTCCAAAACATCCATTCAGATCTTTGTATTTGTTTTAATTTGTCCAGAGTTATTCACAAGGTTTTAGAAATCAATTAGTTCTGTAGTTGGAAGATTACCCATTAGGTAGAAATACAAGAGTCTTGGGGCTATTTCTCTTCAAATAGGTAATTTTTGACTTTCGTGCCTGTGTCTAGTTTTGAGGAGGAAAGATCTGATGCCTCCTAATTTTCCTTGTGTGTTTTTAAAGGCATAGTAACAAACATTGACTCCAGTAAGCTGTAGGTGCCAATGGGTGCGTTAAATGAGGTTTTAGAAAAGGAGACTTGAAGGAGGCCCGAACAGCAGAGGGAGTACTGGCCTGGGAGTTGAAACACCTGAATTCTATGCTTGCCCTGCCAGTATCTAGTACGGTAGGAACAGTGGGCCGTTTGCCACCTGGCGTCCCATGCATTCTCTCCCTCCTCCCTGCCCCAGGAGGCTGATCCTCCAGACTGCATCACCCAAGGTCCCTTGCTGTCTGGCATCCTATTAGGTTGGAGATGACAGATGGGAAACAGAGACTCCCATCTCCGGCTGTAGAGATCTCAGCGCGAATACCTCCTGTATGTTCCCCTGTCCTGCTGTTCTGGCCCTTGCTTTTGGCCTTGTCACCCTTTGTTCTCATAACCCTGATCACACCTAGCTAAGTGGTCCCCTTAAGTTCTTTTCATCTGAGCCATCTGGGGTGGACTCTGTTTTCAGACACGTCTCTGAATTTTACAAATGGCAACCAGCTTTAGCAAACTGGAAATGGGTTTGAATTCCAAACCACTGGGATCACAGCGGCTGTGTCTGGATTCTTTCCAGAAGGCTGCCAGGTGGGAAGAGAAACAGGGAAGATGAATTGGTACCCCCTTGCCTGGTCCTTTGCAGACTGCTGCTCTATCTCCTGAAAAGCGTTAAGACCAAAGACAGCTCCGTTTTACCCACCAAACATATTAATACACTCAGGCACTTAAGGATAAAGAGCTTTGCTCATGACTCAACCAAAAAAAATTTTAATGGAATTTTCTTCTTTTTTTTTTTTCTTTAAATAACAATTTGACAAAAGGGTGAAGAAATCCTAAACAAGGTATTGAGGCCAGTGTCCAGGCTGCATTCAGTTCACAGAACTGTCCTCAGGACGTTGCATGGAACTGGAAATGTGTATAATTACAGAAGAAAACAGGGAGGACTTAGTGCAGAGAGGAGACGAGTGTGGACGGGCAACAGCATCCTTAGTCTTTCATATTTATATATGGTATATGTATTTTCTATATATATATTTATATATTTTACATCCAGGTATCCCAGTCATCTGTACCATTTCCCAGGGAGACATGGGTGCTTCCAAGGCGAGACAGGAAAGGGTTAGGCAGGGAAGGGGCAGCGACGGTGCAGGCTGGGGCTTGGCTCACAGAAGCTGCAGGAGCTTCAGCGACTGTAAGAGGGCCCCGGGCTCCGCAGACGCCAGGTACTGGCAGCAAAGCCAGTCCTCCAGCTCCACGCCCCGCCTGCGATCCACCGCCTTCTCCGCAAACTTCATCATCATCAGGGCCCGCTTCATGTCGATCCAGTTGTGCAGCGTGCCGCACAGCGCCTCCTCCGAGGTGCCCGGCTGCTGCACCAGCTCGCGCCGAGGCCCCCACAGCAGGCACTGCAGCACGCGCTTGGCCTCGCCGATGCGGATACGCTTGATGGGGTCGGCCTCCAGTAGCAGATGTGCCAGCTGCTGCAGGCCGGGTGAGTAGAGGGACAGCGCGGGCAGCGGCGGCAGGTCCTCCTGCCGGTAGTCTCTCTCCCGCAGCTGGGCGCGCACCTCGAACGGGTTGGGTTGGTGCAGCAGCTCGTAGATGAGGATGCCTGTCTGGAACTCATCGAACTTGCGGTACTGGGAAGCAGACACGATCTCGGGGGCCAGCCGGGCCTGGCTCTTCTTCTGCTGCAGGTTTGGGGTGCCGCCCGGCTTCTGCTTGGCCTTCAAAAAGTTGCTGATGATGAGCCGGGGCAGCTGCTTCTCCCGGGGCCCTTCCGGGGAGGCGGGGCCGGCTGCGGGGCTGAGAGTGCCACCAGCAGGCGGGGCGGCAGAGGAGCAGGGAGGCGCGGCGGCGGCGGGGGCGGGAGCCGGGGCGGGGGCGGGCCCGGGGCCGGCCTGGAGGGTGCAGTGCACCAGCAGCAGGTTCTCCAGGCACAGGTCCCGGTGGATGATCCCGTGCTCCTTCAGGTGCTCCAGCCCGTTGCAGAGTTGCAGAAGCAGGAAGCACACGCGCCGCTCGTACGCCTCGGGCTCCGCCTGGTGGCTGGCCGCCGAGTCCCGCACGAAGTCGGAGGCGGTCTGATGTGGCACCTCTCGGGTGATGACCACCACGCAGTCCTGCTCCTGGGCAGGGGGGTGTGTGGGCAGGGCAGGCACAGGGTCCTTGGGCGCGTCGGGGGAGCTGAGCATGCTGGACGGCACCGAGGCGACGAAGTGGCCGCAGTCCTGCTGGATGTTAAAGTGCACGGGCACGGACGGGCTGCAGTAGGAGACTGTTTTGGGCTCAGGGGCTTTGCAGATCTGTGGAGAGAAGAAGAAGTGAAATCAAGAGTGGGGCCCATGGTTCCGCCCAGCAAAGAGTGTGGAAACATTTGAGTATCTACGTGCAATAAGCCTATCCACATAGGCTTAAGGGTAAGAGCAATCCATACACATGCTAGAAGAAAACATGGGACAGAATCTTTGAGGCCTTGGGTTGGGCAAAGATTTCTTAAATATCACACCAATAGCATAGTTCACAAAAGAAAAGAAAAATCACAAACTTAACCTCAAAGTTCTAAACTTTTGTGCTTCAAAAGACACCATTAAGAAAGTGGAAAGACAAGTAATAGACTGGGAGAAAATATCTGCCAAAATGTATGTAATAAAGGACTTGTTTCTGGAATTTGTATTAAAAAACACTCTTTTACAACTCAGTAAGACAAACAGCCCAATTAAAAAAGGATACAGAATCATGGCATGGAGGAAAAAACAAACAAACAAACAAAAAAACGTGGGCAAGAGATATGAATAGGTAATTCACCAAAAAAATTTGTAAATGGCCACAAGCATGTGAAAAGATGCTGGACATCATTATTCATCAGGCAAGTGCAAATCAAAACCACAGTGAGATATCAGTTCACGCCCACTAGAATGGGTTCTAATAAAAGACAATTCCAAGTGTCTATGAGGATGAGCAGAAATGGGAAACCTCAGACATTGCTGATGGGAATGTAAAATGGGGCAGACCCCTTGGAGCAGTTTGTTAGTTTCTTAAAAAGTTAAACATAAAATGACCATATGACCCAGTGAGTGGGGTCCCTGCCGAGCAACACACAGTGTGGTCGGGAGGTATTGGTAGGAAGACATCCCTCTGTGCACAGTATGGACAAATTCTCAAGAAGGCAAATAGTGTTCATAAGAAAGCAGCCTCACTTCCCACATACTTTTCCTTCAAGGTGAGTCACAGCAGCTGAAAGAAACCAGAAAGCTCTCCAAGGAAGAAGGAACCAGAAGGAACCCTCAGAGGAACCCCAGGGCACCATCTGAGATGAAGGTAGGAAAAACAAGATGGAAGGTCTCAAGCTTCTCTGTGGGAAGCATAGCTGGGGATCCACACAACTCTGTCTTTCTCGCCTCCTCCATTTCTTCTTGTACAAATGGCAGTGCCAGCCACCTGGGGATCTCTAGCAATCCTAGTCCTCATCTGGCTGCCACTCAACTAGAGAGTCTTGAACCAGCCGTAATGGCCCTCTGTCAGGCCTCAATCTCCCTGTCATTACCCTGAAAGGGACTGAAGTCCCCTCTCTCAAATGAATATTATGCAACCTCACCCAGGCTTTGTAGAAAGACAAAGATCAATGTGTAATGTAGAAAGACAAAGATCAGATGTGAGAAGAAAGGCATCTCACATCTACCTATAAAATATTATCCTGCAAACACTCCCAAAATAACCCTGCCTTCAGGCTGCAGTGTTGGAATGATGATGAAGCAGTGTTTTTGAAGTGCCTCAATGCTTACAGGCGATACTTTTAGAAGTTCTACTGCAAGCACCTTTTCACGGAGATTTATTTATATTGCAGCTATGCAAAGCTTCTCAGCATGAAACCTGGCATACAAGAGCTTGGCCTCCAAGAGATGTTTTTAAAGCTAATTGTCGGGAATGGTGGGTAACACATTAATTTAGTAATCTGTCTATTATAAAAGCAGAATGGTAATAAAAAGGAAAGACATTTACCCCAGACATTGCTTCCTATTACACTAACAAAAATGATTTTGAAATACATGCCTAAAAGGCATTGTTCAGGCTCTTTCTTATTCCGGACTACCCAACTCTACTCGGTTTTTATTTTTTACTTTTTGAGACAGGCTGGAGTGCAGTGGTGCAATCACAGCTCACTGCGGTTTTGACCTCCCAGGTTTAAGCGATCCTCCCACCTCAGCCTCCCGAGTAGCTGGGACTAGAGGTGTGCACCACCATGTCCAACTAATTTTTGGAATTTTTGTACAGACAAGGTTTTGCCATGTTGCCCAGGCTGGTCTTGAACTCCTGGGCTCAAGTGATCCTCCCACCTCGGCCTCCCAAAGTGCTGGGATTACTCGCGTGAACCACGGTGCCTGGCCTGCACTTGGTTTTTAAATGGCAGGCTTCTGGAGCACTATTAAACTAAAGGAAATTTGCAGCAATGGTGGTGGGGGAAGTCCTCAAAGAAAGCATCTTGCATATACGCTGTGTTGTCAGTGGAGATGTGGGAGGACATCACTGTTATTGTCTCACCCCTAACAGATTACAGACTGGGCTCTTGAATGTGCAAGTACTGTGCCAACTGTGAGGGTTCCATGCAGCATCTCATTCAATCTCATTAAATCCAAGGAGGAAGATGCTATTACAGAGGAGGAAACTGGGGCTTCCAGAAGTTAAATTATTTGCTCAGGACTATACAACCGAGAAGTGTTGCAGAGGTCAAAAGCATGGGCTCTGGAGTGAAAAAAGGCCTGGGTTTCAGTATTAGCTCTGTAACCTTTGTCAAGTTACAGGGGATTTTCATTATTTGCAGGAGTTATGTTCTGTGAAGAAGCCATAAACACTGAATTAGTGAATAGTGAACCGTTTTTCCTAGGGGAAATACAAGGTAAGTTTCCTGGGAACCTCTGGTCACAATATTTTCATTAACCCACCAGTATTCAACCTTGTTTCATGTATGCTTCTGTTTAGAGATACCTTGTTTAACATACCTTGTTGAGTCATTAAGAGGAACTCACGGGCAACAGCACTAGAGCTCATCCCTGAAAAATGCTTATCTAACACATATGTTTTTACCCATGAGGCACATCCCAGCCTTGTGGTGGTTAGGAACACTAGACAGCACTTCAGCCCTATGCTTCGGCCATTTTATTTTATATATATAGTTTTGTTTTGTTTTGTTTTGTTTTGTTTTTGAGATGGAGTCTCTCTGTCGCCCAGGCTGGAGTGCAGTGGCACGATCTCGGCTCACTGCAATGTCTGCCTCCCGGGTTCAAGCGATTCTTCTGCCTCAGCCTCCTGAGTAGCTGGGATTACAGGTGCCTGCCACCACACTCGACTAAATTTTTGTATTTTTAGTAGAGACAGGGTTTCACCATGTTGCCCAGGCTGGTCTCGAACTCCTGACCTCAGGTGATCCAGCTTGGGCCATTTTAAACAGCAAAATCACCAACATGTAAACCCAAAAATAAAATTCTAAGGCCCTCCAACCATCTGAAATGGACCCCTCCTCTCAGTCAAGGGCATTCCAAAGTGAACATAAAAAAATGAGTTCAGGCCATGATGGGAAGGGGGCGCTGGACATGCCTCATGCTACCCTCCTCCCTGTTGGGATTACTGATAGGGCAGTCTCTTCAAGTCTGATAAAAATATTTACAATGTGTTCTCACTCAAGCCTGCTACCTGGAGGCTTCGTCTGCATGATAAAGTCTTGGTCTCCATAACCCCTTCTCATAATCCAGACATTCCTTTCTATTGATAATAACTCTCTCAACCAAGTGCCAATCAGAAAATCTTTGAATCCACCGACGACTTGGAAGCTCCCCCGGCCCCCTCAACTTCAATGTACATCATACATGTATTGATTGATAACTGTGTCTCCCTAAAATGTACAAAACCAAGTTGTGGCCTGACCACTTTGGGAACATGGTCTCAGGATCTCCTGAGGGCTGTGTCATGGGCCATAGGTGACTTATATTTGGCTCAGAATAAATCTAATATTTTACAGAGTTGGACTCTTTTCATTAACAAACAAAAAGCACACAAATGTGAAAAACAAGACACTAAATAGACTGCAAAAAATGACCCTGGCTTCCAGGATGAGGGCTGAAACAAGATGGGAGACTGTCGCCTCATTCCCCTTCAGCTGGAAACATGCACATTGGGTGATATGGTTTGGCTGTGTCCCCAAACGAATCTCATCTTGTAGTTCTCATAATCCCCACGTGTGGTGGGAGGAACCTGGTGATGTTCTCATGATAGTGAGTGAGTTCTCATGAGATCTGATGGCTTTATAAGGGGTTTTCTTTTCCCTCCCTTTTTTTTTTTTTTTTGAGATAGAGTCTTGCTCTGTTGCCCAGGCTGGAGTGCAGTGGCGCATCTTGGCTCACTGCAATCTCCACCTCCTGGCTTCAAGTGATTCTCCTGCCTCAGCCTCCCAAGTGGCTGGGATTACAGGTGCCTACCACCACACCTGACTAATTTTTGTATTGTTCATTTTTTAGTAGAGATGAAGTTTCACCATGTTGGCCAGGCTGGTCTTGAACTCCTGACCTCGTGATCTACCTGCCTTGGCCTCCCAAAGTGCTGGAATTACAGGCATGAGCCACTGCACCTGGCTGCTTTTGCCCCTTTTGCTTGGCTTCTCCTTGCTGCCACCATGTGAAGAAGGACGTGTTTGCTTCCCCTTCCACCATGATTGTAAGTTTCCTGAGGCTTCCCCAGCCATGCTGAACTGTGAGTCAATTAAATCTCTTTCCCTTGTAAATTACCCAGTCTCAGGTATGTCTTTATTAGCATCGTGAGAACTAAACATCAGGTGACTCAAATTTTTCCTTCCCTTACACGTATCCAGAAATCACTGGAAAGCGCTTCGAGTATTGATTTTGGAATTACACATAAATTTGAGCGGGTAGATGATTTTGCAAATACAGAATCCATAAATAATGAAGATGGACGGTATTTATCTCAAAGCATGTTTTCTCCTCTGAATGACAGGGGCAGGGATAGTCCTTCCTCGTAGGGCCATTGTGAGGATCAGATGAAATGATGCAGGCATGGCTCTCAGCGCCAGGCCCAGCCCAGGGCAAGCACAATGGGGAAGGTTGCTATGGTGACTGCTCTTGCCATCTCGGCTGTAGCCCTCTGGTGATGCGGAGGCATCCAGAGCTGGCCTGCAGGTATTGTGCAAACCCGAAGAGCACAGCTGCCCAGGGGCCTGGGAAGAGTTTCCAAGGCTCCTTTTTCTCAGGGGTATGAAAAGCCTGGGCCCAGCAAACACTTGAGGCCTGGAGCTCCAGTCAGGCTGCTGACATTTTGCACAGAGATGTAAATGAAGGAGCAGAGTAAATGGCAACTGGGCTGGATGCATTTCAAAATCAGTGCACTGGGCCTTTGGCAAGACCCGCAGCTTCCTCAAAGGCCAGCAACGGAGAAGGCTGCGTTGGGCGCATGCTAACTAGCCCTGTGAGTGAGCTGTAGGCCCGCGCCGGAGATCATTCCACAGCACTGGGTGGGGGAAGGGGCGGTGGGGGAGGGAGTGGCTTTTTCTCCATCTCCATCTCCCTACTCCCTGCCCCCAACCAACCTCATTTCATTTTCAGGGGGCCCTGCACTCGGATTTTTAGCTCTAGAACTTTACATAGACTCTTGGTTCAGCTCAAGTTTCTAACGTTTTGCTGAGCCAGGACTCATTTAAACTTTGGAGTCAGGGCCTCATTCACGGGCGAAAGTCTGGGCTAAATCATGTCTGTTAAATAAAAAAGGCCCAGCAGCTTAAAACGGGGCCCTAATTACCAAACTAGAATTCTGTCTAGATGGCTGAGAAATGAAACTGCTTCGAAGACGCACACACAACTAATGATTTTTTTTTTCCTGTCACCTATTCATGCGGTGGAGCTACAAGAACCAGCTTTATCTCCTCACTGCTGCAGGGCGCTGAGCCCAAAGTAGTAGGTTCCAGCATCAGCAAGGAGCAGGTGTGAGCCTGCTATTGTTAACTAGGACTCCGCGACCGCAAACGAGGCTCCGTCTGCCTTCAGTGCCGGCTCCCTGTTTAACATGTGCAGATAAAATGCGCTCAGCCTCAGACAGGCAGCTCGCTGGCTGGGAAGGGAGACCCACTCCCCCTCCTGCGGATCCCCAGATGACTGTATTTCGTCTAGACTGGAGAGCTAATGAAGTGGAACAGCTGCCCGTGCGAAATGATGCTCCAGGGCCCCCACGGCCCGCCCCCCCAATGACCAGGCCAGGCACATTTGCAAATTAATATTGTTCCTGGTAACGTTGTTCCAAGAATTACCATCCTCTGCATATTGGATGCTAGTCTCCAACTTTCCTTTTTCACGTGGCACAGAGACGGTCCTTGAGCTACCACGTCTCCAGGAAAGTCAACTAGGAAACCCCTGCGGCTCCTGTTTAGAGGGCTAAGGCTTATCTTTTGGTTTCTGTGTGGCTTCTGTTTCTAATGAAATAAGGAGCAACACTTGTTTTTAACATTCTTAAGGAAAGTTAAATTTCTTTTGTGTTGTTTATTAGAGAATACGGCTAATTCTGCAGTAATATATGGGGCCCTAGAATCCAAGCTGCACAGCACAATTATTTATGTTTGTGAAAAACAAAACTGTGGCGGGGCACGGTGGCTCATGTCTGTAATCCCAGCACTTTCGGAGGCCGAGGCAGGTGGATCACAAGGTCAGGAGTTCGAGACCAGCCTGGCCAATATGGGGAAACCCCATCTCTGCTAAAAATACAAAAATTAGCCAGGCGTGGTGAGGGGGCGGCGCCTGTAGTCCCAGTTACTCAGGAGACTGAGGCAGGAGAATCGCTTGAACCCAGGAGATGGAGGTTGCAGTCAGCCGAGATCACACCACGTACTCCAGCCCGGGCAACAGAGCGAGACTCTGTCTCTAAATAAATACATTAATAATAATTAAAAAAAAAAAAAGTTTGTCCCAAGGGCCCCTTACTTCTTGCAGAAGGGTCACCTCACTTTCTATACCATGGACAAGAGGAATTCAGTGTCTTCCACCAGGCTTTTTCCTCCTCAAAACAGAAAGGTCAGCTGTCTCTTGATACTGAATAATATTATTCAGTATATATTATTTATAATAATACTATTACTACTACTATTAATAATATTCAGTATATATAAATAATAAATAATTATAAATAATATATATTGAATATTAGTATTATTACTACTATTAATTACAACTACTATATATTATTTATATATACTGAATATTAATAGTAATAATAATATTACTTAAATATTGTTTAATATTATTTTTAAAATGTTAGCAATATTATTTTAAAAAATTGTTGGTAAGCAAGCTACCCCACCAAGGCCATTTCAAATTAGCTTATTCTTTGCACTTTTCTAACTGGAAAAAAAAGCGATGTCTTAGGGCAGGTGATGAGAGAAGATAGCTCAGGGTCTCCCTCCTGACTCCCAATAAAAGCCCACATTTATAGAAGGGCCAGGGTCTCAATAGGTAATCAAGGAACAGCAAAAGAAGATGACAAATAGGGCCACAGGAAGGACTGGAGTTCATGGTAGAGACTCCAGTGGCCCAAATGGGTGCAGATGGCTCAACTAGCTCACACAGAGCTGCACTCTGACAGTGCAATACAGTGTGGGTAGCAAGAGGCCTGATCCAGCATCAAAGGTTAAAGAGCTGTGCTGCCTTGAGCTAGTCACTTAATGTCTCTGAACTTCATTTATCTTAAATGGTAGGGACATAACTTAGGCTTTGGAGACAGACACAGAAGAGCTCAAATCCATTCCAGCCACCAACTAGCTATGGGCAAATTACTTAACCACTTTGAGCCTCAGATCCTCCATCTGTAAAACCTACCTAACCTGTAGGATTACTGTTAGGATTAGAGGTAAGAGTCTAGTTGTAGAGTGAATGCTCACACAAATGATATTATTACTATTATTGTTCAAGATGATTCCTAGGTCGAATGCTCCTTCTGGATCTAACATTAGAAGAATGACCTCATTATCCATCTCCCTCACTACATCATAGCTCTATAAGGAAGCTTATATTCACACCTACATACTCAGATTGTGGCAAAGTACCTGGCCTATAGTAGACACTCAATAAAAACCTGGTCAATAAATGAATAAACTCTCCGTTGCACTAAAAGGCAACTGTTTTCTTAACTCAGCTAAAGCACAGAATGTGTCTTATATTCATACTACAAATCTCATTGCACCATGTCCTGGGGCAGAGAGAGAGTGAAGCTGCTGAGCACTAAGTGTTAAAAGAATGCTTAGGGGTCAGGGGTGGTGGCTCACACCTGTAATCCCAGCATTTTGGGAGGCCGAGGTGGGTGGATCATCTGAGGTCAGGAGTTCAAGACCAGCCGGGCCAATATGGCAAAACCCCATTTCTACTAAAAATACAAAAATTAGCTGGGTACCGTGGTGCACACAGATAATCCCAGCTACTCAGGAGGATGAGGCAGGAGAATCGCTTTAAAATGGGAGGCGGAGGCTGTAGTGAGCCAAGATTGTGCCACTGCACTCCAGCCTGGGCAACAAAGTGAGACTCTTATCTTACAAGAAAAAAAAGAATGCTTAGGAATCAACTCCCCTCCTAATGCCCAGACAGGTGAAATGACTTGCTCAGGCCACAGTTCTGCCCAAGCCAGCACCAGCCAGTGGCACAGCAGAATGCAAGGAGGGAGTGGTACCTACTTTCACAGCATAGGTGCTGCCGGGGTCCTCAGAGCAGGTGGCACAGTAATAAATGGCATCCCCCGAGTCACAGCAGGGCTTGTTACAAGTCAGCTTGAAGAGCGACCAGTTATTCTCATTGAAGTGGAGCTCCTTTTTCTGGCCGCCCATGAAGAGGTCCTCACATTTGGCTACAAGGCGGGCCAGGGACTGGGTGTAGAGTCCCCCCAGCTTGGCATAGGTGCCCTCCTTGCTGCTGATGTTGCTCAGGAGACCGTGCAGCTGAAGCTGGGTGCTCCCGGTGGAGGCTTGACTGGACACGCTCAGCTGGGAGGATGAGGCGGAGGGGGCCCCTTTGCACTGGAGGCCAGGGCTCCCGCAGCCGCCTCTGTTGCCCGCCAGCCCTGCTGCCGGAAGCCAGTGGCCACTGCCTTTGAAAGCTTTCTCCAGAGGATCGGAAGAGGAGAAGACAGGATGGTGGCGGTTCCCGGGGCTCAACGAATAGCTAAAGTGAGATTCGTCGTGGACGTTGGTTTCCGAGTGGCTTAGGTTCAGCTTGGGGCTTGCTGTTCCGGGCTTGGGGGAGCCTTGGGTCCAGAAGAAGCCATCCGGTGAAGAGGCTGCCCGGCTCACTATCTTTTTCTGGGGGAGTGGAGGGGGCTGCTGGGGGCCACTGGGGGACACGTCCTCAGTGGAGCCTGAAGGAAACGGAACGGGAGCAAAGAGCTTCTTCCCGCTGTTGGTGGGCGAGTGAGCCAGCTCAGACGAGGGACCTGAAGAGGAGAGACAGAAACCATAAGACCAAGGCCAGTGCCACTCAATTCCAGGGTCCTGCAGACTTGTTTCCCTTTATTTATTTATTTATTTGGTCAGAGCAATTAATTTTATGTTACTTCTTTTCTATTTCTCTAATAGACAATATATGCACAATGGAAAAAATCAAAATGCAGAAAAGGTATAGACTGACAACTAAGTCTTCCTCCTACCCTGTCCCTCATACTCAGCTCTCTCATCAGAGGAAACCACTGTCAGTAGTGTTTCATGCATCCCTCCAACAATCCAAACAAATGCGTGCCTGCACGCGTGCGCACACACACACACACACACACACAAATTACATAGAAAAGAGCAATCGGTGGCTACTGTTTGGAATAATGCTTTTCTTTCACATCTTGGAGAGATTTTTAAATCAAATATGCAGATCTATTTAATTATTTTAAACAGTCTCACCATAATATATCACCATATGCAAGTATCATAATTTAACCATCCCTTTTTGATGGACACTTAAATTGTTTCCAATATTTTGCAAACAATGCTGCAACAGCAATAACAAACTCGAACATGTGTGGTTTCCGTGGAATTTTTTAAAAGTCAGGTTTATAGAGGGTGTAACTGGCCAATGGTAAAATTCTCCCTTTTGGCTGGGTGCGGCGGCTCATGCTTGTAATCCCAGCACTTTGGGAGGCTGAGGTGGACGGATCACTTGAGCTCAGGAGTTTGAGACCAGCCTGGCCAACATGGTGAAATCCCGTATCTACTAAAAATACAAAAATTAGCTGGGGGTGGTGGTGCGTGCCTATAATCCCAGCGACTAAGGAGTCTGAGGCAGGAGAATCGCTTGAGCCCGGGAGATGGAGGTTGTAGTGAGCCAAGATTGCGCCACTACACTCAGCCTGGGTGGCAGAGTGAAACTTCATCTAATAATAATAATAATAATGGGTTGCAGCCCTAAGGAAATGTGTACTTAGGATGTGTGCCCCTCATTGAGTTCTCCATGCCACATCACCCTAAGGGAAGAGCATGGAGTGTCTCTATGCCTTTCCACACCTTGGCAGTAGGACCAGAAAACAACAAAAAAAAGCAGAACAAAAGCATAGGAGAAGACAAGGGGTAGAAGGCCCCAAAGGAAGCAAATTATGAGTCTTGTGTCACCTCACTCAGGTGCACAGGACATTTCTAGGGCTGCTCCTGAACAGTTAATAACCTTCTAGCTCACACTGAGCCCTTCTCTGCTTTCTCCAACCCAAGAGGGAACAGAATAGATCCCTGAGGCTCAAACACCAGTTGCAAGCCACATAGATCAAGACTGGGTCTCTTTATTTCTGCTGCTCCACAGGGAGGAGGGTCTCTCTAGGGAGCAAGATGGATGGCCATGGGCTGACATTCATGCCCCAGCCTCAGTGACCGAGGCAGCATTAGTGAGCGACAGCAGGGCACAACCTTGAATGCAACGCTGACGGGAGGACAAACTCAGTGCATGCAACCTGTTGAACACAGGAGCTGAGAACCAATGGATTCATGCAAAGAAAAGCCCTGGGGAGCTGAGCAAGACTATGGGGTCCTTGCACCAATATCCTCCTTGGCTCTATCATCTATCATAAGACTCAACAGGGGCTGGGCACGGTGGCTTATGCCTGTAATCTCAGCACTTTGGGAGGCCAAGGCGGGAGGATCACTTGAGCTCAGGAGTTCAAGACCAGCCTGGGCAAAATGGCGAACCCCCAACTCTACAAAAGATACAAAAATTAGCTGGGCGTGGTGGTGCATGCCTATAATCCCAGCTACTCAGGAGGCTGAGGGGAGAGGATCACTTGAACCTAGGAGTCAGAAATTGCAGTGAGCCGAGACTGTGCCACCGCACTCCCACCTGGGCTATAGAGTGAGACTGTCACAAGTGAAAATGAAATACAAGAGGGAGCACCGTGTTTCTTAAGCTCTCCTTGCCCACTTTCCCATCTGTAGTAAGCAATCCTTGTTTCCCTGTGGTTTATCAAGATCATAGGGAGTTGCCCTTCCCATTTGCTAATGATAGGCGGGGCCCCTGGCAGCAAGGCTGAGTGAGTGATTTATACCCCTTCCAGGAGGGCTCAAGTTAATAATAAATCAAGCAGTGGTGGTGCAGTCTGGACCAGTCACTTTTACATGCCCACGAATTTCCCCCTCAATAGTCAGAATGAAGGGCGCAGAAGAAATAGCGAGCCAGAAGAGGGAAGATCTAGATGGCAGTGATCTCAGCAGGTGCTGAAATCCTGCAGTCCACAGGTCTCCCCATCCCACGCTCCCCAGGAAAGCAATGGGGACAGACGGAGGCTAGGGCAGATGATTCACTTCCTCTCCCTCCTCCCTCTAACAGAAGAGGCTGAGAGCAGGAGGAGGATCAGTTGCCACCTCCTGGATAAAAAAAGGAGGGTAAGACCACCTACTTATGAGGCTCTCAAAGGACTGTAAGCCTCAGTCACCAAACTCCCAGCCTGATGAGCAGGAGGACTGGGAGCCGTGAGCACACATCCACTTCCTGACCTTTCTGCATTCTGGGCAGCAGAAACCGTCACCAGCGAGGCGTCTGATTCTCAATTTATCATCAACACAACAGAAGCTGAGGCTGGGAGATGGGAGTGGGGTGTGATCAGAACCCTGGTCAATGCTTTCATCAGTGCCCTCAGAGACAAGGACAACCTGCCTACGGTCAGGATTCCTTCCCATCCCAAGTCCAGTCGGCTAGGGAGGTTCATAACAGATCAGTTTCCTGGTTAGTCTCTTCTTTAAGCCTTAGGCTTATTTCTCCATGTTTATTGATTTTGTCTTCCTTGTCTTTACTACAAGGCTATCCTGATGCCACCAGTATGCCCCTTTCTGCTTCTGCTCCAATTTGAGGGTGAGCAGTGGAGTGAACACTTCACCAGCTGTCAGCCTGCCCTGCCTGAGTTTCCTCCTTTAGAAAATGACCGATGACATCATTGTGAAGGCCCCTTGCAGCACTAATAGTCTATAATTTCAGCTACTCTCTCCATTTTCAACCTCTCTGAACATGCATTTTGTCTCAAAGCTGCCCCTGAAATCAAATAGCTCTAGGCAGATTGTTATCTCGGTTCAATTGTTCTTCCTTCTATGTCTAGTTCACACAAATTACCACTGGTACATTTTCCAATCTGTGAGGAGACCAGGGATCTTTTAGCAACATAATCGGTAACACTTCTAATTCCCTAGATGACCAAAGAGAACCAAGAGGTTCTGCTTTAGACTGTATGGTAGGTCCCAGCACAAAAAACCCTTCGTGTATTCAGGCAGCTGGAAGGAAGTGATTTTGTCCTTCCCTCTGTTTTCTCTTGCTTTCCTGTAGGAGCTGTTAGTCAGTGACTTTGATCAGATCTACACCGTATCACTACTTGGGTAAATCTGACAAGGGGTACTAGGTATTAGCAGAGAAGCTTAACTTCAAGAATTAGCACATGCACTGATTAATTTTTCTTTGTTTCTTAGATGCTATGAGTTTGGGGCACCAAACTCAGTACTCGCCGCATTATACACACACTCATTAGAGGCTAGCACTGCATACCCAAACATTCCCTATCCACGCCCTTGCCCAGCAGAAGTAAAGTCCTGTAGCTACACAAACCTCATCAGGTGAAATACAGCTCCCCTGAAATGTGGACTTCACAGGGATACCTGGGCATTATCTACACATATTACGATTTTTTTTTTTTTTTTGATGAAGTTTTGCTCTTGTTGCCCAGGCTGGAGTGTAATGGTGGGATCTCGGCTCACTGCAAACTCTGCCTCCTGGGTTCAAGTGATTCTCCTGCATCAGCCTCCCAAGTAGCTGGGATTACAAGCACCCACCATCACGCCCAGCTAATTTTTTGTATTTTTAGTAGAGACGGGGTTTCACCATGTTGGCCAGGCTGGTCTTGAACTTCTGACCTTCAGGTGATCCACCCACCTCGGACTCCTAAAGTGCTGGGATTCCAGGTGTGAGCTACTGTGCCCGGTCTATTATGATTTTTGTATTCAGAAAAGATATGCCTGGTTCTATGACAAGCATACTGCATTCCAACCTAACGCATTCTTCCTCTGAGTTTACGGATCCTTAAAGCTCTCCAGGTGTGGAATTACAGCTGGTGAGAGGTCAGAATTCACTCTTGGAGCCCCCACCCCCACCCCACCACCTCCAGGCCACTCCAGGCCTCCGAGGATCCTATAGTTTCTCAGGTGTTAATACTCTTGGGGATACTTTGAAATAGATGCTAACATGCAGCCCTTGTAGATGAAATTGGTTTCTCCACTACATGGCAAATGGTAGCTGTCTTCTATGGAATCTAAAGGCACTCCTAAAGACCTCCTCTGGCTAATTCTCTTGACTCTTACCTGGGGAACTATCTCTCCATAAACATGGCCTTAGGCAACACAGCATCTATGTTCTTACTGTTTGCAACGGCTGCCACACTCTGGATTAGGCAAGCTGGAAATAACAGGGAACAAATATACCCTGACACCTAAAATACTTCCGAGTTCACAGGCAAACCACTGGTTCAGAAAAGTCTGCCTAAAAAATCCTCCACGACTTTAGCCAACAGCCAATATTCTCCAGACTTGGATCCCAAGGGACATGAGACTAACTCAGACACATCCTGGTTTGATGCTGGTGTTGGATTGCTGTTTCCAAATTCTGCCTTACAATTAAGGGTGCAAAAGGGGTGAGAGGGGAGAACATTTTTCTGGGACCTTGGCCTATGTCTCAGTTGCCTCATTTGTTGGTTTTTAATAATTTTGCATGCTAATTGGGCCAGAGGGCTCCAAACCTCAGGTCCTAAGTTTTCCTTCGAATTTCCAATTCTGCATATAAAGGAAGTTCCTGGCTATAGAGTACAACACGCTCCATGCCTTTAGCGAACGTGCTTCAGGGAAGAGAAAGCATTTCTAGTGAGAAGCTACATATCACGTATGCTGCACTGGATGGGATCTTAAAAAGACCAAGGGAAGGTGCACTAGTTTGGTGTCATTATATTTAGAAAGCAGAGATGAGAAATCAGGATTTCAGTGGTTGGGAAGAACAGCTTAACCTCTCTGCAGAAATGCAGGCCATAAGTTCAAACATGGTACTCTGAGGTTTTCCTTATTATAGAGTCCTCTCTTCTTGCTGGGTTTTAATAGGCACTTTCATTGTTCTCTGCAGCCAAAATGAGAGCTGAGCTGACAGAGGAAGTGGTCAGTCCTGTTTTGGCTCTTTCTTTGCACAGCTCTGCTGTGTGATAGCAGCTGGGTCAGAACAAATGCAGAAGCAAAGGGCAGCGTCCCAACTAAGTCTCCCCAAACGTTTAGCTTTTGTGTTTGACCATTCTCCAACTTTGAGTAAGGTAAAGCAAGTGGAATATGGATGGAGAAAACCTCACCCATACCCTGTGCCCTGGGGCCCTAGTGCAATTCTCTCATGTGAGAGGTGAGAAAACTAAAGCCATCTGCACGGGCACCTTGCCAATATCACCCAGGAAGTGGCTGTCATGCAGGTTTCTGCCAACCCCCATTAACTATTCCTGCATCAGAGAGGATGAAGGGTGGGGCAGAGGGATGCTTTGGCTTCACACGGACTTGTTCCTCTGAAGGCAAGTTTTGCAATCTCTTGTTTGGTTCCACAGTCAGAGCAGGTTCAACATGAAATGTAGAAGAAAAAACAAAAACAAAAAGCAAAGCAGGCCGGGCTCAGTGACTCATGCCTGCAATCCCAGTACTTTGGTGAGCTGAGGCAGGCGGATCACCTGAGGTCTGGAGTTTGAGGGGCCAACATGGTGAAACCCTGTCTCTACTAAAAATACAAAAATTAGCTGGGCATAGTGGTGTGTGCCTGTAATCCCAGCTACTCAGAAGGCTGAGGCACAATAACCACTTGAGCCTGGAAGTGGAGGTTGCAATGAGCTGAGACTGCACCACTGCACTCCAGCCTTGGTGACCGAGTGAGACTCCATCTCAAAAAAAAAAAAGCATTTCTTTAAAAGAAACCTTTGCTTTTTTCAAGAAGATAAACGTGTTCTGAAACTGGAAGCAGGTTATTAGCATTTTACAACTGGATGGAAAATGTGGCATTTGTGAGGAGTCTCTCCAGACCACTTAATCATCCCAGGAAACAATAATCAAGATGTGAATGTGATTTACATGCGAAAGAAGAGAAAGCTCTGTCTCACTTTGGAAAACAGGCTCTAAGTATCTCGAATGCCCTGCCTACAGCTCACATGTGGTCCTGGAATTATGATCTTTCAATCTCCTGTTATAACATAATCATTAATGGTTTTCTTCCGAGTTAGTAAAATTAAAAGTTAATTCAAAGCACTTTCCATGCCGGGCACAGTCGCTCATGCCTGTAATTCTAGCACTTTGGGAGGCTGAGGTGAGCGGATCACTTGAGGTCAGGAGTTTGAGACCAGCCTGGCCAACATGGCGAAACTCGTCTCTACTAAAAATAGAAAAATTAGCCAGGCGTGGTGGCGCGCATGCAGTCCTAGCTGCTGAGGCAGGAGAATTGTTTGAACCCTGGAGGTGGGGCTCGCAGTGAGCAGAGATTGTGCCACTCCAGCCTGGGCAACAGAGCAAGACTCTGTCTCGAAAAAAAAAAGGCACTTTTCAGATGCTGTGATGGAAAAGTAAATAGACATTTTTAGAGGATACTTTGGTAATATTTATTTAAAATACACATACAGTTTGATATGTCAGTTCCACTTCTTCTAAGGATTTATCTTACAGATTTGCTCACCAAATCATGCCAATGTATGGCACAGAGTCTTACTGTAAGTCTTGCAATGAAATCAACCTAGACATGCATCAGCAAGAGAGGGATTTATAACCAAATAATATAATGAAAAATAAGCAGCAATTTCAAAAAATGAGGCAGTCCTAGGGGTTCTCATTTGAAAGGCCCCAAGATAAAGTGCAAAAATCTGTAGAACTGAATTTTATATTTCACATATGGATACACATTTTTGGGATGATACAGAAAAAAATCTTAAAAGTGATGGTAGGAGCTGGGATGGGGTGTCAGAAAACTGACTTTTCATTTTATTCCTTTCTCTGTTGTTTGAATTTTTATAAAAAAAAAGTATTGACTTTATTGGAACAATAATATATTATTTAAAATTCAGTTTAACGGGGAAGGTTTAAATGAAGTTGAAGCTTCACTTCAGTGATATTATAGCTCAGGCCACAGAAAATTTTTAAAAATAAATGTTTTTTTCCTTTGGAGCACTTCCACCCCTCCCCAACCTGTTCCTGGCTTGATTTTTCTCCTGGCACTCGCTGCCTTCTGACCAGTAGCTACTTTACATCTTATCTTTCTTATTGTCTATCTCTCCTACCAGAATGTAAGCCCCTTGAAGGGACTGGGAATTATTTCCATTGCTGAAACTTCAGCATCTAGAATTGTACCCAGCACAGAGTTTGCAATCAACAATATCTATCAAATGAATGACTGCATTAATATACATTTCTTAAAAATTTGCCAGTAGTAGTCAGCTTGTTGAGAAAAACAAGCTGACTGACTACTGTCAATATATTTAATTAGTGTTCTGTATCTCTGGTTTGCCAGCTATAAAAATAAGAATGGTATCACTGCCCTGGTACATGTATTCATGCAAGTGAGAATATCTATATGAACTGTATTTTCAGACTTCTTATCTATTGCTGGTGCCAATGGTTTCAGTTCAACAGAGAACTCTCTAATCTTCTCTAATCTCCAGGCATTCAGAAATGTTTGCCGAACTGCTGAACTGAATTTTAATGGTATCCTACATCAAAGAGGGAAATGATCTCAAGGAGACATTAGGTTTGCAAATTTACAAGTAACCACTTAAAGCAAAAAGGTCTCTTGATGACCATTTCTGATCATCATTTCCCTCACACGTCCAACCATCCATTCCCTGCAAAAACCTTCCCCTTGGCAGCCTTCATGGATCTGTCCTGACACATGCAGTCTGTACCTCCTAAACCAAGCATAAACCAAACAACTGCTTCGACAAATTTTCCTTGCACTGAGTTGACTGGCTGTTCAATTGAATTGGACAAATGGGATAACAGATGCACTGGAGGAATATGTAATCTGATACAAGTATAAAGAGGTGAAATTAACATTGATACAAAAGTGGCATTTTGCCACTGTAACATTTAGAATAAGCACCTGTTTTAAAAATGTAACAAAGTAAGAGATTTCGATTAGGTTTTCCTTATACAACTAAAACCTCCCCCCACCCATAAAACGCAAATCATTAACTTCAGCCATTGACTCTGATAAAAGTATAAAAAGGTGAAATTAACATTGACACAAAAGTGGCATTTTGCCACTGAAACATTTAGAATAAACACCTGTTTTAAAAATGTAACAAAGTTAGAGATTTCTATTAGGGTTTTCCTTATACAACTAAAACCTTCCCCCCACTCCCCTCCCCACACCCCTTTCCCCCCTCCCCCCACCTCCGACATAAAGCATGAATCACTAACTTTAGCCATTAACGCTGATACATTTCCAAGAAGTTTACACAAACTACTATCATGATATGCCCTGGAATGACTTTTTCCTCCATTCATTCAGGCCAGCCTATACTGTGGATGGAAAAAGTCAATGAAACGCATAGTTTTCACTAGCAGATTCTTACTGACAAAATAAATGTAGAAGAGTCTAATGGTATCTTTTGGCTTAATGTATAATATTAGAAAGGCAGACACTACATTCAAGTTTCAAAGAACTTCAGCGTGAACTAGTTCTTTTTCTATTTGGATCTAATCTCTCAGCTTTGGTACTGCATGCCAAACAGTAACTAAAGTTGCAATGGATAAATATTTCAGTTACAAGATAAAAGTGAGTTAAGGACCCATGGGACTGGAAGATAATTGTGCAATAACAAATCTAAGCTGCCTTGGTAAGCGGTGAGAAGTGAATGAAGGATTTCTCATATTACATGACCAGTAGTTCTGTATATTCTCCAGATTAATGATTAATGTTTAAAAGATGTCAAAAAGAAGAGAGAGAGAGAGAGAAAGAGAGAGAGAGAGAAAGAATGTCATGCCTTTGGTCTCTTGCCAGTTTCAAAACATGGTTCCGGGTACAGAGAGCCATGTCCAGGGGCAGCAGATAGAATGGTTGGCTCTCAGGGGCTAGAGTCCAGGGACAAGGTACATATCTTCTTGTTGGTCTGGGAGTCTAAGTTTTGAAATGCATTTCTACTGAACAACTAGCTTGTGATAAAGGAATACCACGACAATATATTCATTTTAATTCATGTTATTCAGAAACGAACATGAGAAAACGTCTGAATAGGTTTCCCCGTTGAACTCGCAAACCTCCAGCATTGAACTCACAAACCTCCGGCAGCTCTCTGTCTCCCACCTGCACAGATTGCTGTGAGAGCCGTGTACAATTCAGCCCCTGCTTCCCACCAAGCTCATGTCCCATTTCCCCTTGCCGGTGTCTATTGAAGCATGTCAGACTGGTCTCATCCTTCTCCCACATGCACTGCCATCCCTGTGGCTTTGTTTCTCTTTTATTGTTCTCTAAACCTGGAAAGCCCTCTCCTCCTCACCCCCTACCTCCCCAGTTCTGGCCACATTTCAGATCTGATCTCTAAGTCCCATGTTCTCATAAAGTCTTCCCTAAACCCTCCACCAGCCTTCATTGATTTCTGTCTCTTCTGGAAGCCTTTATAAGAAGCACTCATGTTCTGGGCTGCCCAATATCCTACCATATCCCATCCACCCATGTACCATGTGTTTTAACCTTATCTTTCCTAGTCAGTTCTTAGGAACCCTGCGAGTGGACGTCATGGTTTACTGGTTCTGGGAAACAAAGTGGTGAAGCCATGAAGTCCAGTTCGCCTGACACCCGCTGGTTGGTGACTGATGGTTCATTGTAGATCACTCCCCAGAACTGGTTACAATCTCCAAGAGAGTGGATCAGAGCTAACCAGCACAGGGGCTCGTGGTCGAGATGCACTGCCCTCTATGGAATAATCTGCCTTGTTGAATTTGTTATACAATGGGCTGGGAAAAGGAAGAAGATAAGAGCCTAGAAAAATCTACAGAAAAAGAAAATCTGTTGTTGCTACATTCCTCCCAAATCAAGACTAAGATATTTCCTGTTTTTAAGTAAGAACTGTCAGAGGTTTCTCATCAGAACACACCACAGACTGACTTATAACACACTCTTTTGTCTCAGCCAGTACCTATCGTTTAGGTAGAATAATGTTGCTGACAGTAAATTTGCAATGGAACCCTCTACTGTGTCATTGCCTATTGAGAAGAAATATTTCCATAGGACTGAAAAAGGAAGTCATGTGAGTACAAGTCTAAATCCAACATGCTAACGCAAGTCTAAGAGAAACGCAGGAGAGGACACATACACAAAGAATGCTGAAAGGGTGAGAGGTTTTAAATATGACCCATCCAGGCCACAACTATGGAAAAACAAGAGTTCCTTTTTAGGGACATGCCCAGTGGAGGACAGACCCACCCATAGGCCTTAGAGCTTAATCCAAAAAGCAGGCTAGATGGTGGCCTAATGTAGTCTTCATGCTTAATTCAGCAAACATTATGTAAACATCTGCTGTGTCCAGTAAGTGTGTACATGTGGGTACATGCACATGTAGATGCAAAAGAGAGAGAGAGAGAGAGAGAGAAAGAGATAGTGAGAATGTGTGGTTTAGGACCCATCCTGAGGACAGAAGTAAAAAGCAGGCCTGTACACAGATGGCTCATTACCCAAGGAAATAGGAGCCTTTCAACCTCATCTTCCTCCCACCATGTTGCCACGTCCACACTCTTATAATTTGGAGAGGGCAATATGGATGGGCTGGCTTGCCATATATTCAGTAGATAATTGACTTCAACAGCTCCCTGGAAGAGTCTACTTCATTGAGAAAGCAGGACCAAGACAGTAGTCCTTGCTCAGCCCTTCCAATCCCGCAAGCAACGCAGGACTGGTCTTGAAGGTCCAGGAGAATCTAAGCCTCTCCGTCAATGTCAAGTTTGTTACCTCCATCGCTGCAGGTCCTAGAGTCTGAGGCCAGGCTGTCCGTGGAGCCGGTGGTGAAGCTGACGTGGACACCCCTGAAGGATGGGCTGAGGCTTTCTGCAGAGCCCTGGCTCACTTTTTCCAAATCAGAGCTGCTCTTGTTCATTTTTAGAAGGTGCCTGGAAAAGGTAGGAACAAACAATACAAATAACTCATTGGATTTCCATTCAGAAACCAGGCTGATGGATCATGAACTTACCATGCTCTTGAAACCTGGCCAATGTCAGCAAGTTTATTAAAAGAAAAAAAAAAGATTTTGGGGAGACAGTAGAGGTTCTCTTCTGAGTTCTTATGTGCATGAATGACAGGAGACTTCCAGAGTGTGGTTAGGAGAAGCGAGTCTATTAAATTTAAACAAGCACCAAAATTCTTACATGGAAGGAATTGCCTTCATATTCTGACCCCATCTGCCAAAACAGTTGTGTCACTTATTATATCCTGTGTAAAATCTCTACAAAGAAAAATAAAGATATTATCATACACACCAATGTATAGAGACATACAGATATTGGGTTGTTTTTGCAAGATCCCAGGACAAATGAATTGCAAACTAGGCCTTTACAAGTGGGATTTCTTTTTTTACCTGGTACTCTTTTGCCAAAGCTTCAAAGGGTCTAGATTGTTTCTTGGAATTAAGGAAAACTTTAAATGTGAACCAGACTTCCAGTGACATGCTTAGATAGAAACAAATTGACATAACCCTTATTCCAGAACAATGGAACCAACCTTTTGCTTTTCTGTGAAATCTTTTGTTGCATCTCTAAATAGCATCACCAACAGATCAAGGACAGAAATACCAACTTCAAGAGAAAAACACTCACATTGGAGAAAACAGTTCTATTATTAGGTTGGGTGTTTAGCTTATTGATTTCTCCTTCCCACTTTCCAAGGGCCACATGAATATTCATTTCTGATCTGACATTCTCACCATGAAGGGAGACAGATCCACACCAGGTCCAGCTCTTCCCCTGCTGGTGGAAACCCACATTTGTCTGAACTGATATTTCCTGATGACATTCCTGTTCCTTCTACGGCAGATCCATATCTCAATATCTGCTATGGGAAATATACAGTACAGTACTGATTTGGCATCAGAACTGCCTTATTTAATGCGCATGACCTTACGGTCAAGAATTTATTGGCTGTTCTTTGTGTTCAACATTGCCAGGCCCTGTTTTAATTTTCATAGTCACGGGAATCCCCTGTGTATCAACAGGAGGGTTTAAAGTTTGTTCGCTACCACAAAAAGTGCTCCTTGAAAACACGTCCCTCTCCCCACTCCCAACCCTTAGAATCGTACTTTTAAACTGTGTTAAAGCTGTCAAAAAAAAAAATGTGACAGTGAAGGCAACATTATGACTAATCTTCATCTTTGTATCTCAGTATCGCTGTGGGAACCTTGGAAATATCAATTCCTTAGGAAATGCTATGGCAGTAGCTGATCCTTGCCTAATCTCCTGGCAAAATAAAATCAGACAGTTTCATACAATATTCTTATATCCACATCAGATCTATCACTAATAGTTTTCTCCAAGGGAAGCCAGGATATGAAGTCATGCATAACAACTCCTCAGTCTAGGAGAGAAGCCAGAGCCAGCTCTGTGGCTATCCCCTACTTTGCCCCTTCCAAAGTGGTTTCTAGAGTTTCTTGGTCTTCAGGCCCAGAAAATCACTAAGGGAGAAACTACAGCACCATGGCTACAGAGCTGGCACAGCTTCCCACTCCACAAACTTCATGAAATGTATGTAAATAGACAAAACCAAAAAATACATAAACATGTGTATGTATGAGCATATATATATATTCATATACATATGCACACACACACACATACTTACTTAAAGTAACAGCCAAGATTAAAA
This sequence comes from Homo sapiens, assembly GCF_000001405.40. NCBI lineage: Eukaryota > Metazoa > Chordata > Mammalia > Primates > Hominidae > Homo > Homo sapiens. Next base: position 5,006,478 of record NW_018654717.1, on the reverse strand, counting down.
GAAAGAACAATTCTCAGGTGCCAGATACAAAGAGGGAACTCCACACACAGGCAGTACAAGGGATCCTTCAATACTAAGCGTATATTTACTACAGATTTCAGTAGACGCACTTTATCAGGCTAAGGATGTTTATTTCTATTTCAAGTTTTCTAAGGTTTTGTATTTCAAAATCATTTTTGGCTATTAGGGTTTATTAAATGCCTTTTCTACATCTATGGGAAAAAAATCATATCATGTTTCTCCTTTACTCTGTGAATGTGATGAGTTATGTTAATAGCTTTTCTTAATTAAGCCATCCTTGCACATGTTGTATGAACTTATTTTACTACACATTGCTGGATTCAGTTTTACTCATATTTAGTTTAAGATTTTTACATTTACATTCAAATAGAGGCTAGCCCATAATTTTTCTTTCTTGTCCTGTCCTTGTCCAATTTGGATATAAAGGTTAAAATAGAATTATAAAATGACGGCCGGATACGGTGGCTCCCTCCTGTAATCCCAGCACTTTGGGAGGTCAAGGCGGGCAGATCACTTGAGGTCGGGAGTTCGAGACCGGCCTGGCCAACAGGCCAACCCCATCTCTACTAATCATACAAAAATTAGCCAGGCATAGTGGCCTGCGCCTGTAATCCCAGCTACTTGGGAGACTGAGGCAGTAGAATCGCTTGAACCAAGGAGGCGGAGGTTGCAGTGAGCCGAGATGGTGCCATTGCACTCCAGCCTGGGTGACAGAGTGAAACTGTGTCTCAAAAAAAAGAAAAGGAATTATAAAATGAATTGAGTAACTTTCACTTTTTCAATTATCTCATGTAATTTTTTTTTTTTTTTTGAGATGGAGTCTTGCTCTGTTGCCCAGGCTGGAGTGCAGTGGCACCATCTTGGCTCATGCAAGCTACGCCTCCCGGGTTCACGCCATTCTCCTGCCTCAGCCTCCCGAGTAGCTGGGACTACAGGAGGCGCCCACCACCACGCCCCGCTAATTTTTTTGTATTTTTAGTAGAGACGGGGTTTCACCGTGTTAGCCAGGATGGTCTCGACCCCCTGACCTCGTGATCTGCCCGCCTCGGCCTCCCAAAGTACTGGGATTACAGGAGTGAGCCACCGCGCCCGGCCTTATCTCAGGTAATTTTTATAAGAGAAACATTATGTGTTCTCTGAAAGATTGCGAAAACTACCCTGTAAAACCATCAAGGACCAGTTGCTGTATAAATGAGATCAGTAAAGATCTGGTTCTGATAAATCTAGGACCAACATTTCCAGGACACAGACCCAAGAAACAGACTGGAGGATTAACAAGTCAATTCATGGTACTTACACCAGCTATTTATGATGTGAAGAAAAAAAGAAAGTAGAGCCATATCTCATACCGTGTAGAAACACGAATTTTCAACAGAAAAGAAACACCCATTAAATTTTAAATTCATCAGAAAAAATAACGAGAAAACTTTATGAACTTGGGGTAGGAAATAATTTTTAAAATAAGGGCTAAAAAATAGCAATATAAAGAAAAAGATAAATCTGACTACTTTAAAATTTAAAACTTCTGCCTCATAACATAAAAGTCACCATTAAAAAGTGAAAAAAAACAAACCTTGGAGTGGCCAACTCACATCTTTGCAACCCGCATTACTAATAAAGTACTGGTAGGCAGAATAAAAAAGAGTGCCTATAAATCTAAGAAACAGACAAATGACCCCATTTTTAAAATGGAAATGAACAGGCAACTCACAAATGAAACAAGAAAGGCCACTCAACACATGAAAAGATTATTAAAATTATGAATGATCAGATTGTAAATAAAACAAGATTTCATTTCATACCCATCAGATCAGACTGACAACGTCAGATTTTGTTAAAGATATAGGGAAATAGGAACTCTCTCACACTGTTTGTGAGACTGTAGATTGGTAAACTCACACACAGGACAACAATGTGATGAATCTTGTAAAGTTAAATACACACATTCCTATAATCCAGTCACTCCATTTTTGGGTATATGTCCTTGAGCAATGTTACTTAAATAACTAGTAATGAATGAATGGCTAAGTCACTTGAGTGGGTCACTAGCAGTTTACTGACCAGCAGTTTATTTTAACAAAACAGAACAGAACAGAAAATATGAAAATACATAGAAAGGATTTGTGAAACTTTGTTTTGTAAAACTTTTGTTTCAGATGTGTGTTTGTTGGGTCATGATATTAATGTTTCTTATTGTGGGTCATGGTTTTTAAAAAAGGTTAAAAATTACTGCTCTAGAATATGAGTCAACAAACTTTTCCTTAAAGGGCCAGATGGTAAATATTTTAGGCTCGTGGACCATAAGGGTTCTGTTGCAACTACAGAACTCTGCTGTTGTAGCTGGAAAGCCACCATAGAAATTAGTGGCATGTTTTCTAATAAAGCTTTATTTACAAAAACAGATGTCTTGCATGTGGGCAATCAGTTACTGGCTGGTCTTGACCAGCCTTGTCCAATAGAATTATAATGCAAGCCATATATGTAATTTTAAGTTTTCTGGTAACCACATTTAAAAAATGTAAAATAAATGGGAAAAAATAATTATAGTAATACATTTTATTTAACATAATGTATTCAAAATATTGTCACTTTAAGCAGTAATCAGTATAACCTATATCAATTATTAATGATATATTCCATATGTTTTTTTCATCCTAAGTCCTTAAAATGTGGCATGCATTTTATATTTACTCACATTGCAATTCTGACTAACCACATTTTAAGCTAGTGGCTACCATACTGTGCAGTACAGAGCTGGAGAAACTCTTATAAGTGGAGAAAGGTGTTCACAACGTTACAAATAGCAAATAACCTTCTAAACTGTTGAACGGTGCTTCCACAAAGGAATGAAAACATTGTGGTATAGTCTTTTGGTGGGATACTTTATAGCAGTAGAAAAAAATGAACTGGATTTTAGGGTAGCAATATGAAGAAATATTTTAAAATGCTGAGTATTAAAAGTAATTTACAAAAGGCTCAAGTAAAATGTGATGCCATTTGTATAGAGATTAAAAACATATAAGGATATATACATGTTTTACGGAGCACATAATAAAATGTAAATGATACTCATCAACTTCAAGACAGTGATTGCTCTGGGTAGCAATGGGAGGTTGAAATGGGAATTGGATAGGGAGGGATCTTCCACAGTAGCAGTAACATTTTATTTTTAAAAAATCTAAAGCAAATGGCAAAATGTTAATATTTGAAAAATCTTAGGGAACACCTGCAGGTCAGTTAAATTATTATCTGAACTTCACTGCATGCTTGGAATATTTGATACACTAAAAATGAAAATTTCTAGTGAGAAAGCAAATCACAGGGCCTGAATGAGGCAGGGGGTGGCTGCTCCTGTTGATCTGTTGTTGCGCCTCTGGAAGGCAAACAACACACAAAATAACACAGTGGGATTTCCATCAGACCCCTCAGTGGGAACAGGCAGTCTCAACGAGGGTTGGTTCCACCACAGAGCACCCCTGTGGCTGGAAACAGTTGCATCATAGACCTAACTACTCTTTTAAGACTTGGGAGTTAATTCTTCTGTCTATAGTTACTATAGCAGAAGTCACTGTTGTCAAAACTCTCATCAAGTGAATGCAGACAAAATTAGTCTATCCCTGTGATTACAGGATAAATTATCCGCAGGGTGTGTGTGTGTGTGTGTGTGTGTGTGTGTGTGTGTGTGTGTGTGTGTGTGTGTGTGTGTGTTAGGGAGGAAGGGAGCCTCCCAAAGTGGACTTTGGTAAATCTTAGTTTCTAAGCCACAAGTGGAATTTTCATGGCTTTTGGGATCTAACTGCTTCTTCTTTATTGGAAAAGCTTGAGAAATCCAGCTTCCTGCCAGGTCGCTAAAACCCAACAGGTGACCAGGCATCGTGGCCCAAGCCTGTAATCCCAGCACTTTAGGAGGCCGAGGTGGGAGGATCACTTGAGCCTGGAAGTTTGATACCAGCCTAAGCAACATAGTGAGACCCTGTCTCTACAAAAAAAAAAAAAAAGAAAGAAAGAAAGAAAAAGAAAATCAGAAATCAGTAGGCATTTGGAATGCTCAGTTGTAAATGGGGATATAACAGGTCTTCCAAAACACACGTAGGTGACCCTTTTGCTTAATAGCAAAATCTTAAGGCTGGGCACAGTGGCTCACACTTGTAATCCCAGCACTTTGGGAGGCAGAGGCGGGTGGATCACTTGAGGCCAGGAGTTCGAGACCACCCTGGCCAACATGGTGAAACCCCACCTCCACTAAAAACAAACCAAAAAATTAGCCAAGCACGGTGGTGTATGCCTGTAGTCCCAGCTACTCAGGAGACTAAGGCAGGAGAATCGCTCAAACCCGGGAGGCGGAGGTTGCAGTGAGCTGAGATGGCACCACTGCACTCCAGCCTGGGTGACAGAGCGAGACTCTGTCTCAAAAATAAAATAAAATAAAACCTTAGGACTGATGACTCTTTCTTATGAACTGCATTAAAAAGCATCCGCCCTGGAAACCTGTGCAATCTGTACTTTTTGAGAATTGCCACTTTAATTAGGGCATGAGCAAAACCACATCAAATTAAAAAATGAACAGGAAGCTTGCCATCAAAGCACAGACTTACAATCAAGTTGTTTGGGTCTTTACACTGTGTGTAAAATAGACTTCTTAAGAATCCCTGGAAAAGGCTTACTATTGCAATGATGACTTTTCTGAGCCCTAAAGGATTGTTCTATCAGATGTGAGGCCAAAAGACAATGAGTGTACTCAATGCGGTATAACAAGACTACTTAGCCTTTTTTAAAGGCACTTTTCCTTCATTAATAATAATTTGATCTGTCTTTCACAAAACTGGTGCAAACCATCTGCAAAATACTTCCATGGACAAAAACCTCATACTCCAGTCTTTTCTGTCTGTTTGGTGAATAACATTCTTATCATCTACAGTGAGAGTACAGTCTCCACAGATGTCTTCACTCACGTAGTGTGATAAAAGACATCTTGTGCTTAACCTCAAACTTCCTTTCGGCCTCCCACTGTTGATTACATACAGTCCAGGCAGGCAGGGTGAAAGGTACAGGCCAGTGGCACGGTGTCCTCAGAGCCCCAGCCCTGCAGCTGCTGCCCAGTGTTTTGAGAATAGCTTTTCCCTCCATTGTCCTTAGAGAGAGGTCTTGCCAGAGTGGTCTCCATACTATGTTGGTGGAAAGCTGGAAAAAAAGACTCCAGCCGGAAGAGCCATCTGCTAGACTTCCTCATTCGTAGGAACAAGCCTCATCTAAAAATACCCCCGAAGCTTTCAGAATGAGAGCTTTCAGAATGCCCACAATCCTTAACGGATGCGGGGCCCCAGTGTGCAGCAGAGAGTGAATCTCACACTTTCCATGGCTGTTAAAATCCTCATATGACAGCAATATTCAAAGTGTGATTGAGGCCGATTTTCATTCTCACTGCCCCTGACTTTTGTTTGGTTCACATACATTTGGCCGAGAGCTTTCTGCCACTGGAGCGGAATCTTTGAAAACCCACATATGCCAGCATGCAGTTTCAGACTGGCTCTCTAAATCCCAGCAGGCATTCACACTGCTGGCTCTTGGGATTGGTCAAATACACTAGTAAGTTTAGTAATGATCTGGAGAAGATCTAAAGGAAAGTTTTAGAGCATCAAATAAATGTTCTGAAAGCAAGAACAAGTTTTTAAACAGTCTATACATGTTTTTTCAATTACAAAGAAGAAAGGAAAAGACTGGTTTTAAACTCAAACAACCAATAATTGTCTCAAAGACTGAGAACCTCTTACCATTCTAGACTCAGGCCCGTAGTGCTGTCCTTATCAGTGAGGCCTCCCCGGCCTTGTGACTAGCTGGGACAGTGACTTCAGGTTCCCAAGGGGCAGCCCTTGGGTGTGAAGAGCCAGCTTCAGAGGCAGCCGGAATGCTTCTCCAGGCTGCTGTGAATTCACCAGCTCAGAGCTCTCTGTTTCCCCTCAGTTCCTCTCTGACTTTTCTATAAAATGCACTTCCTGCAAAAGCACAGGAAAACAGAGACGGCTCTGCCTCTCTGACCTGCAGCTTTCAATCTCCAATTGTCTTATTTGGCTCCATGATTCAAAGCAATTCAAATATGCTCTAAAATACATTAAGTTTCTCTTCATTTATTCTCTACTATTTAGCCACTTACTAAAGTCAAAATCATTAAGCAATTCGAGTTTTCTTGGTGGATAAGAACACTCTGTTTTTAACTTATCATATGCCTGTGTTACCTGCAGTGGATCTTCCTCCTTGTCTATCCTGAATACCTTTCCCAGGCTTTTCAGCATTAAGCCGACTCTGTGCCAAGCGCTGTTAGGTGTTGGGGATACAATGGTTAACAGAGCTGACAAGATCCCTGTGCTTGAACAAACCTGCAGACCTAGAAGAGAAATATTTATCAAGCTCCTCTAGTGAGAGATCAATTCACATCTTTTTTTTTTATTTTTTGAGGCAAAGTCTCACTCTGTCACCCAGGCTGGAGTGCAGCGGCATGATCTCAGCTCACTACAACCTCTGTCACCCAGGCTGGAGTGCAGCGGCATGATCTCAGCTCACTACAACCTCTGTCACCCAGGCTGGAGTGCAGTGGCGTGATCTTGGCTCACTACAACCTCTGCCTCCCCGGTTCAAGAGATTCTCATGCTTCAGCCTCCCATGTGACTGGGACTACAGGTGCATGCCACCACACCCGGTTAAGTTTTGTATTTTTAAGAGACACAGGGTTTCTCCATGTTGGCTAGGCTGGTCCCGAACTCCTGAGCTGAAGTAATCCACCTGCCTTGGCCTTTCAAAGTGCTGGGATTATAGGCATGAGCCACCACACCCAGCAATTCACATCTTCAGAGAATATTTGCAACCTTGGTAAAAGCACCCTGACTCAAAATCTTTGTAAAATGGACGATCCTGAAAGAGTCCTACCTGGCACTCCCATAAGGATTCTCTCTAGCTTAGCCACCATGTTGGATTGACTCAGGTCCTCTGTAGTGACAGAAACACACATCTCAAATTTTCTTTGACAATCTCAATTTCAAATATTCCCCATAGTCTATTCATTCCATTGTACACATTCCAACACATTCCTAGGCTTCTGGTTTAGAAAACAAAGTATCATCATTTTGGTTAACATACTGCTATTTCCCCTCCTAAATCCTCTGTTCCAAGCAGGCTCGTCTTTGTCCTCTGATTGTCTCCAAAGCACCAAAGTGCTCCTTCTCTTCTCCTAACTGTGGCTCAGAGGAAATGCTCCTCTCTCCCTTTCAAACCATCTCCATCCTCAAAACCCAGCATCAGTTTCACTTACCTACAAATTCCTCCCAAACTATTTCAGTCTTCTCTGACCCTTCTCATCCTTCTGTAACTGACACTGCACTGAGTCTGAATCACATCACTGAGAATTTGGTTATAATCCTGGTTACATTTTTCTAATTGTTTGATGTGAAATAGGCTTGTAACCGTTCCAAAATTATAAATGGTTTGAGGAGCTGTGTCACAGTTGAGACGTGCTGGAACACAGAGTCATTATTAAACAGTTCTTGATTAAGTTTATCTGCCTCTGTTTTGAGGCCACAGTGGCATCTGGGAGAATAAATGTTTCCTTTAAGAAAGAATTACACTTGCCCAGCAAAACTTGCAAAAGGCAGGAACACAGAGCAACTGATAACCATCAAGAATACCAGATTCAATAGCTGAAACTTTCTCATATCTACTAGGTTGGTGCAAAAGTAATTGTGGTTTTTGCCATTAGTACAAAATACACCTGTTCTAAAATATTCTGAATTTTCACAAATCTTGTAGTTTTTAAATGCTTTTTTATCCAGAAGATAGGAGGAGAAAGGCAGATAACTAAGCTGGGGAGGTTTCTATTATTTATCTATCTATCTATTTATTTATTTATTTATTTATTTATTTATTTATTTTTTGAGACAGAGTCTCGCTCTGTCACCCAGGCTGGAGTGCAGTGGCATCATCTCGCCTCACTGCAAGATCTGCCTCCCGGGTTCACGCCATTCTCCTGTCTCAGCCTCCTGAGTAGCTGGTACTACAGGCGCCCGCCACCTCGCCAGGCTAATTTTTTTTATATTTTTAGTAGAGACGGGGTTTCACTGTGTTAGCCAGGATGGTCTCGATCTCCTGACCTCGTGATCCACCTGCCTCGGCCTCCCAAAGTGCTGGGATTACAGGCCTGAGCCACCGCGCCCGGCCGGTTTCTATTATTTTTATCGTTGGAGCTTTTTGATGAAGATGCTAAGGGAGCTATTTTGCAAATGCCTAAATGCCAGCTGAAAAAACTGATAGGGCCAATCTTCTCTGGGGGCATGTTTTCCACCCGCTGATTTATTAGGATGCATAAATATAGGAAATCAGTTTCATCTTTGGTCAGATGACCTCTGTGGTCCCCATGGTGCAGGCCTGTTAATTTGCATTTTCAGTTAATGCACTAGTGACTCTTCTGGAGCTCTACAAGTTTAAAAGCCCTTTGTTTTAACTTCATATTCAGTAGAAACCATTTAACACAGGATAAACTCATAGTTACATTAAAAGATAGGAAAATACACACACACACACACACACACACACACACACATACCACACAAACACACATACATGCACACACACACACATTTCGGTTACTAGTTGGTTTCAGTCAAGGATAAAAATTCTTAAATTGGTCAGATGGAAGTGTACCCTGATTATATACAGATATACTTTAGCATGAGAGATAGAAACATTTTTTTAAAGATGACAATTCAGATTTCAGAAAAGCAAGTCTTTTATTTGTGGCCCCAGCCTACACAGTTGTGGACTTTTCCAAAGAAGTGCTGGGCTGCCTGGTGCAGGAGTGAGGATGGCAGATGTTTGGGGGTATCCAGGTGCGGAGGTTTCAGCTGAGGCTGCAGACAGGGAGATGGAGCTGCTGATGAGCAGGTAAGAGAGTGATGAAGAACTCATAGCTTGGCTCCATCACCCCTGTACACTACACTTTCATCTCTAAAATGATCACCTAAGAACAACGTGTTCCAACTCATGGCCTGGAAAGTCAAGGAGGAAACTCACATCTGTTCACACAAGAGGAGCAGATGGGAAGAAAAGGAGATGAAAAGAGAAAAAGTGGGAACTAACAAGAGAGTAACTGCATTCCACAAAAGGGCCTCTCCTACCAGCTGCCTTGCCTATAGGCAAGCACAGTATCCCAGGGCCCTCAGGAGCTACTGGGAAGAACAATGATGCTAGCAGTTGAATAACTTCCTAGACGGATTTCAGAGTCACCAAGGATGGCCAATGATGTGGTGGTTAAGAGCATGAACACTGGTGCTTCACGGCCTGGGTTCGGGTCCTGACTCAATGCTTACTGGCTGTGTGTTTTGGAAAAGGCCCTTAATCTCTCTCTGTTTCAGCTTCCCATCTATAAAATGTGGATAATGACAATACATACCTCATGCAGTTATTAGAAAGATTCAATGAGTTATTATTTATAAACTGCTCAAAACAGCACCATGTACATAGAAAGTGCTCGTTAAATGGATGGATGGATGGATGGATGGATGGATGGATGGATGGGTGCATGGATGGATGGATGAATAGATCAATGGATGGATAAACAGGCAAACAGAGGACTTCTGCAGTCTCCAGTATACTGAGTGTATTAGTTAGTTCTCTATTGCTATAAAGAAATACCTGGGACTGGGTAATGTATAAAGAAAAGAGGTTTAATTGCCTCATGGTTCCACAGGCTGTGCAGGAAGCAAGATGTTGGCGTATGGTGGGCTTCTGGGTAGGCCTCATGAAATTTAAAAACATGGCAGAAGGCAAATGGGGAGTCAGCACTTCACATGGCAAGAGTAGGAGGAAGAGAGTGAGGGAGGTGCCACACACTCTTTTGAACAACCATATCTCATGAGAACCCTATCATGAGAACAGCACCAAAGGGGGAAATTCGCTCCCATGGTCGAATCACCTCCCACCAGACCCCATCTCCAATATTCGGGATTATAATTCAACATGAGATTTAGGTGGGGACACAGATCCAAACCATATGACTGAGTAATTCTTTTTGCTATCGACAGAAGCAGAAATCTTCAGATAGTCTAGAGGTTCACCCTACTTTGATGTCTCTACTCTTACTACAACATTTAAAAGATCTGCAAGGAAAGATAAATAGAATGATGCTTTGAGGACATGCATTATTCTAAAATCATGAGAAAGAGTTGATTTGTCCATTGACCAGACCTCATTTTGAATTTGTGTGTTCAAGAACTAGATAATTTATAGTATAGCCCCAGATCCAGGAGGTGACATATTCCTCAGCTAATCAGGTTGCTTAGCTCTATCACTTCGCTTTCAGTATATAAAGATCTAGAAAGAGAACAACCTATTTTATTACATCAGCCTGCCTTCCCCTTGCAAAAAAGAATCTCCCATGAGTACCCTTAGCCTCCTAGAACTTTCCTTTCTCCCTTCACACCATCTCCTCATCCCCCAGCACACATCTACCTCTGGTGTTTGGTTAAACAAAAACACTAGTGAGTTGTTACCCACTTGGGAGTCACTGCAGTTCTGGGCTTGATCGAATCCTATTGAAATCCCACCAAGATCCCCTGTGCCTGACCAGAATCTTTGTGTTTCTAGACTAATGGTTTTGGTGACCTTGCTTTCAGAATTCTCAGACCCTAATTTTCTTGATTTGGTGAATATTTCAAATTCACTTTGTTGAACCAGCTTCAGTGTATTTTATACTAGACTTCATTTCTACCCTTCTAGCTTGAGAGGTTATTTGGACCAAAGCTCTTAGGATGAGCTACTTCCCCATTCTTCACGCTGGGGCAGCCTTTTGCCCAATAAGGAGCAGACACCATCACAGGTTCTCTCCACACTCCCTGATCAATTCTTCACTCTCTTATCTGCATCTCAACAGGTCCAGCTCTCTGTCTTCAGACTCAGTTGACCTCCCCATTCTGGATATCCCCAAGCATTTTCCATCCTCATTCCTGTACCAGGCAGCCCAGTGCTTCTCCAGGAAAAAGTCCACAACTATGCAGGTTGGGGCCACAGTTAATTCATACTACCTCTCAGGGCTCCCTGGTAATGCTTGTACTTGACCCAAATCAGCTGTTCCAAGCATTCATCACTTTTATTCATCTTCTTAGTCACCATACTCATCTCTCTCAAGTAAGTCCTCTATTTCTCCATGACTCACAGTTTCTCTTCCTGTTAGTTCTTAAGTGCAGAGAAGTGAGATGACCATATGCCTAATTAATGACACATTTTTACATTGGTCTGCATTATTTTAGTTTTTCCCTTCATCTCTACCTCTACTCTAATTTGCCACTTTCCCAATATCTCACTTCTAGGTATACACACTATATTTGGTATACCTGTATGTTTGTTTTATATCTTGAGTTTTTCTTTGAATAAAGATTTTGTACTTGCTTACAAAAAATCCATTTTAGCTTTAAGGGCATACATAAGCTGAAGGTGAAGGGAAGGAAGAAGATATTCCATGCAAATAATAACCAAAAGAGAGCAGAGATGGCAATACTTATATGAGATAAAATAGACTCCAAGTCAAAAATGGTTACAAGAGACAAAGAAGGGGATCATTTAATAATAAAGGGGGTGATTTATCAAGAGGACACAACAATTGTAAATACATATGTACAAACATTAAAGTATCTAAATATAAAAAGCAAATATTAATGAACATAAAAGAAGAAATAGATAGCAGTATAATTATAGTAGGAGACTTCAACACCTCATTTTCAACAATGTGATAGATCAACCAGACAGAAAATTAATAAATACTGAACTGGAATTAAGCTTTAGACCAAATGGACCTAAAAAGCATATATAGAACTTTCCATATAACAGCAGCATTCTTCTCTAGCACACATGGAACTTTTTCCAGGATAGACCACATGTTGGGCCATAAAACAAGTCTTATAAATTCAGGAAAATTGAAATCATATCTAGTATTGTTTCCAACCACAACAGTGTGAAATTAGAACACAATAATATGAGGAATTTTGTAAAATTAACAGATATGTAATAATGAAACAACATGCTCCCAAAACAACCAGTAGTTAAAGAAAAAAATCACAGAAATTAAAAAATTATCTTGAGAAAAATGACAATAGAAATACAATATATCAAAATGTATAAGATGCAGAAAAAGTAGTTCTAAGAGGAAATTTTATAGCAATAAATGCCTTCATTAAAAAAGAAAGATCCCAAATAAATAGTATAACATTATATACCTCAAAGAAGTAGAAAAAGGACAAAACCACGTGTGGCGCTTATGCCCATAATCCCAGTACTTTGGGAGGCCAAGGCTGAAAGACTGTTTGAGCCTAGGAGTTTGAGTCTGCGGTAAGCTATGATTGATCCACTGCACTCTAGCCTGAGTGACAGAGTGAGGCCCTGTTTCAAAAGAGAAGAAGATGAAGAAAAAGAAGAAGAAGAAGATAAAGAAGTAGTAGTAGTAGTAGTGGTAGTAGTAGAAGAGGAAGAGGAAGACCACCCATTGCACAAGGGAGGAAATAATAAAGATTAGAACAAAAATAAATAAAATAAAGAACAGAAAAGCCACATAAGGAAAAAAAAAGTCAATAGAACTGAGAATTGGTTCTTTGAAAAAAACAAGCAAAATCAACAAACCCCTAGATAGACTAAGAAAATAAGGAAAGAAGACTCAAATAAAATCAGAAATGAAAGTGGGGACATTGTAACAGATGTCTCAGAAATAAAAATGATCATAAGGGACTATTATGAACAATTATATGCCAACAAATTGGATGACAGAGAGAAAATGGATAAATTCCTAGATTCAATATTGAATCAGGAAGAAATAAAAAGCTTGAACAGACCAGTAACAAATAAAGAGATTGAAGAAGTAATTAAAAACGTTCCAACGAAGAAAACCCCAGGACCAGATGGCTTCACAGCTGAATTCTGCCAAACATGCAAAGAACAATTATTACCAATACTTCTTAAATTCTTCCAAAAAAAAAAATAATAATAAAGCTAGAGGGAATACTTCCAAAAACTTTTTATGAGGCCAGCATCACCTTGATACTGAAGCTTGACAAAGATACCACAAGAAAAGAAAAAGTACAGGCCAATATTGCTGATGAATATTAATTCAATTCTCAATAAAGTATTGCAGACTGAATTCAACAATACATTCAAAAGATTACGTAATGTGACCAGTGGGATTTATCCTTGGCATGCAAGGCTGGTTTGGCATATACAAATAAATCATTGTAATATGTCACATTAACAGAATGAAAGATAGAAACCACATCTAAATTGACATAGAAAAAGCATTTGACAAGGTACAGCATCCTTTCTTGATAAAAACTCTTAACAGCTTGGGTATAAAAGAAAAGTTCCTCAACATAATAAAGGCCATTTATGAAAAACTCACAGCTAATATCATAATCAATGGGGAACAACTAAATGTTTTTCCATTAAGATCCAGTAGTAGGCAAATAAATCCACTTCTGCCACTTCATATTCATCATTGTACTGGAGGTACTAGCAAGGGCAATCAGACAAGAAAAAGAAATAAAAGGCATCCAAACAAAAAAAGGAAGAAGTAAAATTATCCGTATTTACAGATGACATAATCTTGTATGTGGAAAATCCCAAGAATTCCACCAAAAAAAGAACTAAAATGAATTCGGTAAAGTTGCAGGATAGAAGATCTATACACAAAAACCAGTAGCATTTCCACATACAAAAAAACAATCCAGGTGAAAAAACAAAAATCAAGAAAACAATCCAACTTACAATGGCATAAAAAATTAGGAATAAATTTAAACAATGAGGTGAAAGATATGTATACTGAAAACTATAAAACATTAAATGCAAGAAATTGAAGAGGACATAATTAAATGCAAATATATACCATGTTCATGGATCAGAAGAATTAATATTGTTGAAATGTCCACACCACCAAAAGTGATATACAGATTTAATGCAATCTCTATCAAAATTCCAAAGGCATTGTTCACAGAAATAGAAAAAACAATCCTAAAATTCATATGGAATGACAAAAAAAACCCTTCAAATAGTCAAAGCAATATTGAGAAAGAAAAAAGGAAAGATGAATTTGGAGCCTTCATACGTCCCGATTTTAAATTATATTACAAAGCTATAGTAATCAGAAAAGAATATGGTAGTGGCATAAAACCAGAAGCATAGAGCAATAAAACAGAATACAGAGCTCAGAAATTGATCCAGACATACATGGTCAACTAGTTTTTGACAAGAGCATCAAAAGGGCACCATAGAAAAGATAGTCTCTTTAATAAATGGTGCTGGGAAAACTGTATCTCCACATGAAACAGAATGAAACTGAACCCTTATCTTATATCATACACAAACATAAACTCAAAATGGATAGAAGGCCTAAATGTAGGACCTGAAGTCATAAAACTATGAGAAAAGAACATAGGAAAATCTATTTGATATTGGCCTTGGAAATGATTTTTTGGATATCGCACCAAAAGCTCAGACTACAAAAGCAAAAATAAATAAATGGAACTACATCAAACAGAAAACCTTCTGCACAGCAAAGGAAACAATCAACAAAATGAAAAGGCAACTTAGGAACTGGGAAAAAATGTTTGCAAACCACGTGTCTGATAAGACATTAATGTCCAAAACTTATGAAGAATTCTTACAACTCAATAGCAGAGCAATAAGTAACCATACTAAAATATGGGCAAAGGATCTGAACAGACATTTATCTGAAGACATAAAACTCACCAACAGATAAATGAAAAGGTGTTCAACATCACTAATCAGGGAAATGCAAATTTAAACCACTGTGAGATATCACCTAGCACTCATTAAGATGGCTGTTATCAATATGAAAGACAACAAATGTGGGTGAGGGTGTGAAGAAAAGAGAACACTAGTGCATTTTTGGTGGAAATGTAAATCATTATGAAAACTATAGAGGTTTTTGTTTTGTTTTGAGACAGGGTCTCACTCTGTCACCTAGGCTGGAGTGCAGTGGTGCAATCATGGCTCACCACAGCCTTGACCTCTTGGGTTCAAGTGATCCTCCTGCCTCAGCCTCCCAAGTAGCTGTTACTACAGGCATGTGCCACTGTGCCCAGCTAATTTTTTTGTATTTTTTGTAGAGATGAGGTTTCATTATGTTTCCCAGACTGGGCTCGAACTCCTGGGTTCAATAAATTTGCCCATCTCAGCCTTCCAAAGTGCTGGGATTTCAGGCTTGAACCACCACGACTGGCCTAGAGGTTCTCAGTGGCATTTTTTGCAGAAATAAAAGATACATCCTAAAATTCATATAAAACCTCAACATATCCTAATAGCCAAAACAATCTAGAAAAAGAACAAAGTTGGAGGTCTCACACTTCCTGATTTCAAAACTGATACAAAACTACAGTAATTTAAAAAGTGGAGTACTAGCATATAGACATATAGACTAATGTAATAGACTAGAACGTCCAGAAACAAACCCTCATGTATACGGTCAAATGATTTTCAACAGGAGTGCCAAGACCATTCAACGTGGAAATGACAGTCTTTTCAACGAATGGTGCTGGTAAAAGTGAATATCCACATGCAAAAAAATGAAAGTGGACCCTTGCCTAATATTGTATACAAAAATTATCTAAAAATGGGTAAGAGACCTAAACTTAAGACCTAAAACTATAAAATTCCTCGTGGAAAACAAAAAGAAAAAAACTTAATGACATTGGATTTGGCAATGATTTCTTGGATATGACAACAAAAGCAAAGACAACAAAAGCAAAAATAGATAAACTGGACTACATGGGAATAAAAACATGTTGTGCATCAAAGGACATAATCAATAGAGTGAAAAGGCAACACATGGATTGGGAGAATATATTTCAAATCCTACATCTGATAAGCGGTTAATATCCAAAATAAACAAACAACACTTAAAACTCAACAACAAGAAACCAAACAATCCAATTAAAAACTGGTCAAAGAACTTAAATTTGTCAAAAAACAAAACAAAACAAAAACCCACAAGGGCCAGTAAGCACATAAAAAGATACTCAACATCTTTAATCATTTGGAAAACACAAATCAAAAGCACAATGAGACAACAACTCATCCCATTAGGATGGGTACTATAAAAAACAAAAACAAAACAAGTTTTGAAGACACATGTGGAGAAATTGGAACCCTTGTGCACTGTCAGTGGGAATACAAAATGGTGCAGCTGCTATGGAAAACAGTAAGGCAGTTCCTCAAAAAATTAGAAATAGAATCACCAAATGAGCCAACAATTCCACTTTGTGGTATATATTTCAAAGAACTGAAAACAGGGTCTCTAACAGATATTTGCTTACCTGTGTTCATAGCAGTATTATTCACAGTAGCCAAAATGTAGAAGCAACTTAAGTATCCATTAACAGACGAATGAATAAACACAATATGGTTCTGCGAATGTATGGGAAAAACAAATTCAGTTCCTCCTATACTGTCACAATACAAAATACTTCTGTGACCTCAGATCTTGTTAGTTGTCCACCCCAACACCATGCAAGCAATCAATTCTGCAGCAAACACCAGCTGGTTGCTACCAAATTCAATTCAATTCTGACACTATCTACCTAGAGGTAGAGTCAGATCCCACAGGTTGAGGGTTCAGTTTCAGAAGACTTCCCCCTACTTCCAATGCCAATCCAAAGCCCAGGTTGTTTTATCTGTGCTTCTGATCAATCAATTATAAATTGGGGCTCCCATAATCTCCTCCTTGGGTTCAATTAATTTGTTAGAGCTGCACATAGAACTCAGGGAAATGCTTACAAGTTTATTATAAAGTATATCACAAAGGATACAGAAGAAGAGAAGCATGGGCAAGGCGTGTGGGAAGGGGCATGATGCTTCCATGCCCTCTCTGACAAACCACCCTCAAGGAAACCCCAGAGGTTCTGCTATTCAGAAACTCTCTGAACTCTGTCCTCTTAGGTTTTTATGGAGGCCTCATTACATAGTCATGATTAATTAAAGCATCAGCCATTAGTGATCAACTTAACCTTCAGCCTCTCTCCCCAACCCTGTGGGTTGGAGTGGGACTGAAAGTCTCAACCCTCTAATCTTGTCTTGGTTTTTCAGGTGACCAACTCCCCTACTGAAGTGACCAAGGGGCTGCCAGCCCTCAGTCAATTCATAAGCATACAAAAAGACACATCATTTCTGTTGGAAAGGAATGCTTATTCCTTGGTGCTACAAAGAAGAATCAGCATTCAGACAAAAAGTTTTCTCAGCAAGACAATTTTACTTTCTGCAGAAAGGGTGCTGCCCATCAGCAATCCTGCCACGAGAGCACACTGAACAAAGAGACACAGGAATATTTATCCCTTATGGGTGAAGTCCCTATTGCTTTGTCCTACCTCCACTGGCTGGAGCTGGACCTCACAGTCTAAGCTTAGCCCAATTGGCTAACAATCTAAAACTTTCCTAAATAGGTAAAGACAGTGCTAAACAAAGGAAAAGAGGAAGTTGCTTACATAAAGGCTTATAGAAGCAATAACATTTCCAAATAAGGAAGGGATATAAGCTGTGACCTGGGACATGCCTGAGCAAGCCAAAACTCATATTGTAGTTAAAGTATATGTATATATAAAATGCTTATCCTTTTACACTTAATGACTATGTAAGGTTTAATGAAGAGTTATTGTTAAAAGCTAGTCTTTAAGATAAACTATTAGTTCTAACACTTATGATTTATTCCTTAATAAAAAAGGTAAGCTTGAAGAGGAACTTTTTACTTTTCACAATTCCCTCCTCTTATTTTTTTATAGTTTTTCCTCTTCAAACTGTTTTAATATTTCTTGGCTTAATTGCTCTGATTGAATTTCTAAAAGGAGAATTTTTTCTGAATAAGGTGGAGGAGAGTTAAGATGGGTTTTAGTAAGAGTTGTTTTTGTTAATCTTATTACTAATTCCCAGATGCATGGTATAATACAACACCCAAGAAGAAGGAGTATGCCTATTACAGTTGCTATAGAAGTAAGAATTGAGGCTACAGTTTCTTTCTATTGACCGGACCATCCTTCTAGCCAATTAGAAATAGCGTTAGGTACAACAGGATGAGTTGTCTAGACTATCTGATTGATAGCTCTAAGGTCTTGCACTAATCAGTATGACCCGTCTGATTACTTGACTGGTAAAATTGGAGTATTGGATGAGGACATACAAGGTTTGAGCAGCCCATCTTTAATAAGTCCTTCAATTACAGGCTTTAACCCTATTCTTCCTTATAAAGGAATACGGTATTGCTTTCTCCTTACTACCTCCCCTGGAGTTTTTAACCAAATATGTATTGGAGGAATTCGTAGCTTTCCTCAGTTTCCTTGACCAGACATCTGGATGTATGTATTTTTCATCTATCGCAGTTAACAAATTTAAAGAGGTTAGAAAACCTTTTGGACCAACTTGCAAACCTATACCTAATTTATCATTAAATCCCTTACTAACAAATTGGTTCCTGCTTCAGGAATTAATAAAAATTGTATACAAGTCGATTGATCTTGATATTTAACTTCCATATTTTCTAAAATTTTTGCCTTAAATCCTTCTCCTTTGACCCTGGAAACTGTCAATTCCTCTGAGGAACGAGCTAAATCAGCTGGAGGAAAACCAACAGATGAGTGAGCAGCTCCTGAGTCAATCAAAAAGGTGATTAATTCATGTTTGGGTCCCACCTCTAAATTTATCAAGGGCTCTTGGTGGGACTCGAAATAGAAAAGACAGAGCCCCTGACCCCTCTATTCTTCTTCAGAAGTAGTCACAAATGGGAGAGCTTCCTCTGCTTTTTCCAATTCAGGACATTCGTTCTTAAAATGACCTGGCCTCCCACATCTGTAACATCTGTCTTGCCCTCCCTGTCTTCCAAGCCCAGGGCCCCTTTTCTTCTTCTCTTTATTTTCATATCCACAGCCCCTATGGCACTTACTTTTACCTTCTCCTCTAAAATACTGACCTTGCCTTCATTCTCTCTGCATTCCTGAATTACCAAAATTTCTCCTCTTGCCTCCTCTAGAAAATCCTACAGGTGTGGGTCTAGACTTAGCCCCCTACATCATCTGTCCTGGTGAATTCTGCCAAAAGATTTTCACTTTCTGCCTTTGTCTTTCCTCATCTCTCCTCAAATATACCTTCTGAGCTTCTCCTAACAACTCCTCTATTGACTTATTCTTCCAGTTCTCTAATTTTTGTAACTTCTTAGCAATGTCTGGCCAACTCTTAGTAACAAAGTGCAGTTTTAACATTCCTTGCCCAAGGGGGCTTTCTTGGTCTAAATCTGCATATTTTCTCATCTGTTCTCTTAGTCCAAGAATCTCATAGGTCCTTCATCCTTTTCTTGTTGTATGTTAAATGCCTTGGAAAGATTTTGGGTTCAGGGTGCTGATTGCTGAATCCCCTTGATTATTATTTCCCTTAAATCTTTCATATTATCTCAGTGGGTGGCATTATTTTTATCCTACTGCGGTTCCTGAGCAGGGAATTTGTAATCTGCTGCCAGAATATTTTGACCTGGAGGATGTTCACATTCCCAAATTGCCATAGCGGCTCTGTGGATCATATTTCTTTCTTCCCCTGAAAAGAGGATATCCAGGATGGAAATTAATTCAGCCCAAGTATATAACTGAGGGCCTAAAAAGTGATCAATTTGATCTGACATCTCATAAGGATCATCTAACAGTAGCTTGAGTTCCTTTTTCAGACTTCGGACCTCAGACCCAGTTAGGGGAGCATTTACAAAGTCAATGTCCCCCTCACTGAGCAACTTCCCTTAAAGGAAAGAACGTTGAAGTTGACCTCTTAGTAGGGGAGGAAAGGGAAGATTCTGAATATCCTTTTTACATTGCTCTATCTCCTGCTGAAGTCCTTTCTTTAAGGAAGGATATTTAGAATGCCCAGATTCCTGGAATTCCCAAGAATCTGGGTTATATGGTGGGAGGAAATAACATGGAAGGGCCTGGAGCAGCAGTCAGGTCTGGGATCGGGTCCGGAAGGGGGTACAGGGCAGCAGCAGCTGCCTGGGGAGGTGGCAGTGGGTTATTAAGAAATGGGGGAAGGTGGTCTAGAGGGTCCCATTTCTTATCAGATGAGGCAATCTCTGACTCTTCCTTGTTCTCCTGTCCCCCTTCACCTGTTTTCAGAGGGTAAAGAAGAACAGGCCCTTGCCACCAGCATAGAGCATAATCAATCTATTTCTTCTTGTGATGCAGGAAAATTGGAGTATTGGATGGGGACATACAAGGTTCGAGCAGCCCATCTTTAATAAGTCCTTCAATTACAGGCTTGTCATTAACATACATTTTTAAAAGTTGACAGACTCAATCTTCATCTGACCCAAATTTTGGCCAAACAACTGCTGGCTGGAGGATTGGCTCTTTAGTTCAAATGAAGCAACAATACTTAATCATCTACTGCTTCTTTTTGAATTTAGTTGTTTCATTATCTTACCAATCTTTAACATAAACCCTAAAGGATTATTAGGGGGAATCTGATCACTTGCATCTTTCTTCGCTCCCAATTTACTAGAAACATTTCCCATACTGAATGCTGGGTAGACTCAACTTCTTAATTCTAGAGACTTCTTGTCTATCCTGTTTTTCCCTAGCTTGCTTAAATTCCTAACCTCACGCACTTGAGGTTTCATTTTCCCTGGGGAGGATCTTAACTCCTCTTCCCCCACCCCTGGAGCTTTCTTACACTCTTCACTCACTTCGTCCTACCTGGCTGCTTCCCTAATGGAAATTTAGGCTCCTCTTAGCATTGGCATGCTGATATAAACCCACGTCAGGATCTGCCCTAAGCTGTATGAGGTGGCCATGGAACCACAGGTAGCACCCACCCACTCCGTCCAGCAGGACTTGTCACCATCCACACAAGCAACACCGCATGGCTTGAGACCATTCACACACACTTTCAACTTCCAGAGTATCTGGACCACCAAGGAAGTACTTTGTCACACCCCTGTGACGTTTCTTACTTGGTCTGTGCACAGAGTTTACCTGGTTGCCACAGCAGTGCAAGCCTGTCCATCCTTTCCCGTGTTGCTGAGAGTCTGGGTTTATTCATTACAACAGGTGAGTTCTGATTCCCAACCCCTGAGGCCACTGCAACAAGGCAGTGGGGCACCTCCCCTAGGAGAAAGATCAGAGACCCTGCCCCAGAGGAGAATGGGTGATCCTGGATGAGCCCCCAAACTGTTGGAAATAAATGCTTATTCCTCGGTGCCACAAAGAAGAATCAGTAGTCAGATAAAAACTTTTCTCAGTACTTTCTGCAGAAAGGGTACTGCCCATCAGCAATCCTGCCACAAGAGCACACTGAACGAAGAGACACAGGAATATTTATCCCTTACATGTAAAGTCCCTATTGCTCTGTCCTATCTCTACTGGCTGGAGCTGGACCTCACAGTCTAAGCTTAGCCTGATTGGCTAACAATCCAAAACTTTCCTAAATAGGTAAAGACTGTGCAGAACAAAGGAAAAGAGGAAGTCGCTTATGTAAAGGCTTATAGAAGCAATAACATTTCCAAATAAGGAAGAGACATAAGCTGTGAGCTGGGACATGCCTGGGCATGCTGAGACATGCCTGAGCAAGCCAAAACTAATATTGTAGTTAAAGTATAAAGATATATATATATAGATATAGATATATAGATATATATATGTGTGCGTGTGTATATATATATATACTTATATATAATATACTTATCCTTTTACACTTAATGACTATATAAGGTTTAACAAAGAGTTATTGCAAAAAGCTAGTCTTTAAGAGAAACTATTACTTCTAACACTTATGACTTATTCCTTAATAAAAAGGAAACTTTGAAGAGGAACTTTTTAATTTTCACAACTTTGAAGATACCAAAAATTTTAGGAGTTGTTTGCCAGGACACTGGAAAAAGACCAAATATGTATTTCACAATAGTACAACGGTATATACATGCAATGGACTATCACTCAACTTTTAAAAGGAAGGAAATTCTGACACATGCTACAAGATGGATGAAACTTGAGAACATTATGCTAAGTGAAACAAGCAAATGACAAAAAGACAAGTACTGGATGATTCCATTTATATGAGGTACCTAGAGTAGTCAAATTCAGAGACAGAAAGTAATGGTGGTTCCCAGAGGCTAAGGGAAGGGAGAAACAGGAAGTTGTTTAAAGGTGGAGAGTTTCAGTTTTGTAAAATGAAAAGACTTCCCTGGAGACTGATTTAATATACAACAAATGGAAACTACTATTAAACTTTATACTTTAAAATGGTTACGATGGTGAATTTTATGTTATATGTAACATATATACATATTTTATGTGTATGTCTATTTTTTAAAAACTACATAAAAGGTTAAGAATGCAGCTTTCCTTAAAAACAGACATAGTGTTATTTTATGAAACTGTTTATATTTAATTTATATTAAGTATATTGTGCTATAGATTTCATTCTCTTAGTTATTTCAGTCAATACCAGTATGAGGTTCACCCATGTTTCTGGACATATTTCTAGTTCATTGCTTCTGACTGCTATTAAATAGTTTATTTCATAATCATAACATTTTACTTACCTATTTCTCTAGAGATGAATACCTGGACTTGCTCTAACTCCCTGCTACTATAATGTTATGACAAACTTCCTTGTTTATGTCCCCTTACTGACCTGTGTGAATATATACTCAGGAATGAAGGTTGTGGGGACAAGATGTAGTCTCATACTTAATTTAACAGCTGTTTAATAGCCATTTTCCTGTATTTTTGCTGAAATTTGGAATTATCCCACTTTGTAATTGTCATCAATCTGATGGACATAATGTGCTATTTTACTGTTTTATGCTTCTCTGATTATTAATGAAGTTAAGTAGCTCTTCAAATTCTTGCCCTGCATTTAGCTTTTCCCTCCTGTTAACTGCCTATCCATGTTTTTGCCTGTTTTTCTACTGGTTTCCACATATTGTTCTGCTTGAATTACAAGAGCACCTTACATGTTAATGCCTTGTCAGTCTTTGATACACTGCTTTAATTTCTCACCCATCTATTAACTGCTGATGGCATCCTCAGTTCAACAGAAATCCTTAATTTGATGAAGTCAAAGCCATCATTTTATGGCTTATTCTTCTAGGGTCTTAAAAATGCTGTGAATGTTTTTAAATTTGCTTTTTGGTCTTATTTTTCTCATTTGGATCATTATTCCATCTGCAGTCCACTTTTACATACACTATATGACACTATATGGCAGGATTTCAATGTTGTTTTTTTTTTTGTTTTCTCCATACAGTCAACAAGTGTGCCAAAATCATCTCGTAAGCAATCTGTACTTTTCCTACCAATGTATGGTCACGGCTCCACCTAAAAGAAGTCTTCAATATTTAGCGATCAAATGAATGTCAAGATGGAATCTCAGACCCTGAACTGTAAGGATCTTCTCTATTCTACATGCAAAGTACTCCTTATCTTTCTCAGGTTTCTGCTTTTTGTAGGAAACACAGACAAGCATTGAGAGTGTTTGGGATCAAGGGTCTGGAAATTGTCTGTACAGACAATTTCCTTGTTTCACGTCTTGAAGATGACATGAATATAGAGAAGATATTTTGAAAGATTTGAAGAAAGGATACCAAGGAAATATGACAGGTCAGCAAATATCTCTGTCCTGGTTTTCTTCTATTTTCTCCTAGGGAGACATGACCTGTTTTCAATCAAGCATCTCTATAAAAATGATGGTCTGTCTTTTCACCAGTGGAGAAGATTCAGAAAAACTATAAGTAGTATGTGTTAGGAAAACAATAGTTTTGTTTTCATCTTCCCAATTTAAATTATGTTACATCACTGAATTTTCATTGTTAAACTATCCCTCCCAAAGATTCTGACACAGCTCCTGCATCTGCCACCTCACTCCCCAATCCTGGGCACTGAAAATCAATACAACGGCTGGACATGGTGGCTCACACCTGTAATCCCAACACTGTGGGAGGCCAAAGCAGGTGGATCACCTGAGGTCAGGAGTTCGAGACCACCTGACCGACATGGAGAAACCCCGTCTCTACTAAAAATACAAAAAATTAGCCCGGCATGGTGGCAGGTGCCTGTAATTCCAGCTACTCGGGAGGCTGAGGCAGGAGAATCACTTAAGCCCAGGAGTTGGAGGTTGTGGTGAGCTGACATCGCGCCATTGCACTCCAGCCTGGGCAACAACAGTGAAACTCCAACTCAAAAATAAATAAATAAATAAATATATGCAACAAGCCAAAGAGAATAAGGCTAAGTGGGCTGAGTGCAGTGACTCACACCTGTAATCCCAGCACTTTGGGAGGCCAAGGAGGGTGGATCACCTGAGGTCAGGAGTTTGGGACCAGCCTGGCCAATGTGGTGAAACCCTATATATATATATATACACACACATATATATATACAAAAATTAGCTGGACATGGTGGTATGCCCCTGTAATCCCAGCTACTTGGGAGGCTGAGGCAGGAGAATCTCTTGAACCCAAGAGGTGGAGATTGCAGTGAGCTGAGATCGTGCTTGCACTACAGCCTGGGTGACAGAGTGAGACCCTGTCTCAAAACAAACAAACAAACAAACAAACAAAATAAGGCTAAGTGAAAACACATTGCTTAATAAGATTTAAGGATAGAAACAGTAAATTGAAGGTCTATAAAGGAAAATAATCCTTTAAATAATGGGTAATAAACTTAATAGTAACTGTTATTTACTAAAATGCAGAGTTCCACAAATGGTTAAAATTCATGGGACGTTCATAATCACTCACTAAGAAGAAACAAGACATTTTGGCATTTCGGTCTAAAATTAGAGTCTCTATTCAAAGAGAATGGCCGTCATCTGCCAAACAGAAGTGGCTAGACAGAGTCCCCCTACCACCCAAAGGCATGGGAATTCTTTTTTTTTTTTTTTTTTTGAGACGGAGTTTCACTCTTGTCATCCAGGCTAGAGTGCAATGGCATGATCTCGGCTCACTGCAACCTCCAACTCCCGGGTTCAAGCAATTCTTCTGCCTCAGCCTCCTGAGTAGCTAAGATTACATGCGTCTGCCACAATGTCTGGCTAATTTTTTTACTTTTAGTAGAGACAGGGTTTGACCATGTTGGCCAGGCTGGTCTTGAACTCCTGACCTCAGATGATCCTCCTGCCTCTGCCTTCTAAAGTGCTGGGATTACAGATGTAAGCCACTGAGCCCAGCTGGGAACTCTTAAACTCTTGAATTACTAACAAAAATGGGTATTAACCACTTGAGATTTTGCACTTTATTTTTATCTTTTTTTTTGAGACAAGATCTGACCTTGTCACCCAGGATGGAGTGCAGTGGTGTTACCATGGCTGACTGCAGCCTTGACCTCCTGGCTCAAGCAATCCTCCCACATCAGCCTCCCAAGTAGCTGTAACTACAGGTATGTGCCACCATGCCCTACTCATTTTTGTAATTTTTTTTGAGGTAGTGTCTCGCTATGTTGCCCAGGCTGGTCTTGAACTCCTGGGTGCAAGTGATTCTCCTGCTTCCCAAAATGGCTAGGATTACAGGTATGAGCCACCGTGCCCAGCTACATCATGCATTTTAGAAGACAAATTTTAGATTTTATGGCTGAATCAGCAAATAGCCAGCACATGACATGTATCTGCACCCCCACCTCCCTACAACCTGCAGACACCACAAATAGATGATGGCCAGCATTCCTGATGCATGGGCTCCAAATGATCAGAATTGGCATGGAGGATGCAACCCAAGTGTTCTCATGGTTCAACAATATGCAGTCATAAAATCTTACCATCCTTTTGATCTGTACATAATATAAGAATTACGGGTGGATCACATGAGGTCAGGAGTTCAAGACCAGTCTGGCCAACATGGTGAACCCCATCTCTACTAATAATACAAAAATCAGCCAGGCATGGTGGCAGGCGCCTGTAATCCCAGCTACTCGGGAGGATGAGGCAGGGGAATCGCTTGAACCCGGGAGGCAGAGGTTGCAGTGAGCTGAGGTCGTGCCACTGCACTCCAGCCTAGGTGAAAGGAGCAAGACTCCATCTCAAAAAAAAAAAAAAAAAAAAAAAAAAAAAAAGAATCGCGTTAAGTGATGCCACCACGCTGACTGCTTTTAAAATTGGACTCTCCCTCCTTTTCTTCGTGACCTTCAAGGTCATAAGGTCATATTACTTACTACTATGTCAATTTATCTCAACTGTTCTTGTATGTATCTGGTGGTTTTGTTTTTTGTTTTTTGAGATGGAGTCTCGCTCTGTCACCCAGGCTGGAGTGCAGTGGCGTGATCTCAGCTCACTGCAAGCTCCGCCTCCTGAGTTCAAGCAATTCTCCTGCCTCAGCCTCCCGAATACCTGGGATTACAGGTGCGTGCCACCATGCCCAGCTAATTTTTTGTATTTTTAGTAGAGACGGGGTTTCACCACGTTAGCCAGGATGGTCTCGATCTCCTGACCTCGTGATCCACCTGCCTCAGCCTCCCAAAATGCTGGGATTACAGGCGTGAGCCATCACGCCTGGCCGTATATAGTGTTTTTTAATTTCATTAATTTTGACTGCCATATGGAGCTCACAAAGAGCAGAAGCTATTCTGAAGAGCTTTCTACACCTCAGGAACATAAAGTAATATCACCACCAGCTATTTGTTTAGGTTTTAGACTTTAGAAAAGTTATCATAGCACAAGTATAAATTGGTATGAAATGGCTAAAAACCAAACTACTGGGAAGTTGGGGGGAACATTCAACAGTGATAGGTATACTGGAGAGAAAATATCTGAGAACAAAAATGAACGACTTTTTAAAGTAGCCTTCGGCCTGGAAGCTCCTCTCATGATCCAACAAAGAACAGCTGTTTATATAAGTCTGCCTGTCAGAGAAGCACAGAGAAGCCGTCCAGTGCATCAGACTGAAGCTAATTAAAGCAGGGAATTTTACAGAGTTGTATGGGAATAGTATAAACACTCCTAACGCCCAACATTTTTAGGGCTCTGCCCAAAAGTCAATAGAAAGAAATAATGAGCAATGCAAGCACAGAGGATGCAGACTCTGATCTTTAAACTCTGAAATTTATTACTGCAGAAAGAGACACAGGATATTCTTTGTAGTTGGTCTATCAACCCTGATAGAAGGAAACGTAAGATCTTTAATGAGGGCATTAACAATCCCAAAACAACAACAAAAAATTCCTTGGGCCACTAACAGAAAATTTCCTACCAATTGGTGAGTTTCACAACCAATTATGCAGATCAAATGTAGGCTGGCCATTCTAGGAACAAAGTCCCTCTGACGACGTCAGGGACAGAGGGGGACTGACCACACTGCCTAAGCTTGTATTTTCCAATGCACCTGACAAAGCATGGAAAAGCTATTCTCAGACAAGCAAAACCACACCTTAGAATTCCTTGTAACTCTCTGGTGGAAAAAAAAAAGTGTTTAGATGATTACTACCTGAGAAAATATTATTTTGGCAAGAGAGTGCTGGCTCTACACACCTGCTCAGGTTGAAAAAAAAAAAAAAAAAGCAGGGTAATAGAGACCGGTAGCAGGAATGAAATGTACAATCATTGGAGAGTAATTAATCCATGAAAGGATGCATTGTGCCCACATGGTGTTTGCCCACCTTGAATCATTAATAATGATTAACCTTAGCTTCTTAGCCTCTTTAACTCAAGGTGGTAATGTTCTGTTGAGCGAGAATAGTTGCAGAATCATGATGGGTCCCCAGTGAAATATCAGGCCAGGAACTATTACATTTGTAGTTCACTCTGGCTTGCTTTTTTTTTTTTTTAAGAAAATTCAGTAATTCTCCATTGAACATCTACTACATATCCAACTCTGTGCTAAGGTATGCTGTGGAAAAGTCAAGGAAGAATGTATGAGACACATCCCTGCACTCCCAGGAGTTTATAATTTCGGAGGAGATGCAAACGTGGACCCATTTTAATGTAACAAAAGATACACTGTGTTAACAGCCAAAATGGAGGCCTGTACAGAGTACTGGGGCAACCTGGAAATCTGGTTTTAGGATACACTGCATTCAAAGCAATTTGCTTTTTTCTTCAACATTTCTTGAGCACCTGTTATGTGCAAAGCAAGGAGTCAGGTGCCTTTCTGGAAAACGAAATAAACACGGCACTGTCTCTGTTTACAACTGCCCATTTAACAAACATTTCTTGAACATCTACTACATGTGATGCATTGAGCTCAACCTTAGGAATTGCAGATGGTTAAGCATGCACTTTAACTTCAAAGTGCATCTGGTCTATTTTGTAAAAAATAAACTTTTTTTTTTTTTTTTTACAAGCTTGTACTAATCCTGATCTTGGATCAAGTTGAAACAGACACAGTTAAGGGAGAGGACTATAAGGTACTCCTGGACACAGAGCTGAGCTTACCTTTGTGTTCCCTAAACAGAACAGAGGATGTGGTGAGAATCCAGGTCCTATAAGAACCTGTCTCAACAAAGGGAATCAAAGCAGGGGTCAAGCTTTGACAGTCATATTGCACGCCTGCTGATTTAATTCTTAGCAACTCAATTCTCAGGATCCTTAAGGAACAGAACCCCAGTAACTGGCTTTTTAGCGCCTTGCACAGAGCCCACTCAAAAGTAGACAATTAATAGATATCTGATAAATTAAAGAAAGAATCTCTAATTGCTAGCCTTAGTCAAGAATGTATGCTCAAAATTAGACAGAAAGTCTTAAATGTTGAATACATACTGCTGTCAAATCAGTAATTTTTAAAGAAGTTGTAGAACAAGACTCTAGGAATCAATTTCAATGGTCCCTGCTTACAGCATTATGAGATGTCCTGTGTTTCAAGGTTCCATCCCCACACTTATGGAAACAGGCCAACTATGAATTTGCCCCTGGCATGGCACAGAATATAAACATGCATTGTTGGTACATATGCTTTGTTCTGTTTGCCAAACTCTGTGTATCTGTGGGGGCCACTGAAATACGGCCAGTATTCATTCTCCCCTGACCAACTTGACCTCCAGCCTACTTATTTAAGTTTTGTCAAAATGGCTAAACACAGTCCATGAAGATTCTCTAAATACAGTGCTTCCTAATACAAACTGTGATTTTCAAAATGCTGCCCAGAAAAGGCCGTTATGCATCAAGAGTATGGGATTTCCTAGTAAAATGTTGCCACCCAACTGTCTGTCATCCATTATAGCAGAAAGGGCCTCTAGAAGAACACATTGGAAGCTCTAATCAGATTCGATGTGGACACTGGAGACAAACACCCATCTCACTCATCCTATGCCCATCCTCCCGGTTCATGCCCAGAGATCATGTTACAGGAGAGACCACACAGTGAAGTCATGTCAGTTCCTCTGGTTACTGATGTGGCCACTTCTGTGGACAGAAACGAACTCCACTCATGACACTGTCACTACCTGTCTACTGAGAAGCAGCTCAGGAGGAGAATTAAGAGTGAGCAAAAGACCGGGGGCTGTAGCTCACATCTGTAATCCCAACACTTTGGCAGGTGGATTACTTGAAGTAAGGAGTTCGAGATCAGCCTGAGCAACACGGTGAAACCCCATCTCTACTAAAATATAAAAATTAGCCATGCGTGGTGGCGCACCTGTAATCCCAGTTACTTGGGAGGCTGAGGCAGGAAAATCGCTTGAACCCGGGAGGCGGAGGTTGCAGTAAGGCAAGGTACCACCACTGTACTCCAGCCTGAGCGACAGAGATTCTGTCTCAAAAAAAAAAAAAAAAAAAAAGAGTGAGCAAAAGCCCAAGAATAGATTTAACCTCTGCTCCCCAGCAGCCCCACAGAAAAAGGGGTGAATTTAGCAAGTTGTGGGTTAAAATTGAAATTCAATTGAGCGAAAACTTTCTTTTTTTTTTGAGGTGGAGTCTCGCTCTGTCGCCCAGGCTGGAGCTCAGTGGTGCGATCTCGGCTCCCTGCAAGCTCCGCCTCCCGGGTTCACGTCATTCTCCTGCCTCAGCCTCCCGAGTAGCTGGGACTACTGGCGCCCGCCATCACGCCTGGCTAATTTTTTGTATTTTTAGTAGAGAGGGGTTTCACCGTGTTAGCCAGGATGGTCTCGATCTCCTGACCTCGTGATCCACCCGCCTTGGCCTACCAAAGTGCTAGGATTACAGGTGTGAGCCACCGCGCCCGACCATGAGTGATAACTTTCAAACAAAGACATCAGCTGGGCGTGGTGGCTCATGCCTGCAATCCCAACACTTTGGGAGGCTGAGGCAGGTGGATCATTTGAGCCCAGGAGTTCGAGACCAGCCTGGGAAACATGGTGAAACTCCGTCTCTACAAAAATATAAAAATTAGCGGGGGCATGGTGGCACGTGCCTGTAGTCCCAGCTACTCAGGAGGCTGGGGTGAGAGGATCACCTGAGTCTGACAAGTGGAGGCTGCAGTGAGATGGCACCACTGCACTCCAGCCTGGGCGGCAGAGTGAGATTCTGTCTCAAAACGAAACACACAAAAAACAAAGACGTCACCCACTTTCTTGGGGAAATTTTTCTTTTGATTAGTCTCACCTAGGGCCAGACCATTTAGACACTGAAACCACATGAATCGGTCTTATTTCTTAGTCACCTGTCATCCTCAATTCCACCTGGGCTCAGGCCTCTTCTCCTAACTTGAGGTTTCTTGGTGAAACGCTTATCTGCACTAACCAGATGATTCTCTTTCAGCTGACCTAGTCACCCAAAAGTCATTAAGTCATTTAAAACCGGGTTTGCATCTGTGAAAAAGCAAAAGGCAGAAAGCAATTTGGTTCTTTCTCATCTTAATTGTTTCCCCAGCTCTGCTGTTCTCGTTAATGTTGGCCAGGCTGGTCTTGAACTCCTTACCCCAAGTGATCCACCCGCCTTGGCCTCCCTAAGTGCTGGGATTATAGGTGTGAGCCACCATGCCTGGCCAAATTGCCATTAAGTCTTAAGCATGACATTTAAACTATGAGTTCACCCTTCTTTCCTGAAGTATTTTTGTTTCCTAACCAGCAGTATTTGTTGATCCTCATCTTATAATTCTGCCTTATATTGGGACAGGGGTGACCCAGAGACTCTGTGAGATCCATCATTCTTAGTAAGTGTGACTTTGTGGGTATAAAAGCTTGCCTTGACGGCAACAGGGAAGGAAGTATCCAGGCCTTGCCGTACCCGCCTGGGTTGGAGGGTTGGGCAGGCACTTAACCTCCTCCAAAGAAGAACTGTTCTGGGCATAAAATGAGCATGGAGAGCCTTTCTCCTGCAGGGCACTCCAGCAAGAGGTTTCTCAGGAACACGAATGGGAGTTTACAGAGGACAATATCTCAAAAAGACAGATAAGCTACTGCCAAACATTCAAAACAGGACCACAGGAAAGCCAAGTCATTCTTAACATCTATTTTTTTCCCTCCAGGTCAGAATCAGTTTTGTAAAATAGGGCGATAAACAGAACAACAGGCAAAAGAGAAAATCATTCCCCGTTCTTCCATAATGACCTAAGGAAGCAGACGATCTGTCTCTCTCACACCATGTAAGTGGAAAGAAACAGTGTCCTGTATGAAGCAAGTCCTTTTTCTAGAGGTGTGAGCGTAGGTAACGCACATAATGAAGCTGATCATTAGAAATAGGATCTATTTCACAAATGGGCCCATGTGAAGAAATCAGGTTGACCTTGTATGTTGCTTGAAGACCTTTCACGTTCTTCCATTTTGGAAAACTGACATCAGCCTGCCATAATTACCAGTGTGTACTGGAATTGGTGCCGGATCAACTGCTGGCTGCATTCTCACTAACACTCTGATTTGCCAACACCCTGACCTACTAGGTTGGAAGACTCTGGGGTTCCTGGCACTATCCCCAGCGGAGGTACTGAGTTCCAGAATTAAAAGTCAGCATATGTTCCCAGGCCTGCCCTCTTATCTTCTCACAGGGAGATCCGAAAGATAATGTCAGTAATGCTTGAGAAATGAAAATGCTTCCCCAAATGAAAATATATTCTAGTTTATTTTAAATAAAATAAGATGCTCTTGTTTTTCTGTGTTCTCTTAAGCTAATTTTATTTTCTAGATTTTTTTTTTTTTGAGACAGGGTCTTGCTCTGTTGCTCAGGCAGGAGTACAGTGGCACAATCATAGCTCACTGCAACCTCCACTTTCTGGGCTCAAGCCATCCTCCCACCTCAGCCCCCAGAGAAGCTGGGATGACAGGCATGTGCCACCATCCCTGGCTGATTTTCATATCTTTTTTGGTGGAGACTGGGTTTCACCATGTTGCCCAGGTTGGTCTCAAAGTCCTGGGCTCAAGCAGTCTGCCTGCCTTGGCCTCCCAAAGTGCTATGATTACAGGCATGAGCCACTAAGTCCGGCCCTTCTTTTTAATTCTTTTTTCTCCTCTAACTTGTTTATTTTTTAAGAGCTGAAACCTTGAACCTCCAAGATTCCCATCAAGCTTGAGCTATATGCAATCTAAGGGTTTTATCATAACAAACTGGGCCGAAAAAACTCTGATCTCAACCCAGATGCTAATTAAAACCCTACCTGAGTCATGTTGCTATGGTTACTGGGATTTCTCCAAGCCCCGAGATTCTTAAAGGAGTAAATTTTAGTTACTTCTCCAAGGCTCAGAGTGGCGTTCCTGGGATTGAGCCATGCTAGTTCCCATAGGGTGTGGGTGTCATTGCACAATCAGCAGCCTGGGTGGCTTCTGCCTACATCATCACTAACCTCTGCATTGGATTCCATTGTTTGTCTCATTAGAGGTTTACAATAGCAGGGTGTTATCAAAGTACTATTATCATCTCATTTTAGAGAAGAGACTCCAGACTCTCAGTTTAGAGACCAACTCTTTTAGAGAAGGGACTGGAGACTCAGTCACAGTGAGTGGCTTATACACGGTCACTCCATTTGTGAGAGAGAGGGAATAGGAACTTGGTTTTCTAATGCCAATACCTGTGCTTTCCACTAATTTACCCAGGACTGAGGCAGGCAGATACAATTTGGATGTTTTACTCTCACGCCCTGCTCAATTTCCATGCTCCTTGATGTCCTGTAGGTTCAGGAGGAGCGTAGACTTAGGAGTCTTGCAGGTACAGCAGGAACCTTAGGCTGGTTACCCTAGCTTTCTATCTCTGCTTTGTCATCTGTAAATTGGGGCTGGCAATTCCTACCTCTTAGGGCTGTTCTGAGGATGAAATGAGTTGTTATGTCTAATTCTTTTAAATCCATCCCTGGCCCATAGTGAGCGCCATATAAATGGAAGCTCATCTTAGCTGCTGAATCTCTCATTCATTCGGGGACTACACGCGGCTGCCAAAGAGTCTGCAATCACCTCAGGATCTGGAAGATGTCTGTTCTCCATGGTGGGCGGCCAGTGCAATACCAGAACAAAGTAGTGGTCATGAGAAAAAAACCCACGTTAGATCACATCAGTGCCTGAGACGCCGTGATGTTCAAAGTCAAGCGTCCTGACTGCTTCTCTCTGTGGTCAATTTCCTTGTTTCTGACATCAGCCCAGAGGCACATCAGCTGAAACAGAACCACTTGAAATGACATGACTCGAGAAAGTCTGTTCAGAAACGCTGTAATTTTTTGAAAAACAGTAGGTTTCTCCTTTTCCTAACAGAAATCAGTTTTGCTCTAATCGAGAGAAATTTTTTTTCCCCAGCATTTAAAACCCATGCACAGCTCAATAACTAAAAAAAAAAAAATTTATTTTTCTCGAGTCTTTAAAAGGTACTTTAAACTGATAGGAGATAGCAGGGAAGCAGTAGGGAAAACTGAGTTTCAGCATGCTAACACAAAACTACATTTTTTTCTTTGTTTTTTTTTTTGTTTTTTTGAGACAGTCTCACTCTGTCGCCCAGGCTGGAGTGCAGTGGCACCATCTCGGCTCACTGCAAGCTCCACCTCCCGGGTTCACGCCATTCTCCTGCCTCAGCCTCCCCAGTAGCTGGGACTACAGGCGCCCACCACCACGCCTGGCTAATTTTTGTATTTTTAGTAGAGACGGGGTTTCACTGTGTTAGCCAGGATGGTCTCGATCTCCTGATCGTGATCCGCCCGCCTAGGCCTCCCAAAGTGCTGAGATTACAGGCGTGAGCCACCACGCCCAGCCCCATTTTTTTCTTTAAAAACCCACATCTGAGGGTTCCTAACCACATGTAAAACTTCCTCTTTTCTGCTTTTGGCCCCAAGACCTAATCACCATTGTGGTAACAGTTTATTCAGCACACATTTATTTGGCATTAACTGTTTGCCTCCCCAAATCTTTAAAAAAATTTTTTTTAACTTTAACTTTAAAAATGTTATTATTTAAAGAAAATAGAGACAGGATCTCCTTATGTTACCTAGGCTGGTCTCAAACACCTGGGCTCAAGTAATCCTCCTGCTTCGGCCTCCCAAAGTGTTAGGATTACAGGCATGAGCCATCATACCCAGCCCTCCCTAAATCTTGTAGCATAACCTCCTTTTGCCCTCTTTTGCATGTTTAAATTAACGGAAAATATTCAGGACTTCCTGGAAAAAAGCCTACTGAAGACACTTCAGAGAACTGGGGAATAAAAAGAGGACCAGATTATAAAAATACAGGCACCAACAAATGGCAACAGCTTGGTGAAAGATTGATTTTAAATCACCAATCCCAAGCAGGGACCACAAGTAGGTTTGTTTGCTGGGTACAAAGAGGGCCACAACTCCTGCTCTCCGAGGGCTGCACTGGGACCCTGGGAAATTTACATAAAGGCACAAGGGCCTTTGGGCAGATTCTGGGACCTGGGCCTGAAAGCTTTGATGAGGGCAAAGGTTTCTTCTGGAAGAGCCCTTTGCCCTGCAGACAGAGTCCCAGGCAGACAATGGTACTCACCGCGACTTTGGAGGCGGAGGAGGAGGTGAGAATGTCTCAATCCCACTTCTGTCCTTGGGGAACTCAAAGGCAAAAGAGGCGGATTTGCTCATCCCGGTCCCAACTTTGCTGTTCTGCCCAGAGGAGCCATCTGTGGGGTGGAGACGGTGCCAGGTCGTGGAGTTTGAATGGTCCGTGGGGCCATTTTTGGTCTCTCTTCCCCAGCTGTGACTCAGCAATTCCTGCTCCACCTCCTCTTCTTCCTCTATCCGGCACTGACGACTCCAGGTGCCTGCCTGGAACCTGGGCCGCCTCTGTTCCGAGGCTGACGAGGCGGCAGGCTGGGGACACCTGGATGGGTCACTGATAGCGACACCGTTGGTCCGGCAGGAAGGAGCGGGGTCAGCAGGACCTTGGGATGGAGGCTGGGGCCCAATGCTGCTGCCGCCACAGCTCCCATCACTAAGGTCAGCCAGTAGTGACACTGGGGGCCCTCCAGCAGACGGTGACACCGGGGACCCTACAGGGCTACTCTTGGACAACTTGGGGGGAATGGCGGGCCTCTCCTTGGGCTTGCTCTCGCTGGCACTGTGAGCATGGCTTTCCCTGGAGCTCAGCCCCTGCCCAGCCGAAGTCTCCTCTTCACCTACCTCGGAGTTCTGGCTCACAGGCCCTCGTGGCCACTGCACCCCCACTGCAGAGTCAGGGCTGCTCAGGTAGATCGTCCGATGGTCCTCTTCCGGGTGGGCCGCCATGACTGTGATGGTGGCTGACACCTGGGGAGTTGGGTCTGGGCTGTCCCGGCCCCAGCCAGATGCTGCTTTCTGGGCCCAGGCATTACCTGTGCATACCTGGCCTTGGCCCTGGGCAGCAGCTGCATGTTCTATCTTGGCCTGTGACTTGGAAGGCACCGGAGCTGCCTTCTTCCTCTTGGTGCTCTCAGCATAGATGGGTTCAGGCTGTGTAGCCTCCTGGGGGTGGGCCGGGGGCTGGGGCTCCCCCGTCAGCCCAAGGCATCTGCTAGGGGTCACCCCTGGGCAGCCAGGGTCCTGCTGCTTCTCTGGGGCAGGTTCCTTCATGAGGGAGCAGTAATCACTCTCGAGGTGGGGGACGAAGGGGCTACTGGCGCCGCTGCCGCTGCCGCTGCCGCTGCCACAAGAGAGGCCGTCGGAAGAAATGGCAGCCTCCGAGGTGAGGGACAGTTTCTTGGGGCCCAGGCAGGATGGGTGGGCAGTGGGGCCCTGGCTACAGCACTCCTTGGGGAAGCTCGGGCCCCGCTTCTCCTGCTCTGCGGGCCCGGAACACTTCCCCTGCTCCCAGCACGTGGGTGAGCAGTCCCTGCCACCATGCCTGCCCCGGGAACCTGCAGTCTGGGAGGCAGCCTTGGCAACAGGGCTCCCAGGGCAGCAGTCCAGGATGGAGCAGTACTCTCCACCCTCGCTGTCCCCGGAGGGCGAGCACCTTTGATCACTGTCATCCTCCGAGGGCAGGGATTCCCGCAGGGGCCCAGGGCCCTGGTGACAGCCAGATGTGGTCCCAGCAAAGGCAGCCAGTTTCTGGCGGAAGCTCTCCTGGGTGGAGGGCCGGTCTTGGTAAGGAAATGAGGGTTTTTCTTTGTGCACAGCCTTCTCCTCCGGGAAGCTCACCGGGTGGAAGGCAATGTTCCTCTCGCCGCGGGGCTCAAGGTTGTGCAGGCCGACCATGGTGTAAGCTGGGGGACAGCGAGAATTGCCATCAGGGGAGGTAGAGGGACCAGCAGGCTTCTGTACACCTCGGAAGCTGCCCAGGTAGACGACGGGGGCATCCTCCTGCTTCGGGAGGGGGAGCTTGCCAGGGGCTCGTCTCCAGATGACCTACACACAAGCCCAACGCAAAAAGACTTATATTAGAACTTGTCATAGAAAAAAGAGAGAGAGGAAAAGTGAGAGGGAAGGGCAACGATACTGTAGAATGTCTTCTGTAGTGCAGTGCAGGGGCGCTGGGGCCGGGGACTCAGTGCACGCCCACCTTCTCATCTCCCCACGGCCCTGTGATCATTGCTGGGGCACCCGCTGAGCCATTTGTCTTCCCAGACACTGAGCTGCCCTTCCTACCCATGGACTGTAATGCTTTTGGCTTAAGTCTGTGAAGTAGGAAAAGAAAAATATAACTCTGAAAAAGAACACTGTGCCTTCTTCCTCCCTTGCAACCAGCTGCTGGGTGACACAAGTTGTTCCACTGGATTGGAAAATGGAGCTTGGGGTTTTGTTTAATTTTTGCTTTGAGTTTGTGGGTTTTTTGATAACCCAATCACAGTGCATGCCTGAAGAAATCGAAGTCTTAAGTGTTTTTAAAACACACTGAACACACTGGAGCCAGATGCCGTGGCTCATACCTGTAATCCCAGCACTATGGTGGGCCGAGGAGGGCAGATTGCTTGAGCCCAGGAGTTCAAGACGAGCCTGGGCAACATGGCAAAATCCCATCTCTACAAAAAAATACAAAAACTTGGTGGGCGTGGTGGTGTGTACCTGCAGTCCCAGCTACTTGGGAGGTTGAGGTGGAAGGATGTCTTGAGCCCAGGAGGCGGAGGTTGCAGTGACCCAAATCACACCACCACACTCCAGCCTGGGCGACAGTGCCAGACTCTGTATCAAAAATAATGATAATAATAATAATAATAAAGAAAAAAGAAACACATTGGGTGGGTGGGTGTGGGCAGAACAGGAGGGTGAGGGGTGGTTTCTGAACCGGATCAGGGTGAGGGGTGGTTTCTGAACCAGATCAGAGTGAGGGGTAGTTTCTGAACTGGATCAGGGTGAGGGGTGGCTTCTGAACCGGATCAGAGTGAGGGGTGGTTTCTGAACTGGATCAGGGTGAGGGGTGGCTTCTGAACTGGATCAGAGTGAGGGGTGTTTTCTGAGCTGGATCAGGGTGAGGGGTGGCTTCTGAACTGGATCTGGGCTTCCTCGCTTCTTTCTGTGCTTTGCTTCCAACTATGCCAGAGGTCATCTTTCTCCCGCCTACAGCAGTGACCTCAGCCTGAGCCTGTGCGAGTGGTTGGACTCGTTGGGCTATGAGACAGAGATGTGGACTGGTCATTACCATCCCTGAAGTCACCGTTTCCTCCTCCTTCTGGTCTAAAGTCCTCCTTTACCCCCACTTTTAGAAGCAGCCTCAAAGCAGGGCCTGCCTCTGGCTTCTTTCCCAGGTGATTCTGAGCTTAAAGAGTCCCTGGCTCAGGTTGGTGAAGGTTGAAGGTATTGAGAATGGCCTGGAGAATGGGTGTAAGCAGCTTAGGAAAAAACAGAGCAGCCCGGAAGGGGACATCAAGTTCACTGCAACCAAAGGAAATGCCTCTCCTCAAGGAAGACTCCCCTGATTTAGAATTGACCTTAGTTTTCATATATGCTCACACAGCCTTCCTGACCTACTCACCATATTGGTCAAGAAAACTAGAACAGGCAAAGAGGTCAAACAGGTAGCAAGCAGTTCCTAGGATATGTCTTAGCCACATAGCTTCCTAAATGTGTCTAAAGACAGCAGATGCCAGCAGACCCGGGCTATGTGCCCTCTGAGTTTGTAAAGGTTACCTGTGGAATGAGCAGAATGGTCTAGCCTCTAGGTTGTAACTGTTTTTAGTGACCCTAGAAGAAAGCTGGTAAAATCCAAGCTTCAAAATTGGAAACAGGAGTACTGGCTGGGTATTAGATAATATTAAGGAATTACTGCTAATATTCTGAAGTGTGGGGCCAGGCATGGTGGCTTATGCCTATAATCCCAGCACTATGGGAGGCTGAGGCAGATGGACCACTTGAGCCTAGGAGTTTGAGACCAGGAACTTAAGACCAGCCTGGGCAAGACAGCAAGATCCTATCTCCACCAAAAAACAAAAACAAAAACAAAAAAACGCCAAATAAGCCAAGCATGGTGGCATGTACCTCTAGTCTTAGATTCCTAGGAGGCTGAGACAGGAGGATCACTTGAGCCTGGGAGGTGGAGATTGCAGTTAGCCGAGATCGCAACACTGCACTCCAGCCTGAGCAACACTGAGACTGTCTCAAAAAAAAATAAATAAATAAAATAAAAATTAAAAACTAAAAAAATAGGCCAGGCGCGGTGGCTCACGCCTATAATCTCAGCACTTTGGGAGGCTGAGGCAGGTGGATCACTTGAGGTCAGGAGTTAGAGACCAGACTAGCCAACATGGTGAAACCTCATCTCTACTAAAAATACAAAGATTAGTTGGGCATGGCAGTATGTACCTATAGCCCCAGCTTCTTGGGAGGGTGAGGCAGGAGAATTGCTTGAACCCTGGAGGCAGAAGGTGCAGTGAGCTGAGATCCAGCCTGAGTGACAGAAAAGAAAAATTAGCGGTGCCTCACGCCTATAATCTCAGCACTTTGGAAGGCCGAGGTGGGCAGATCACAAGGTCAAGAGATCGAGACCATCCTGGCCAACGTGGTGAAACCCATCTCTACTAAAAATACAAAAATTAGCTGGGCATGGTGGTGGGTGCCTGTAATCCCAGCTACTCAGGAGGCTGAGGCAGGAGAATCGCTTGAACCAGGGAGTCAGAGATTGCAGTGAGCTGAGATCGCACCACTACACTCCAGCCTGGACGACAGAGAGAGACTCCATCTCAAAAAAAAAAAAAAAAAAAAAAAAAAATTAAGTGTGATAATGGTATTGTGGTTATGTTTTTCAGAAAGACTTTATCTTTGAAAGGTATTTATTGAAATGATGTGATATCTGGGTTTGCTTTAAAATCATAGGGAAGGGGGTCAGTGTGAGGGAGGTGAAATAAGATTGGTCAGGAGTTGATGGTTGCTGAAGTTCATATTGAA
This sequence comes from Homo sapiens, assembly GCF_000001405.40. Taxonomy (NCBI): domain Eukaryota; kingdom Metazoa; phylum Chordata; class Mammalia; order Primates; family Hominidae; genus Homo; species Homo sapiens. Next base: position 4,966,796 of record NW_018654717.1, on the reverse strand, counting down.
GGGTATTGGGTGCATGCAATTCACTTTGCAATTATTGCTACTTGTATATATATTTAAAATGATCAACTAAGAAAATTTAAAACTTTTTTTTAAAAAAGCTTCATTTTTTGTCTGCCCTACACAGTCTGCAAATCACAGGAGGAAATTCTGGGGGACTGGATTAATGATTCTTAGCCTAAAGGGACAGAGAGAAAGGAGAGCAGCTACAGCGAATCCCAGGCAGGAGCCATCTCAGGGCAAACTGACAGGAAGCTATCCTGCAGGTTTCTTGCTGGAACAGCCCTCCCTGGCTGCCAGCCAGTCACCAAGTGTTCAAACAGGAGCAGCCCCTGTAAAAATACCACGAGTGTTAGTCAGCCTCACCTGCGAGACTTCGGCACTCAGGTTGGCCTCTGTCCACACATCAGAGGCCTCGGAGCTCATCATGGTGGGCTTCACGGCAATTGTGGGCTTGGAGTAAGGTGAGCTGTTCACACCTTCATCTTCCAGGCGGCAGTTCTCAGGCCTGGGAGGCAGGCGCGGTGGAGGGGGCAGGCTGCCCGCTCTGGGCTGGGGAGGGCCGGCCACCAGCTGGTGGTCGCTCCGCAGGCAGAAGCAGTTCTTGCAGGACCCGGGTTTCCAGATGTGCTCCACAAAGTCACTGCACGCAGACATTTTCAGGCTCTCGGGGTTCAGGCAGAGGGTCTGGTGCATCTTGAGCCGACAGGGTGCTGGTTCATCTTGCGCCCGGCTCTCTGGTGCAGTTTTGTGGGATTCAGAGGTGGGTCACAGAGCGGCTTCCTAGAAAGGCAGGACAGTTTCCTGATTAGAGATTTGCCATGCCAGACAATGGGTGCATTATCAATTAGAGTCTCACTATTTGATCAGGGAGAAGGAGGAGAAAAAGGTAAAGATTAGGATCCCATTTATTTTGGGACCCTCGCCCATTTGTCACAAGGCTCTTAAACATTCTCTGGTGGTGTGGCCTTATCAGAAGCTGTAAAAACTAAACATAGCCTTGTTGCTTTAAAGGAGTAAATAAAAGACATTTCGGTCCCCTAAAATCCTGGGTGGGGAGTCCCCTAAAATCCTGGGAGGTTTTGGGCAGTTATGGGAAGAAATCACGTAGGGTTTAAGATGAGAAGCTGGTACGTCATCCATGTATTCCCTGACACCGGGGCCTAGAGTCTGGGACGCTGACCCACAGAAACAAGAACTGTCAAGCAGTACAGCAAATAAAAACAATGGCTTTTGGAAAATAATGTTTGACCAAGAACTGTGTGAGAGGGGAGGCAGCTTTAGGCCCTGAAAGGTGCATTGTAATCCACACTTCCAACCAGGTGGAGAAAGGAATGGTTGGGAAACGGGAGAAGTGGGGTGCTGGCCTGTCCTCTAGACCTTATGCAGAGTCTGGCATCTTGAGAAATATCCCTTGCTTAATATACATTACTTGACCGTGTGCTGCTGAGGTCCACAATGCTGGGTGTTATAGGCCAAAGGGGCAAACCAGTAGTAAGACAAATTCATGGTCAAAGGTGGCTGGATAGATGATAAGAGAGAGAAGAGATTAACGAAGAGCTATTTCCAAGTGATGGCTCTGGAGAGAAGGCAATTGGCTTGCTCAAAAAATTCATTGCTTCTTAGAGTAAAACTGCAAGTAACAGTTTGCACCATGGTCCCTTGTAAATTCACCACTGAGAAGGAGCTCAAAGAGTTGCAGCCATTAACCAATTACCTTGAAATCATTCCATCAGGTAGCTGTTGTCCCAATTTTACAGGTGGGGAAACTATGGCAAACACAAGAACTTGGACCAGCCCATAGACACGGGAGAGTTTGCCCATTCTAGAAACAGAAGCCAACTTTGCAGGCGGCTCCTCCCTGCAGTGGTGATTTGCGCATTGCTCCTGGCTCTTCTTAGCCTATTTAAAATAAACTGACTTCCCATAAGGAGAATGTTCAAGAGCAAAATCTTCCTTAAGAACATAAGGGTGAATAGGTTCTCATTAAATAGGGACCATTTTGCCTTAGGGTTTTCTCTCCACTTTCCTCCCATAAGGATCTGCCTTAAGTTTGATAATCTCTAAACTGTCAACAGGACTAACCAGGTGGAATGAGCCGGGTACCCCAAAAATCATTCCAGAGTGTTTGTGGGAAGTGCTCTCTTTTATCTCCACACTCATAGACAGGGGTGTTCATTCAACAAGTGCTGAAGCTACGTGTGCCTCTTTTCCCTCCAAAGTGAAAAATGGGTTGAGGCCAGGCGCGGTGGCTCACGCCTGTAATCCCAGCACTTTGGGAGGCCGAGGCAGGACGATCGCTTGAGCCCAGGAGTTTGAGACCAGCCTGGGTAACACAGAGACACTCTGTCTTTACAAAGATAATAATTATTTAAAAAAACTATCCAGGTGTAGCCATGCATGCCTGTGGTCCCAGCTACTTGGGAGGCTGAGGTAGGAGGACTGCCTGAGCCCAGGAGGTCAAGGCTGCAGTGAGCCATGATCACACCACTGCACTCCAGCCTGGGTGACTAGAGTGAGACCCTGTCTAAAAAAACAAAAAAAAAGTTAAGAATAAAGCCCACTGCATCTTTAAGCTAAATAAATCCTCTGAAATAAAAGAAAAGTATCTTTTAGCAGTTATTGTTAGGGTCTCACAGGTCCTTTTCTTTAAGAAGACTGTTAGCTAGGTTCTTCTCCTCCTCCAAATACACCCAAGTAGCAGGTTCCTTCTTTGCCAAGTTCTCCAGAAGAGGTCACTGGGCTTCAACAAGCGGAGGAAATAGCCAGGTTTTGTCTTTCTCTTATAATCTCAGGCCACAGAGAACTGTAGCCTTGCTGCTAAGTTTTGGGAGGGGGAAAAAGCAGAGGAAGTATTCCAGCCTTCAGGAATAGGCAGTAGGTCCCTTCCTGGGACGCTGATGGGTGAAGACTGTCTACACCTTCTAGGCCACAGAAAGGACACTGTCCAGCCCACCTCCACTGCAGGCAGATGCTCCCATGCCTGCTCCGCGGGATGGAGGAAGACAGTTTGGAAACCAGCTCTGTGTGGGCTCTGCAAGTTCCCACAGCTCCTCCTGACACTGGGCTATCTGAGGAGGTGGGTGCCCAACCACTTCCTCAGGGTCTATCACAGATTCACAAAGCAGCAGTTCTGCTTGGCGACTTATTGCCTCCTCAACAGGCAAGTAAGAACACAAACTTGTTTTTGCGGAAGGGGTGACATTGGTACCAGAGGCCCTACTTTCTAAGATTCCCCAACCTTTGCACAGCCCTGTGCAAAGGGAGTGTGGAAGGATCTGGATTGCTAGCGTGGGGGAAGTTTCCTTGAGAATGTCTCATCAGTTTACGAGCACTCTTTGCTCCCATTCTCAGCTCAGAAATCCTTGGATGTTTAGAGAGGCAACTTTCATCACACGACTGCCAGGGACGGATGGACGCAAAGATTTTTAAAGGGAAGTCATTGAATAAGAAAAGAACAAATGAAGCCCTGGGCTTCCCACTGTCATTGACTCACTGCATCCTGTTAAAACTGGTTTCTCAGTCGCAGCAAACAGAATTTACCACCGCATGCAGCCAAAAAAAAAAAAAAAAAAAAAAAACCTCTTTTCCCGTTGCACTTCTGTGCCTGGAATTATCTCCTATTTGTTTTAAGTAAAAGATGGTGAGAAACACAAGTGGCACCCACAAAGCCTTGCCTCGCCTTGCCTGGTGCAGCAGTGCCAGCTCTCCACAGCATGGGGAAGGCACTTCGCAGCCCACATTCCTTACTTCTGAGGGGAGGCAGCCCCCAGAATTATGCAAATCCTCCCCATTTCAGTAGGAGGCTGCAGTGTCAGATTAGAAAAAAGAGCTCAGCATTCTTTCTGATCCAAGTCATGAAAAAAATGTCTTTGCCTCTGCAAACTTCTGCACTAGATTTGTGGCTACAGTTTGCAAGACTGAAGCTGTCAGATACACTCCCACCCCATTTCAAAAAAGAATCTGAAGAATCAAGGTGGCCAGATCTTTAAGATTAAATATTTTGGCCCAAAATACCCCCTCAGACTTACATCAGAAGTTGCTTATGCCTTATTCTGAAGTGACAGAATTGCAGAAAACATTCACCTAAAATTTTTTTCTGTATGTTACAGTTAAATTAATGCAACGCCAGTAAAAGGAAAGAAATATGTGTGGAAAGTGTCTGAACTTCAGCACACTCCACTGGCCAGGGCTGACCAGGCAGAAAGGAGAAAGTGACAACTTTACCACCCACTAGCCCCCTGCCTCCCTACTCACGCAGAGGGTAAATTACGATATTCACCCAACTTTTCCTTTTCTTTTTTCTTCCTCCAGTGCTGGAGGAAAGAAAATCTCAGAGGGAGGAATGTGGTTTTGCACCCACTACAGTCGAAACCAACCAGACCTCAGGAGAGAAAAATAACTGCGGAATTCCCTAGGGCTTTCTGTCAAATTTTCTTCTCAGAAAGGGAAGGGGAGAGGAGTTGTTAAGAATAGTTCAGGCCAGTGATCAGGAAAGTCTTCTGAGCCTGACTCCGCACTGAATGCATCGCCAAAACTCCTCGCCCCTAGACCATTGGGCTTTGCTATCGGCTCTGCAAAACCATGTGCAGGGAGAGCTTACCTGAGAGAAACGCACACACCGTGAGCTGGCGCTCTCCGCTGCGAATGCCCGGCCGCCTCCATGCCCAGCAGAGGATTCTATGTTCTAAGTGTGTGTGTCCCCGGATACCAGCAAAGGTTAATAACGTGCTCACAGCATGCGTTTCAGAGGGCTCAGCCAGGGCTCGGGGAAAAGGGCATCATCTCGTTGCCTCTGGAGCCCCGCTGCTGCATACCCTGCACCCCCAAACCATCCCCCCGGGTCCTGGTCCCAGCAGCCAGGCGGCCTTCCTTCTCTCCCCCTTGACAATACTCTAGCGGTGGAAAGCAGTCCTCAAAGCGCTTCAGCCTCCGGCCGCAGACAGAGCAGCAAGACCAGAGAAACCATCCTAACAGTCGGTCCTCCCTCCTGGAACTCGTAGGAAAGTTTCCCCGTTTTAAAGAGCGCGATTCTCGAATGAATCAAAAACACCCTCCAGCTCCTCGGTCCTCCCGGCCGGGCGCCTCCCTGCACCTCGGGCACCACCCGGGGCTCACGCGGCCCCGGCACTGCCCACTTCCCGAGCGGTCGCCTGTCACCCCGGGGGTAGCCCGCTCGGCGATCGCAGCGCCCCTCCAAAGCTCCCCTCTGCGACCACGCTCGCCAGACAAAAAGAGGCCGAATTTGGAGAGCGCGTCGCGGGCTCACCTCTGGGCTGCGCTCCCCCGGCCCCTCCGTCGGTCTCCGAGCCGCCAGCCGCCCGGCCGGAGCATTGTTCGCAGAAGGTCTGCGCGCGGTGCGTGCCCGGCCGCGGGCGGGTGGCTTCTGCCTGGGCCCGGCGGCCGGGTGGCAGCTGCGAGCGCGGCTCCGCCCCCTCCGCCTCCGGTGACGCCGCCCGCCCCAGCTCACGCCGCACCTCCGCAGTCCCTGCCGCCGCCCGGCCCCGCCTGGCCCGCGCGCCCCGCCGCCCGGCTTGCGCCTGCCGCTCCCACCCGGCGGTCTCCTACCCCCAGGGCCCCGACTCCTCCAAAGTCTCCAGGCCCCGGGACTCCCTCTCTTGCCCACCCTCCCGCCCCGGACCGGCAGGCTCCGCCCCCAGCCCCAGACTTGGCGCGGGCTGACCCCCGAGCCCAGCACCCGTTTGCACCCCCTCCTCGGTGGGGACCCTGCACAGCTCTGGAGGGGCGAGCTCTGGCGTTGCAATCCTCCTTTTGCCATCATGCGTGTATAGGTGCCCGGCATCACTTCATCCAGCCGGCCCTGCGGGACCCTGGGAAGAGAGGGAGAAGGAAGGGGAAACGAGGAAGTGTGGGGTCGGGAGTGGAATACAGGTCAGGGTCCGAGGCGGGCTCTGAAAGCCACGTGAGCACAGCGAGCCTCAGCTCTCCCTACCTCTGGGAAGAGGGTGGCGCCGGAGGGAGCAGGGCTGGAAGTCCCGGTGGCGGATTCCAGGTTCCGCTCAGTCCCTGGACTGCAGGATTCTGGCAAATTGCTTAACCTCTTTGAACTTTAGTTTTCTGGATGTAGAATGCAAGCGTTGCACTGCAGGGACCTGGCCTTCTACCATGCTGGGACATCCAAGTCTTCCGCAGGCCAGTAATACACCTGTGTTTACACCGTTTCCAGTGAGTCATTCACTGAGATAGAACGAGTTCGAGATAGTCCTCGGGCTAAAAAAATCTTTTCACTGGGAGTATAATAGCTTAAGACCCAGTCAGTCCTGTAGCTTGACCTGGGTGTTTACTCGGGGAGCCAGGGCTATGGTCACCTCCCAGGGCCATGCCGGGTGGGAAGAATTCAGTGAAATGGAATAGGAAGAGGACCCCCCTCCCCCACAAAACAATACCTGCGGCTTCTCTCGCCCTCTATCCCCTCCCCAGGAAGGCAGTTTATTTTGACTCCAGTGAAGGTCCTCTGCCAGTCAGCCTGCGAGCCCCCACCCACTGAGAGGAGGAAGATGGGCCCCCACCCCCACCCCCAGATCCCTGGCTCTCCTCTTTGCTGCTGTGGGTGTGGACAGAGAGGGAAGATGTGTATTTGAGGTTTGGCTTCTGTGTGAGGAAAGGGAAAAAAGGATCCAGGGAATTCTTCCTCATGTTCCAGTGACACCCATGCCTCCTAAGAGGACAGAATCTGGGGGAAGCTGTAGAGGGATGGGAGTGCAATGGACATTCCTTAAGGACCTACCCAGCGCTAAGCAATCCTATGAGGAGAGCATCATTATCCCCATTCTACAGATAAGAAAACTGAGGCTCGGGGGCCTCACAATTTGCTGGGGTTCCTCAGCTGAAAAGTGGTAGTACTAAGATTGGAACCAAAGGCTGTCTGGCTTCGCTGGTAGGCAAGTCTACTCTGCCACTCTGCCCTTGCCAAGTGCAGGTAGTCCAGCCCTATTTTTCTCTCTCCCCTAAGTGGAGAGAAATCATTTGAACAAATACTGGCCGTGCGCGGTGGCTCACACCTGTAATCCCAGCATTTTGGGAGGCCGAGGCTGGCAGATCACCTGAGGCCAGGAGTTCAAGAACAGCCTGGGCAATGTGGTATAACCTCATCTCTACTAAAAATACAAAAATTAGTCGAGTGTGGTGGTGGGCGCCTGTAATCCCGGCTACTCAGGAGGCTGAGGCAGGAGACTCACATGAGCCAGGGAGGTGGAGGTTGCAGTGAGCTGAGATCGCACCACTACACTCCAGCTTGGGTATCAGAGCAAGACCCTGTCTCAAAAAAAAAAAAAAAAAAAAAAAGGAAGGGAAACTTTGGTTACACTTCATGAGCATCCAACAGAGCTGAAAGATCCAGACCCTACCAAGACTCAAGAGGGGAAGATGTTGATTAAACAGGTAGGTACAAAGTGGTCTGCAATGGAGAAATACAAAAGTGACTTCAGAAAGTGTGCAATTCATTTACACTGGGAGAGGGCAAACTAAGATGTTTGAGAAGTTCCTGGTTCTCAGGATTCAGGCTAAATGTTTCACTTCTTTCCTCTGTAAGAGAGACATTGACCTCACAGAATAAAGGCTGTGCTGAACACATAAAAGAAGCACTTACTTTTGCACTTTATTTTCTTCTCTTTACCTAACTTATTCTTTTTTTTTTTTTTCCTGGGATGGAGTTTCATCTTTCAATCAGGCTGGAGTGAAGTGGCAAGATCTTGTCTCACTGCAGCCTCCACTCCCCGGGTTCAAGCCATTCTCCTGCCTCAGCCTCCTGAGTAGCTGGGATTGCAGGCGGCCACCACCATGCCCTGCTAATTTTTCTATTTTTAGTAGAGACAGCATTTCACCATGTTGGGCCAGGCTGGTCTTGAACTCCTGACCTCAAGTTATCTGCCTGCCTCGGCCTCCCAAAGTGCTAGGATTACAGGTGTGAGCCACCGCGCCCGGCCCCTAATTTATTCTTAATACATGAACAGGCTAAAGAGCATAATTATAAGAGAAAGCCATAATGTGGCAAGACTTGTAGTTCTGTGGCATGGGGCAGTACTTGAAGGGTAAATTCAGTGTGTCTACAAAATAAAGTGTGTTCTTAAGTGGTTTGCTGTGCTCACACAAAGTAAATGCATTATACTGTAGTTGCTGACATATAATGTGCATCTTTTTAAAAGCCAGCAACATGGCCATAGAGACGACTTCATCTTGCCTAATGAAAAGAATCAAGAAACACTTCAAAGGAGTCACTGGGATGCACATAAAATACCCACACTCTTAGGCAGTGCTCTACCAGTGACTGTTAAGTATATGATATCCTCAGTCAAGCTACGGTAAGCTCATTCATTTTCATAAAGAATTCTTGCTTGAACTTCCAAACTGTACCCTGCAATGCAGTGTAATTTGTGTAGACACAGCATTCTGCTTCTAGCTACTTATCAGTCCATTTTTATGACACTTTTAACTGCAGGGCGTGGGCTCCCTGATACAGACCAGACCTTGAAGAACAGCAATTCCTCGTCAGAGTTTTAGTCCAGCGGCACCATTCCGTACAAGAGCAGTTATATTTTAGGAAACTGGGACAAGAGGTCAAGGCTGGGAGTGCTTCGGGGTGAGTAAAGTAAGGTAGTTTGGAATTAGGCAAAATGGCAGGATTAGGAAGGATGTGCCATTAAATTATACTGCAAAAATACAAGCTGGGGTATTGGAGAGGGGTCAGATAGTATGAAGATTGAGCCAAAGAAATCCCACACATATTATCTCCTCAGCCAGAGCATACATCTCAAATAATAGAGACATGCATCTCACCTAAAAGCGAGAACGATATTCAGTTTTCTCAACGAATATGTATTGAGTGACTTCTACTTATAAGCACTGCATGAGGTCCTACTGGGAAAAGAAAGACGAGTAAGAGCAAAAAAAAAAAAAAATAAGCTCTATGAGAGGAAGATAAGTCGGGGCAGTGGGGGTTCAAGGGAGAAACAGACAGAAGAAACACAGAAAGTGGCTCTATAGAGGAGGGGAGCTTTAGAAGATGAGAACGATTTCAATCTGTGGAGGATGGGGACTTTCCAGACTGAGACAATGTTATCTGCAAATGAATGGACGTGGGAGAGGCGGAAGACTTTTCAGAGGTTTTGCATTCTAGACTGGCTGGATCATGGTTTTTGGAGACAGGCCTGGAAATGGAGTGTGGCACTAGAAGAGAAGAACTTCGTTTCCAGGTGAGCCATCAAGAAAGTGTTGACATTTCCGAGCAGCAGAATGACATCACTAAGGTGGTTTTTCATTAGCTTTCTCTGGATCTTGTATCCCAGATGGATTAGGAAGTGGGAGAAGAGATTGGAGACAAGGAGTCTGGCTTAGCGTTCCTATCCCTGGTCCAGATGGCAGTTGATGTGTTTTGATAAGGAACATGGCAAGGGAAACAGAAAGAATGGATGGTGTGTGTGGTTTTGAGAGACATGAAGAGGGAGAAATGGGGATTGGTTACTTCGTGGATTCACTGTGAGCAATAATCTATTAACGAATAAAGCCTTACATTATGGAGCACTTACTCAGCATCACGCCCTGTGTGATCAGTGATGTACCTGGCTTTTCTCATGTAAGCCTCGCAGAAACACAGGAGTAGGTGCTATTACTGACAGAGAGGAAGGAATCAAAGGTGACCAGTAGAGTTTTAGCCCCTAGAGACCGGTAGAATGATGGTATCATTATTACAAACGGGAAAGTCACAGAATTCAGTCTGTGGTCTGTTGGGTTGGAAGTGTGTAGCCACCGTTTGGTGAATGAAGTCATCCTGCCAGAAGTGGTGTTTGGAGCCCCCAGAACAAATGAAGGGGTTGCAGGAGTATTGTGAAGAAGGCGCAAAAGTGATAGGAAGAGGCCAAGAATTGGGGGACCCAGGAATACAGAAGAGGCCATAAGAAAAACAAGAAGCATGACCCCTTCCCTTCCAGACCTTTTAAAATGCAGAGCAGTCTAAAGAGAGATCTCTTGTGGAGGACAAAAAGGCAAGAGATGTTATCACGGAAATTCCAGGTTCCAGTTAATTGCATGAGCCAGGGAGTGTCTGAGACAAGCTTAAGCTCTTAGTGACTTTGTTTATAGTAGCAGGAGGTTCTAAAGGACCCCATGGAAGAAAGGAATTAGATGGGAGGACAAATGGAATGGATAAGATAGGCTTGATACGGATGCTGATAGAAAAAAGGGGTATTTTGGCCAGGTGCAGTGGCTCATGTCTGGAATCCCAGGACTTTGGGAGGTCAAGGTGGGAGGGTTGCTTGAACTCAGGAGTTCAAGACCAGCCTGGTCAACACGGTGAGACCCTGTCTCTATTAAATTAAAAAATTAGCCAGGCACATACAGGTAGCGTGTGCCTGTAGTCTAGCTATTCAGGAAGCTGAGGCAGGAGAGTTGTTTGAGCCTGGGATGTTGAGGCTGCAGTGAGCTATGATTGCGCCTCTGCACTGCACCCTGGGCAAGGGTGAGACACTGACTCCAAAAAGAAAAGCAAAACAAAACAAAACAAAAGGGAGTATTTCATAAGGGGAGGAGGGTAATTGCAGATGGGAGAGGTTGGTGCCCTGGACGTCCTGGGCATCTGCTCCAGGCTTGAAAGCTAAGCCTGCCCTAGTGGCAATTTGGGTCCCAAAACCACCATGGAGAGGACTGCATAGGGAGGGAAGGAAAAAGATCTTTCAAAAACTTGCTGTGATGAGCCCTTCTAGCTTCCTTCTGTCCTGCTAGGAGATAACATTCTCAGCAAGCCAGTTAGAGCTTGGTCTAGCAAACGCACACAGCCCCACTCCTCTCTTTCCTCTCAGAGTGATAATCGGCTCTATCATTTGCCACCCCAAAGCTATCTCTTTCTTCTCTGAGGTGTGGAAATTCACATATCTTATCAGTTAATCCCTGTCCTTTGATTATGGAATCACATCCTCATGTCCCACCTTTTTTAAGAAAAACATATCCAACATCCCATTCTTCTCAGACATTAATTCTAGGCAGCACTATGCAAGATAAAACATTCTAAATAATTTATAGTATCATATTCCAAGCACTGAATAGATTTTTTTTGCCCAAACTGAAAGATATTATTTAAGTAATAACTACAGATGGTCAGAATATCAAACCACACAGGACTGAGAGCCAAAGGTTCAAGGTTGTTATGATCTTTCTTTTGTGCTCAAGCACCACAGAGCACAGATGTCAGTGGTGAAGAAGAAAAACACTTTTTTCCCCTTTTCTATATGTATTAGTCTGTTCTCACATGCTAATAAAGACGTACCTGAGACTGGGTGATTTATAAAGGAGAGGTTTCAGGGACTCACAGTTCTGCATGGGGCTGGGGAGGCCTCACAATCATGGCAGAAGGCAAATGAGGAGTGAAGTCACATCTTACATGGCAGCAGGCAAAGAGAGCTCGTGTAGGAAACTCCCCTTTATAAAACCGTCAGGCCCAGGCCCGGTGGCTCATGCCTGTAATCCCAGCACTTTGGGAGGCTGAAGCAGGTGGATCACCTGAGGTCAGGAGTTCGAGACCAGCCTGGCCAACATGGTGAAACCCCATCTCTGCTAAAAATACAAAAATTAGCCTGGATTGTGGTGGGTGCCTGTAATCCCAGCTACTCAGGAGGCTGAGACAGGAGAATCACTTGAACCTGGGAGGTAGAGGTTGCAGTGAGCCGCGAAGGTGCCACTGCATTCCAGCTTGGTGACAGAGCAAGACTGTCTGAAAAAAAAAAAAAAAAAAGCCATCAGATCTCATTAGACTTACTCACTATCATGAGAAGAGCATGAAAAAGACCCACCCCCATAATTCAATTACCTCCCACTGGGTCCCTCCTACAACATGTGGAAATTATGGGAGCTACAATTCAAGATGAGATTTGGATGGGAACACGGCCAACCCATATCAATATATAACTATATGTGGGTGTGCATTCAGTGACAGATACATTAAGTTTTTGCAAACGTCGTTTTTTCAAAATGTTACTGTTATGGGCTAAGTTGCGTGGTTCCCCCTACCTAACCCCCCAGAAAATAAATGTTGAAGTCCTAACCCCCAGTGCTACAGAATGTGACCTTCTTAGACGTAGGGTCTTTACAGATGTAATCAAGTTGAAATGAGGTCATTAGGATGGGCCCTAATCCAATGACTGGTGTTCATCTGTAGAGAGACATGAAGACAGCCATGTGAGGGGAGTGATGCAGGTACAAGCCAAGTAGCACCAAGAACTGCCAGCAAACACCAAAAGCTAGGAGAGGCAAGGAAGGCTTCTCCTCTAGGGTCGGCAAAGAGAGCCTGGCCTTGCTGACACATTGATTTGGGACTTCTAGTCCCCAGAACTATAAGACAATTTCTCTTGTTTTAAGCCACGCAGTTTTTGGTACATTGTTATGGTAGCCCTAAAAAACTAATAAAGGGGGCTGGGCGTAGTGGTACGTGCCTATAATTTCAGTGCTTTGGGAGGCTGAAGCAGGTGGATTGCTTGAGTCCAGGAGTTCGAGACCAGCCTGGGCAACATGGTGAAAACCCATCTCTACCAAAAATACAAAAAAAATTAGCCAGGCGTGGTGGCACTGCCTGTGGTCCCAGCTACTTGGTAGGCTGAGGTGGGAGGATCACTTGAGCCAGGGAGGTGGAGGCTGCAGAGAGCTGAGAAGGTGGAGGTTGCAGGGAGCTGAGATTGCGCCACTGTGCTCCAGCCTGGAAAATAGAGTGTGACCTTGTTTAAAAACAAAAAACAAAAAACCAAAAACCTAGCAAAGGAGTGAAGGTACTAAAATTAAAGTATGCCGGCCGGGCGCAGTGGCTCATGCCTGCAATACCAGCACTTTGGAAGGCCAAAGCGGGCAGATCACAAGGTCAGGAGATCGAGACCATCCTGGCTAACACGGCGAAACCCCGTCTCTACTAAAAATACAAAAAATTAGCCGGGCGTGGTAGCAGGCGCCTGTAGTCCCTGCCGCTTGGCAAGCTGAGGCAGGAGAACGGCGTGAACCTGGGAGGCAGAGCTTGCAGTGACCCGAGATTGCACCACTGCACTCCAGCCTGGGCGACAGAGCAAGACTCCGTCTCAAAAAAAAAAAAAAAAAAAAAAAAAATTAAAGTATGCCAATGATTGATATACACTAATGCTCTTAGTTAGAAAGTTAATATTTTTCCAAAAATCAGCTCATAAGGAAGTGGCATACAGGAGACATGTTAATGGCTGCTATGGGTGGAATGCCAGGCAGTTCACCACAGTAGGAAAGTGGGATATCCCTTTATTCTTTCTGTGGGAGCTTTGATTGGCCTACAAGGAGAATGGTCATCCTTTCATCTACAGCTCCCTCCTCCTCAAATGTTAGGGTCTATGGTCAGGAGAAAGGGCTTGTTCCTTAGCTGAATGGGCACATGAATGATTAGAAACTCCACCTCTACTTTCAGATAGTGTGGAGTGAGACATAGCTCAAAGCCCATCAAGAGACTACTCTTGGTCCACAAACACTTCTAGAGACACTTCTAGAGATGCATTAATGGATGGGGGAAACATTAGGGATCATCCAGGTCTGATCCTTCACTTCCTTTTTTTTTTAATTTTAATTTTAATTTTTTTTGAGATGGAGTCTCACTCTGTCGCCCAGGCTGGAGTGCAGTGGCTTGATCTTGGCTCACTGCAACCTCTGCCTCCCAGGTTCAAGTGATTCTCCTGCTTCAGCCTCCTGAGTAGCTGGGATTACAGGCTCCTGCCACCACTCCCAGCTAATTTTTATATTTTATTTTTAGTGGAGACGGGGGTTTCGCCATGTTGGCCAGACTGGTCTCGAACTCCTGACCTGAGTTATCTCCCCACCTTGGTCTCCCAAAGTTCTGGGATTACAGGCATGAGCCACGGCACCTGGCCCTGATCCTTCACCTTCACAACACTATTCTTCTGAGCTTTCAAGGTTGTTTGGTTTTAATATGAACTCAGCAATGAGTTAAGAATATGAAAATGAGAAATATTTAAGGAATTAATTCATGACTCCCACTGCTTGGCTTTCTGACTGAGCTGAGGTCAGAGTCTAAAAAAGCAAAGTATTTCACATTAGGAAGGGTCCCAAAGGGAAAAACTAATCCATCTGAAGAATCTGTTCAGTTACCCCAAAGAAAACCTCTCCATGGTACAGCCATTTTGGAAAAACAGTTTGACAGTTTCATAAAGATTAAACATAAATTTGTGGTCTGACCCAGCAGCCCCACTCCTGGGTATCTACCTAAGATAAATGAAAACACGTCCACACAAAGACTTGCACACAAATATTCATGCCGCATGATTTATAATAGCGAAAGAATGGAAGCAACCCAAATGTCCATCAATTAGTGAATGAATAAACAATATGTGATGTACCCATACAATGGAATACTATTCAGAAATAAAAAATAATGAAATACTGATCCGTGCTACAGAATGGATAAACCTCAAAAGCCTTATGCTAAGTGAAAGAAGCCAGACATGGCCAGGCATGGTGGCTCAAGCCTGTAATCCCAGCACTTTGGGAGGCCAAGGCGGGAGGATCACCTGAGGTAGGGAGTTTGAGACCAGCCTGACCAACATGGAGAAATTCCATCTCCACTAAAAATACAAAATTAGCCGGGGGCGGTGGCTCATGTCTGTAATCCCAGCTACTCGGGAGGCTGAGGCAGGAGAACCACTTGAACCCGGGAGGCGGAGGTCATGGTGAGCTGAGATCATGCCATTGTACTGTAGCCTGGGCAACAAGCGTGAAACTTCGTCTCGAAAAAAGAAAAAAAAAAAAATAAAGAAAGAAAAAGAAGCCAGACACAAAAGGCTACTTATGGTATTATTCCTTCTATATGAAATATCCAGAAAAGACAAATCTAGAAAGTAGAGTAGTGGTTTCCTAGGGCTGGGGGTGGTAAAGGGATATGGGGCTGGAGATGAACACAAAGGTTCCTGCTGCAGAATAAAAATGTCCTAAAACTGGATTGTGACAATGATTACTGAACTTGACAAACTTACTAAAAAGTATTGTAGACTCAAAATGGTTGAAATTTATATGTAAATTACATTTCAGTAACACTGTTTATATGAAGAGAGAATGTGGCAAGGCGCCGTGACTTATGCCTGTAATCCCAGCACCTTGGGAATCTGAGGTGGGAAGATCACTTGCGCCCATCCTGGGTAACATGGCGAAACCCCGTATCTACAAAAAAATACAAAAATTAGCCTGGAGTGGTGGTGCTCACCTATAGTCCCAGCTACTTGGGAGGCTGAGGTGGGAGGATCGCTTGAGCCCAGCTGCAGTGAGCCATGATCACAACACTGTACTCCAGCCTGGGCAACAGGGGTGACCGTGGAAAGAAAAGAAAAGAAAAGAAGAGAAGAGAAGAGGGGAGGAGGGGAGAGGAGGAGGGGAGAGGAGGAGGGGAGAGGAGGAGGGGAGAGGAGGAGGGGAGAGGAGGGGAGAGGAGGGGAGAGGAGGAGGGGAGAGGAGGGGAGAGGAGGGGAGAGGAGGAGGGGAGAGGAGGGGAGAGGAGGGGAGAGGAGGGGAGAGGAGGGGAGAGGAGTGGGAGGAGGAGGGGAGAGGAGGGGGAGGAGGAGGGGAGAGGAGGGGGAGGAGGAGGGGAGAAGAGGGGAGAAGAGGGGAGAAGAGGGGAGGGGAGGGGAGGGGAGGAAGGGAAGGAAGGAAGGAGAAGGGAAGGGAGAGAGGGAGGGAGGAAGGAAGGAAGGGAGGGAAAGGTATATTATTCATGCTTAATATGCTACAACATGGATGAACCTTAAGAATATTATGCCAAGTGAAATAAGTCAGTCACAAAAGGATACATACTGTTTAATTCCACGTATAGGAAGGACCTAGAGTAGACAAATGTATGGAGACAGAATGTTGGTAGCCAGAGGCTGGAGGAGAGGTGAGTGGGGAGCTCATGTTTAGTGGGTACAGAACTGCAGTTTGGGAAGATGATAAGTATTCAGGTGATGGTTGCACGAAAATGTGCATGTACTAATGAATGCACCAATGTACTGTGCACTTAAATGGTTAAAATGAATTTTATCATGTTATATACACATGCGCACACACACACATAATTACAACTAGTCACAATTGTAGTTAATATAATTAAACTATAATTATAGAGAGAGAGGCCACATATGTTTCTGTCAGTAAACTGTTTAAAGTTCAGGCCTATTGCTGCTTGATAAACCATGGATGAAAAATTGTCACATGATTTCTTGTGGCTCAACAGTCCCATCCCTGAATGTTGCTTTTCCCTCTGTCCTTCCGGAGGTAGCTGTGTATTTTCGGTTTTACTAGGTCAGTAGACTTCAGTCCGTCCTGACTTCTGGGTGGTTTTTGTTGACTTCTACAAGAAGGCTTCTGTGTGATGTTACCTCTGAGACCTAAATGTGCCAAAATCCAGCTGTGAAAATGTCATGACATGGACCATCTCTTAGGGCGTTTTACTTGCAAAAGTAAACCGATGCTCTAAATCAAGTTTTCCTGAGGCCTGCTTGTTCAGTGGCAGGAAAAGGAAAGTTTCTATTTATCTAAAAAGAATGTGTCATTTGCCATTTTTAATAGTTTTATAAACCTGTTGAAAAATGGTGTTTCTTTGACCTATTCATCCTTGAAATAGAGTGGCCTTCTCTCTTTCCCTTTTTTTTTCTTATGGTTCTTATAATAAATATAGCCATAAAAGGATTTTTTTTTTTTTTTTTTTGAGACAGGGTCTCACTCTGTAGCCCAAGCTGGAGTGCAGTGGTGCGATCTCGGCTCACTGCAACCTCCGCCTCTGGGGCTCAATCGATTCTTGTGCCTCAGCCTCCTGAGTAGCTGGAACTACAGACACATGCCACACACCCAGCTAATTTTGTGTATTTTAGTAGAGACAGGGTTTCACCATGTTGACCAGGGTGGTCTCGAACTCATGAGCTCAGGCGATCCACCCACTTCACCTCCCAAAGTGCTGGGATTACAGGCCATGAAAGTATTTTAAGACAATCCTTTGGACTCTTAGAGCATTTTGCTAATAAAAAGCATTGAGGAAATCCCATTTTGATACAACACAAGTAACTCTGGGAAAACTTATTTCTCTGCATAGTACACCAGACGGTAAAACCCCCCAAAAGACATAATTTGCTTCCTCTTTTTGAGTTTCTGAGAGCACTAATTCGGTCATGAGACAGATGTCTGATTTCCGCGTGGGGTGGAGTGGGACGAGGTGATAGTGCAGAGCAAATAAACCTCCCCTTTAGGGCCTGTGGATACGTGCAGCCTTCCTTCAATTTCAGATCCACGGTACGTGATTGACATAGATTAGTTATGACCTACCTATGCCAACCCCAGAGCCTTCTACAAACACTGGCTCTTATTAGCAAATTACTTCTCCCCCAGTCACGGTGCATAGAATTAACATTCTCATTTTCCATCTCAGGAAATTGAGGCGGGGAGGACTAATAGAGTCAAACAGTCAGTTATCAAACATAGAAGATTGGAAGAAAGTGACCTATTTGTCTTCCAGATCCCCTGTTGAAACTCTCTAAAGGCACTGCACAGTGTCACCACTGTTGGACTTTGTTTAGTCAGAGGATGATCTCCTTGTGTATTTATATTCCTAACTGGTTCTGATGGGGAAGCCATACAGTAATGGCCATACATTATCGTATGGCCACACCATATAATAATGGTGGCTGAGAGGCTTCCGGAGAGACACTTGGTAGCATGTCCAGTGGTCACAGAATGTAGCAGGGTCAACAAGTTTTGCAGCCACCAATGAATGGGAGGAGGGGGTGCCATGTAGAGGAAGGAGGAGGGGAGCAAAACTTGGACTAATTTCCTGGAGAGCCACAGGCCTTGTTAAGGAATCTTTAGGATAATAGCTCTTTTGACTGGCTGTTGGTTTTTTTTCTCTTTTAGAAGTAGTAGTAGTGGTTGGCTGGGAGAGAGATATGGAGAAAGCTGGGTAGGAAGGCGGTCAAAAGACATGTGATGGGGCTGATTAACAAGCAGGCTTTGTAAGCTGGGCTGCGGGGACACCTGCAGCTCTTGCAGACAGGCTTGCCCAGTAGGGGTTGTTTGAATGAGAAAACAGCTTCCAAAAAGATGTAGCACAAGAGCATAAAAGGAAAAGAAAAATGTGCATTTGTGAGATGAGGGAATGGTAGAGTTTTATCTTGGGATTCTCCTTTAAATGACTTTCATTATCTAATATTCTCAACCCTAGGTCAGCATCACAAGACGCATGAAAGAGGACTCATCGCCAGGGCATGGAGCTGGTGTTTTGATCAAAATGGAATTTGCTCTCAAATAGACATGTATTCACTAATCTCCTTTCTTTTAAATAAGTAAATAAAACAAACACAAAATCTCTTCCAGCTCAGCTGACTAAGTCCTAGTGGGGATGACAGCAACATTCACTTGCAAGATCCCACAGAGCTAGTGTCCAAAATGAAAATAAATGTGACTTTTCATATCAAGGCAGAGTGTTGCTTTGTTTGCAATTCAGTTAAAGAACAGGCATTACAATGCTATTGTGCTACGAGATGCACATCTTTGGGGCTCTAACACGGCGAAATCTGTGCTTGACAGATGGGCACCAGTATCTTAAGAGAGCCAGAAGGGCACAGTTCTTGGTTTCCAAGGAGCTAGGTTTGGGTGAGGTGGAAGTGGGGGAGCAAAGAAAAAAAATCCCCGTACCTCCCATGGTCAATCAGCTTAGACCGGATCCATTCCAGATGGCTGTGTCTTATATTCATTGATATTTCCCACAGCTAATAGAGCCTTGGTAAATAGCAATTGTGTGATCAATTTATATATATTAAATTCCCACTGAGATAGCTAAGTTACCAGATAAGGAGAACACTTGAATTTGATTTCAGCAGGACTTGGAAGGAATTAGGCAAGGGTGTCATCACTGTCACCTCCTGTCAACTCTGGAAGCTGAGTTGGATGCTTTTCCTTTCTTTTCTTTCTTTCCTTCTTTCTTTCTTTCTTGCTCTCCTTCCTTCTTTCTTTCCTTCCTTCCTTCCTTCCTTCCCTCCCTCCCTCTCTTTCTCTTTCTTTCTTTCTTTCTTCTTTCTTTCTTTCTTTCTTTCTTTCTTTCTTTCCTTCTCTCTCCTTCTCTCCTTCTCCCCCTTCTCCCCTTCTATCCTCTCCTTCTCTCCTCCTCCCATTCTCCCTTTCTCTCTCTTCCTTTCTTTCTCTCTTTCCTTTCTTTCCTTTCCTTTCTCTCCCTCCCCTTCTCTCCTTCTCTCTTTCCCCCTTCTCCCCTTCTCCCCTCCTCTCTCTCTCTCTCTCTCATCTTTCTCTGTTGCCCAGGTTGGAGTGCAGTGGTACAATCATGGTTCACTGCAACCCCAACCTCCTGGGCTCCATGAATCTCCCACCTCAGCCTCCCAAGGAGCTAGGACTACAGGCATGAAACACAACATGTGGATAGTTTTTAAATTTTTTTTGGAAGAGGTGAGATTTCATTATGTTGCAGAAGCTGGCCTTGAACTCCTGGGCTTAAGTGATCTGCTAGCCTCGGCCTCCCAAAGTGTGGGGATTACAGGCATGAGCCACAACACCTGGCTGGATGATTTTTCTTGGTGCTGCCATTAGCTTCAGTTTCCTTTTATATAAAATGCAGTTAGTGACACCTTCCTTAGAGGGTTGTTTTGGAAGTTACATAAGCTAAGTTATGTAAAGTGCCCAATTCAGAACCTGGCCTATCATATGCTCTCAATAAATGATGGTGCTAGGGCATTCATTAGAAAGTTAAATCCATTCCTTCGCTCACCAGCAGCCTTTGATCCAGGAAACACCTTGTGCCAGGCTCTGAGCAAAGCCCCGAAGATGCGGCAACAAGCCCAACAGATATGCTTCCTGACTTTCTGAATAGGACAGCATAGCGAGAGGTAGGGACACAACCAGATGCCCCCATGCATTTCTTTTTTGTTTTTGTTTTGTTTTGTTTTGTTTTGTTTTGTTTTGTTTTGAGATGGAGTCTCACTCTGTCTCCCAGGCTGGAGTGTAATGGCGCCATCATGGCTCACCTCAACCTCCGCCTCCCAGGTTCAAGCCATTCTCCTGCCTCAGCCTCCCAAGTAGCTGGAATCACAGGCGTGTGCCTCCACGCCCAGCTAATTTTTGTATTTTTAGTAGAGACGGGGTTTCACCATGTTGGCCAGGCTGGTCTCGATCTCCTGACCTCAGGTGATCCTCTGGCCTCAGCCTCCCAAAGTGCTAGGATTACAGGCGTGAGTTGCTGCACCCGGCCACCCATGCATTTCTGATGACACATTGTGACAGGTGCTCTGAAAGGCCAGTGCACTATAAGGTCATAGAGCAGGGGGCTTTATATTCTAGGGAGTCAAGGCAGTTTTCCCTATCAATGGACATTGGAGCTGAGATTCCAAAGATCAGGGTTGACCCCTTGGAGTATGACACATGGGAAAGAGGCAGAAAATGGGCAAGGGTATCTGGTCTGTCATTTAATTTCACACTCCTAGAGGATCAAAATATTGCTGGCTGTGAACTTGGAAGAACTGAATTCCAGTGCTTTTTCTAGTATGTGAGTAGCTATCCTCTGGCATCACAGGGATGGGTTTGGAGGGGACACAGACAGTGCCGGGGAGAAGGTTAGGGGTCTGCAAGGAGGACACATGGCTGGAGGATTGTGGAGGTAAGTAGGAAGATGCCAGTGGAATACTGGAGCAAAGTGGCCAAGGAGCACTGGGCTGAGAGTCAGGAGGGCTGAATTCTTTCCCTGGCCAGCATTCTTATTTTACAGATGAAGAAAAAAAAAAAAAAAAAAAACGGGCTCACAAAGACTGTGTATTTACCCAAGATATATGCACCTAGTAGGTGGTGAAACTTAGACTAAAATCTAGGCCTTTTTATTCTAGGTCTCTTGACTATACCACACGGCTGTCTGTAAAACGGAAAGCTTTAAGAAAACAACTGCTGGCCGGGCGCGGTGGCTCACGCCTGTAACCCCAGCACTTTGGGAGGCCAAGGCTGGTGGATCACCTGAGGTTGGGAGTTCGAGACCAGCCTGACCAATGTGGAGAAACCCCACCTCTACTAAAAATACAAAATTAGCTGGGCGTGATGGCTCATGCCTGTAATCCCAGCTATTCAGGAGGCTGAGGCAGGAGAATCGCTTGAACCCGGGAGGCGGAGGTTGAGGTGAGCCGAGATCGGGCCACTGCACTCCAGCCTGGGTAACAAGAGTGAAACTCTGTCTCAAAAAAAAAAAAGAAAAGAAAAAAGAAAAAAAAAAAAAGGAAACTACTGCTAAGGTCCCTTCCAGGTCTAAATAAAGTATAATAGTATGGAATAGTACCTCCTCAAGAGCAGAAAAGAAAAAAGAAGAGAAAGAGAGAAAGAAAGGTAAGGTAAGAGAGGAAGGAAAGAAAGAAACAGAAAGGATAAAATAAGAGAAAAAATCCTTAATTTTCTCCATGGTCTTTTCCCTCTGGAATATATCCAATTTAATCATTTCTAGACCATTAAAATCCATGTCAGAGCCACCACCAGTAGAGCATTCTGTCACCATCCCACTGTAAGGGCAATTGCTAGGAGAGACGTGGGACTTCTCCGCCCTATCATCATAATGCTTATTTCAGCCAATGTTTCATTATCTGTGCCCAGTGCAGGCCAAGCCATGGAAACATGAACCCCTCCGAGAGTTCAAAACCGTTCTGAGTCATTAGCTCTAATATCCTCGCAGCTCCAAAAGCAACCGTGCTGGAGGTGCTCTGCTGAGCGCCATTCCCTTATGCATTTCCATGTTATTGTTTTGAGCCTATAGGTAAGAGCTTGGAAAAAGCACAAAGCAAAGAAACCGTTCACTTTGCACCAAGGCCATACAGCAAGTTCAGTCACCTGGCTGAAATTAGGCTCTCCAGGATACCAGAAAATGTCTTGCCCTTTTATGACTTGTGCCAAATCTTCTTCTGGCTGCTCCACATACAAAACAAATATACTTTTCCTGAAGGCCTTTTTGGCATTTCCTTAATCCCTAAGCCATAGCGACCAAAGACACCGTTCTTCATGCCAGCGTGTGCTTCCCTGCCAGCCTCTACCACCCGCACACAAGTTTTCTGTTAACGCTTTTGTAAAGAATTTAAATGTGTTGCCAGTTAAATGAGGTATTAAGGGCTCTGGGGTTTTTAATCTCCAGTTTTCTATCAGAAGAAAGGAATCATGGTAAAAATTGTGCTTTGCAGTTCTATTGGAATTTAAATATTTTCTGCATAAAATGTTGGTATCATCAACATCAAAAAGCCCAAACATCAACATCAACATAAAACCCCTCATTTTATAAAACAAAAGTTTCAAAAAGTGGAATCCACTTTTTTGGTGGAATAGACTCAGGGGTCACATTGAAACTCTTTATTAGTAATAAATTGCAACAGCCCTTGGGCTCTTGCTGTTGAAAGGGAAAGTTAGTGGTTTAGAAATGGAAAGCAAGTAACCAAAATTAAGATACTCTGATGTGCTACTACATACAAGAATAAACCATCTAAAAGGACAGCATATTAATAGTGCACTTATTTTTAGCCAAATCTACAGTAAAACAATCTTTTCAACACTTATCCCAAATTCTATTGTTTAAGACTTTTCTAGGCCAGGCACAGTGGCTCACACCTGTAATCCCAGCACTTCGGGAGGCGGAAGCTTCTGGATTACCTGAGGTCAGGAGTTCGAGACCAGCCTGGCTAACATGGTAAAACCCCGTCTCTACTAAAAATACAAAATCAGCCGGCTATGGTGATTCACACCTGTAATCCCAGCTACTTGGGAGGCTGAGGCAGGATAATTGCTTGAACCCGGGAGGCGGAGGTTGCAGTGAGCTGAGATCGTGCCACTGCACTCCGGGCTGGGCGACAGAGCGTGACTCTGTCTCACTAGTGTAGAAATGTACAGATTAGAAAGTACAATGGATTTACAAGGCAATCAAGAGAGACAATAAGGGGGCCAGGCGCGGTGGCTCATGCCTGTAATCCCAGCACTTTGGGAGGCCGAGGTGGACGAATCACCAGGTCAGGAGATCCAGACCATCCTGGCTAACACGGTGAAACCCCGTCTCTACTAAAAATACAAAAAATTAGCCGGGCGTGGTGGCGGGCGCCTGTAGTCCCAGCTACTTCGGAGGCTGAGGCAGGAGAATGGCGTGAACCCAGGAGATGGAGCTTGCAGTGGGCGACAGAGTGAGACTCCATCTCAAAAAATATATATATATAAAAATAGAGACAATACGGTCAGTTTGTATTGATACACACATTACTTCGAAGAAAACTGGACACTTTTGAAGGATCAAGTGACGCTTTTTGGGTACTAGGCCATTAGAAAAACTTTCTTTTCAGAAATGCAATCTATGTTCTATGGAATCTCCAGCTTAAGACGTAACTCAAGAATGACTCAATGAGGTCTTGTCAATGGGGTTAGTAAACTCCACGGGTAATTTAAGAAAAGGTATTGCTAAGCCAGGCACGGTGGCTCACGCCTGTAATCCCAGCACTTTGGGAGGCCAAGGCAGGCGGATCACGAAGTCAGGAGATCAAGACCATCCTGGCTAACACAGTGAAACCCTGTCTCTACTAAAAATACAAAAAATTAGCTGGGCATCGTGGTGGGCGCCTGTAGTCCCAGCTACTCGGGAGGCTGAGGCAGGAGAATGGTGTGAACCCGGGAGGCAGAGTTTGCAGTGAGCGGAGATCACGCCACTGCACTCCAGTCTGGGCGACAGAGTGAGACTTCGTCTCAAAAAAAAAAAAAAAAAGGTATTGCTAATCTTTGTGATGCTGACACGAGTCAGGGTGTGGACACATTCCTGGTTTCTCTTTATTAAGAGACCGACCAGGTGTGTATGAACCATGAGTTTATATTTATGCTTTTTGGAAAAATAAATATGTAGTCCACGTGTTTTAAGGTTAAGAAGCTTTTAGAACTTACAGCCTAATAAAAAAGAAAAAAAGGCCACGCACGGTGGCTCACACCTGTAATCCCAGCACTTTGGGAGGCTGAGGCGGGTGGATCAACTAAGGTCAGGAGTTTGAGACCAGCCTTACCAATGTGGAGAAACCCCGTCCGTACTAAAAATACAAAAATTAGCTGGGCGTGGTGGTGCGTGCCTGTAGTCACAGCTACTTGGGAGGCCGAGACAGAAGAATTGCTTGAACCCGGGAGGTGGGGGTTGCAGTGAGCCGAGATTGCACCACTGCACTCCAGCCTGGGAGATGGAGACAAAAAAAAAAACAACAAAAACCAAAAAAACCAAAAAAAAAAAAAAAAAAAGAAAAGAAAAAGAATCATAGTAATAAAAACAAAATAAATAGCTTAAGAAGTTCTATAAGGTTTCCACCTACTTTGCAAAGTATCAGTGTATTTTACTTAATCCAAATGCTGTGTTTTTCAACCTTCAGGGGGTAATCCTGCTTCCCCTTTGGGGTCCAGGGAAGCAATTCATATTCTCTAATCGCTTCTGCAGGATTTCCTCAAATCTCTCTTGTTCTTCTCTAAGCTTCAGTACATTCTAGACAACACCCCCTTAAACCCGTCACCATTGATGGAATGTATTTACCCTCACCGATGGGTATTTGTTCCACGTTTTCTATTTTAGTCAGTTCTACCTTTAGAGTTCTTTACACACACACACACACACACACACACACACACACAGCATCTCACTTAATTTTATTCATCCTTCAAAGTTCATCTTAGGTCATTTCTTCCCCTCCTTTGTCCCTGTGTCCTTTCCTCCTTGGTCCAATGCATTCTGAATGTTTTTACCATTTACATTAATTCTTTTTTTTTTTTTTTTTTTTAGACGGAGTTTCACTCTTGTTGCCCAGGCTGGAGTGCAGTGGTGCAATATAGGTTCACCGCAACCTCCTCCTCCCGGGTTCAAACCATTCTCCTACCTCAGCCTCCAGAGTAGCAGGGATTATAGGCATGTGCCACCACACCTGGCTAATTTTCTATTTTTAGTAGAGATGGGGTTTCTCCGTGTTGGTCAGGCTGGTCTTGAACTCCTGACCTCAAGTGATCCACCCGCCTCGGCCTCCCAAAGTGCTGGGATTACAGGCGTGAGCCACCGCGCCCAGCCTACGTTGATTCTTTAATGTTTACTTCTCTACCTTCTTTTATTTTTCACAACCATTTTACAGGTTTCTCTCTTGCTCTTGTCTCAACAATAAGAGCCCAGAGGTCAGAAGTCCTGATTTACACCTCATATTGTGTGCCTCTTAACCTGTAGAGGTGAGCCGCACTATATGCCATGTGTCAGTCTTTGATGCTTCCCTGTCAATCTTTGTCCAGACATTGAGTTCAACTTGGTCCCTTTGCCAAGTTCATTTCCCACTCGGATCACTTGTATTGCTGTCTGTGCACACGAGGACATCTGAGATAACTATGGAAGTTGGTTATTTCCATATGAAGTTGCAGGAAAGGGGTTCAATGGATGATCATGTTGGTGGGTGAAAATGATGCAGTATATAGAACATCGACAGATTTCATGGAGGCATAGACCAAGAATTTCATTTTAACTTTGTGTGATAGAAGGGAAAATAAATATTTGTGATCAATTGGAGCCATTTCTGGCTGAAGCAGCCGGTTATTAGTCATTGCGAATTGATCCACTAGCTTTCTGGATTTTGTAGACTGTATGAGTCTCACAGGTTCATCCTCCCACTGACAGCATTCCTGACCTTCAGGGTGTCAATACAGTCTGGGTCCTCTGTCCTAATCAAATTCACCACACACACCAGGCTCTCATCACCACTTTTCTGAGTCAGTGGACCTCATTTTTTTCCTGATGCAGTTTCTATCATTACAGGCTCAGTGGTAAGCCAACAACAAGGTGATGGGTTCCTAAAATAAGTGAATACAATCTTAGCCTCCTTATAATGTCGGGTGTCGAGCTGAGGGATGAGGTAATGGATATAGCCAGGAGACTGGACGCTGTTGATAGGAAGCAGTAAGGAACTGGAAGCTGTTTCACCCAGAAAAGATGGCTGGAGATAGAGATGGACCTTGCATTTTCATCTACACATGCGGAAGTGAGACTTAGTTTACACAAAAGCTAGAACTAGTAAGGGTAGGTTACAGAAAGGCTCAATGTGTTTAAAAATTGAAGGAACTGTTCCTTACTATTGAAGGAACACAGCGAGTGAGCTCCCAACTCTACTAATAAATAAATATTTGAGTTCAGATAATTAATTGAGATATAATGGAAGAGATTCCTACATTGCATGTAACTAAAACTTAAATGCTCCCTAATGACATAGGCAAATTAATCTGACTCCAAGTTTCTTTAAACCTGTGATGATTTCCAATTCATTGATGTCTTTCATGAGATATACAGCTGTAAACAAATAGAATTCCAGCTTCAAATGAATCAAGATTTTATACAAAGGCAGGATTTGCAGGTCTGTGTATGGGAAAGGGAGAGTCTTGCCCCAAATCAGTCTTGATGTCTTCATTCTAGGTAGTCTTTTTGAAAAGATGGCAGTCATGCAGAAGACAATACAATACCAATTTTGTTCCTTCCTTCACGTCCAATGCACAACTCAATACACACACCAGGGTTTTAGGCATTCTGCAACCTTTAAAAGTTTGAAAAACACACGTTGCTTTACACATGTCCAGGCATGTTTATGTACAATGGCTGGGAGTAGAAAATAATTTGACTTTTAGGGAATGGTATTATTCTTGGCAGAAAAAGTATCATTTGTTGAGTTAATTTCACACATACTACCACAATCGAACTCTTAAATGATTCTACGAGATAAGCATTGTTATTCTAATTTTACAGTTGATAGAGCTGGAAGAACAAGCAACTCACTTGTGTTTACACAACCATTAAGTTGTTGAGCCAGGATTTGAATCTAGGCCAAACTGATGCTATATCCCTTTTGCACAGGATCTTATAGTCCCTAATCATAAATCCTTCATATTTTGAAAGATAAAAGGCCATGTTTAGAGATGTCCATGACTTCAGAAAAACAAAAAAAAACAAAAAAAAAAACGGCTTTACTTTACAAGGATGGAGTAGTCTTTGCTGAATGGATAAGAACTCTAGTCTTGTCAATGCACAGGCTAAATATCAGCTCTGCCCTCTAAGTAGCTGAATGCCCTTCAACAAATACGTTCACTTCTCTAGGTCTCTGTGTTCTTACTGGGAAAATGGAAGTGCTAATAGCACCTTCCTTATAGGACTGTTTTTATTTTTTATTTTTTTATATTTTGAGACAGAGTCTCGCTCCACTGTCCAGGCTGGAGTGCAGTGATGCAATTTCGGCTCACTGCAACCACTGCCTCCCAGGTTCAAGTGATTCTCCTGCCTCAGCCTACCAAGTAGCGGGGACTACAGGCGTGTGCCACCATGCCCGGCTAATTTTTATATGATTAGTAGAGACGGAGTTTTGCCATGTTGGCCACGCTGGTCTCAAACTCCTGACCTCAGGTGATCCACCCACCTCAGCCTCCCAAAATGCTAGGATTACAGGAGTGAACCACTGCACCAGGCCAGGACTGTTTTTAATAGTAAATAAAATAGTACATGGAAAGCACCTAGCACCATATGAACATAGGAAGTAAGTTTTAGCTATTATGAAGAGTATATATTCTTTTTTATCTCCCTACACCGAAGGTTACTGGTGGGCTCAAAAGATACTCCTGAAGAGTCAAGTTATGGGGAAGCATCCCAGGAGAGGAGAGGCAGGACAAGCAAACTATTCCTGGGAAGCTAGACTTACTGATAACAGTGGAACTCTCCTTGGCTCCAACTGATTTCTTTGCCTGGGGTTATTCTCTATAGGTAGCTCTGATAATCTTTCCCTATCTCTTGCAGCATCTAGCACAGGGCTCAAATGCTCGTTGTCCGATTAACACAGGTGTGCACAATGAGTGGTCTCAGGTGAGGGAAGAGAAAAAGCACACAGCTTGCAAAAGCCAGAGATCTGCAGCTTATTCACAATGCAAGACTGAGCTGATAAGCAAGCTAGCAGTAATGATGCCGTGTATTTTTCAGAGGATCTTGAGGTAACATCTGACTTGCAATTCCAGTGCAAGTCAGCAGTATGTCAGGGCTGCACAAATGGCTTTCCCACATTCCCCTGTGGGGAGAATGCAGAGTATGCATTAATGACTGTATGTTGCAGAGAAGAAAACGGATTTAAGGCCCTAGCAAATTAGGGCATATGGCACTAGGAAACGAGATGTTTAAATGACACAGTATACTTTGGAGGTAGCTCAGTAGTTCAAGTCACTGGTGGATGCAATTTGAGATGCCTATTTGAATCTATTAAGACCTACATTCTCTTCTCTCTCTCTTTTTTTTTTCTGATAGAGTCTGCTCTGTCGCCCAGGCTGGAGTGCGGTGCCATGATCTCTGCTCACTGCAACCTCCGCCTGCCTGGCTCAAGCAATTCTCCTGCCTCATCCTCCCGAGTAGCTGCGATTACAGGCGTGCACCACCATGCCTGGCTAATTTTTGGATTTTTAGTAGAGACGGGGTTTCACTATGTTGGCCAGGCTGTTCTCGAACTCCTGACCTCAAATGATCTGCCTGCCTCGGCCTTCCAAAGTGCTGGGATTACAGGCGTGAGCCACAGTTCCTGGCCGTCTTTTTCTTTTAACTTTCTTTTCTCACCGTCAGGGCTTCTATTTCACTACTCCTCCCCTTCTGCTGACAATTAGGATTCAATCATGCTGTTTCTGCTACCTCTCGCTGGCTTTGAGTCCAAATGAAACACTGGCTGGCACTTTTAGTGGCACGTCACTGCCCTAAAACTCCTTTGCTGACTTATGCTGGCACCCTCCCCCCTTTTTGGTTAGCTCTTCAAGGCAAATAGAAGACTCCTTTAAAATATATATATATATTTTTTTATATATTTATATATTTTTTCTTTTTTCTTATGTACCACCAAAAGGCACCGCCCAGAAACAGAAAGAAGGAAACACAACTAACTCCACTTAATACACCCATGAAGAAAGTTCCAGACAGAACATGGCTTCTCTTCTGGGGGAATCACCTGTCCAACACCTTCATGCACCAAGAAGCTTTAAATTGTTGTGTATGTTTTCAATCTTCATATAGGGCAAGTGAGGCCAGGCATGGTGGCTCACGCCTGTAATCCCAGCACTTTTGGAGGCTGAGGCGGGTGGATCACTTAAGCTCAGGGGTTCGAGACCAGGCTGGCCAACATGGCAAAACCATGTCTCTACTAAAAATACAAAAGTTAGCCAGGTGTGCTGGAGCATGCCTGCAGTCCCAGCTACTAGGGAGGCTGAGGCAGGAGAATCGCTTGAACCCGGGAGGCAGAGGTTCCAGTGAGCGGAGATCACAGCATTGTACTCCAGCCTGGGTGACAGAGTGAGACTCCATCTCCAAAAAAAAAAAAAACAAGATAGGGTAAGTATTTGATGAAGAAACTGAAGCACAAGCAAATCTCAGCAGAAGTGTCTAGAATTGCACAGAGAACAGGGTTGTGCTCTGTCACTTCCCTTCCTCCTACTTCTCCAACCAGTTGCTCAGTGCCCTTCCTTGTTGAATTGAGCTCCAGGAGAGCATGAGGGGTTGGTAATTCATAATTGCCATCTTTTCCCTGCTGAAACCATTTGCTAGAAATCATTGTCTCTCTTTGCGGACATTTGCATCATCCTACATCATGTTTTCAGAGCTCACCTTTATTGAGGCATAATTCATAATCAGTAAATATACCCTTTTAGATGTTACTATTTTATAAATTTTGACAAACTTAAGCAGTCATGTAACCACCACCACAATCAACATACAGAATATTCTCATAACCCCTACAAAATCTCTCATACACCTTATAGGCTACCCCATCCTGCCATCACAGTTCCCTAGCAATTGCTGGTCTGATTTCTGTTCCTATAGTTTTACTTTTTCCAAAAAGTTATATAAGTAGAGTTGTATAGTAGGTAGTGTTTTAAGTCTGGCTTCTTTCACCTAGCATAATGCTTTTGAAATTTATCCAATTGTTACAAGTAGTCGTGATTTGTTTCTTTTTATTGTCTTAATTTTAATTTTTTTGAGAAAGAGTTTTGCTCTTGTCACCCAGGCTGGAGTGCAATGGTACGATCTCGGCTCACTGCAACCTCCGCCTCCCAGGTTCAAGTGATTCTCCTGCCTCAGCCTCCTCATTAGTTGGGATTACAGGCGCCCGCCACCATGTCCTGCTAATTTTTGCATTTTTAGTAGAGACAGCGTTCACCGAGTTGGCCAGGATGGTCTTGAACTCCTGACCTCGGGTGATCCACCTGCCTCGGCCTCCCAAAGTACTGGGATTACAGGCGTGAGCCACCGCGCCTAGCTCCTTTTCATTGTTACATGGTATTTTCTTTATGCGGATGAACCAAATTTGTTTATCCATTTGCCAATTGGTGGACAGATGAGTTGTTTATGGGGTTTGGCGATTTAAAACAAAAATTTATTTTGAAAGTTTTTTTTTTGTTAAATTAAATCAACCTTGTTTTATCAAGCAACATATCAAAACTTACTCATTTAACAGTTAGCAATTGCACTTTTAGTTTGATTTGAAATTAAAGAATTTTCTTCTGCCCTTTCAGCTAATGCATTCATTCTAAAATATAATCATTATGAGGGCAGCCTTGTCCTAGGTGTTCCAAAAGGTATCCCTCTTTCTGCACTTGTCATTCCAGGCCTGTAACTTTCCATGTGGAGACGAGAACCCTGGTTCTTGTCCACATCTTAACTGGCAAAGCTACTCTTAGCTGAAGGGCTCAGAAGAGAACAGGATGATTGCCTGAGATCTAGTAGTCCCTTTTGCAATAAAGCAATGATGTAAGTAATCATATGTAAAAGGTTTTTAAACTTTACCTATAGGAAATTGGGAGCCAAACTTTAATACATCAGACTTGGCTTCACTTTTAAAATTACCTACCTGAGAAGGGAGAAGAGAAATCTCTATAAAGACATCAAAGTTCTAAGATCCAGAAGTGCTGATTTATTATATAGTTAACATGCATCTAAGAAAGCTTGTCTTTTAGATACACTTGCCTCAGGCATAATAGTGTTGCAACATGCTACCATATCACTGCTGCAAACCTATTGCTGTTGAAACTTATCTTTCCTTCTCTAACCTCTTTCTCTGCCCAGCAAAAGGGGAGGTGGAGGGAAAAAAAGAAGGAAAGAAAATGGGAGCGGGGAGAGTGGAGAAGAAGGAAGCAGAAAGCCTGGGTAATGATACAGCACCTTTTATCTCAGAATCTCAAAAGCTGTTTTCTTGATCAGACTTATTGAACGTTACTGGGTGGATAGGACATGGAAAACTAAGTAGGAACTGGAATGAGTTATGGTGGCGAACCACAGAGTGATGGTTAATTTTATGCGTCAGTTTGGCTGGACTGTGGGGCACCTGGATATCTGGTCAAACGTCATCCTGGATGTTTCTTCTGTGAAGTGTTTTTTTGGATAAGATCAACATTTTTTTTTTCTTTTTGAGACAGAGTCTCCTTCTGTCGCCCAGGCTGAAGTAAAGTGGTGTGATCTCTGCTCACTGCAACCTCCGCCTCCCAGGTTCAAGCAATTCTCCTGCCTCAGCCTCCCAAGTAGCTGGGATTATAGGTGCTCGCCAGCACACCTGGCTGATTTTTTTTTTTTTTTTTTTTTTTGAGATGGCGACTTGCTCTGTCACCCAGGCTGGAGTGCAGTGGCAAGATCTCAGCTCACTGCAAGCTTCGCCTCCTGGGTTCACGCCATTCTCCTGCCTCAGCCTCCCAAGTAGCTGGGACTACAGGCGCCCGCCACCATGCTCAGCTAATTTTTTGTATTTTTAGTAGAGGTGGGGTTTCATCACGTTGGCCAGGCTGGTCTCAAACTCCTGACCTCAAGGGATCCACCCACCTTGGGCTCGCAAAGTGCTGGGATTACAGGCGTAAGCCACCGCGCCTGGCCTAGATCAACATTTAAATTGTTGGACTTTGAATATAGCAGATTACCCTCTGTAATGTGGGTAGGGCTCATCCAGTCAGTTAAAGGCCAGAATGGAATAAGAGACTGACCTCTCCCAAGTCAAGATGGGAGTTCTGCCTTTGAACTTCAGCAGCAATTCTTCCCTGCGTCTCCAGCCTGCTAGCCTCCTCTGAAGATTTTGAGTTTACTAAGCCTCCATGTTTGTGTGAGCCAATTCATCTTTCTCTTTCCCTCTGTATACACACACACCCTTCCTAAGAAATCGCAGAACTTCTATATTTTAGAAAGTATTAAAGACAATTTATTCCAACCCTTACCCATAAGTTTCTTCTCTAACATCTGCCTAAGCAAGCATTGAACTGCAGCTGAATATTTTCTGCCCAGTAAACCACTAGCTAAAGAGGCAGCGACTTTTATTTTTGGATAGCTTTAATTGCTTCAAGTTCTTTTGTTTTGGTTATTTGTTTGTTTGTTTTATATGGCAAGCCCAATCTATTTCCCAATGTCTTTTACCCTTTGGCCCAAAATGGTGTCTGGCAGTCGCATAGGCTGCTTGTACACAGGTGTACATTCCCCTTGTCCAGTTAATCTTAATTAACTAATTATGTGTATTTTTTGAGATGGAGTTTCGCTCCGTCACCCAGGCTGGAATGTGGTGGCGTGATCTCAGTTTACTGCAACTTCTGCCTCCTGGATTCAAGCTATTCTCCTGCCTCAGCCTCCTGAGTATCTGAGATTCCAGGCATGCACCACCATAACCAGCTGATTTTTGTATTTTTGGTAGAGAAGGGGTTTTGCCATGTTGCCCAGGCTGGTCTTGAACTCCTGACCTCAAGTGATCCACCCACCTCAGCCTCCCAAAGTGCTGGGATTACAGGCATGGGCCACAGCGCCAGGCCAGTTGATCTAAATTTGAATAATCTATGCAGCAGAATAATTTTGGAATATTAACGAGTTTCGTTTGCATATTTAGGATGTTCTAAATCACCTAAGACAGCCATGCCTAATGCTCCATGGAAGGGAAGATGGTGGAACATAGAGGACAGAGTCGATTCTGGGTGCCTGGGGGGAGGAGGGACAGAGCAGAAAGGGCAATGCATCAGAGAGAATTGCCCAGATGGCAATGGAGCACAGCACACATGGACTGTGCACCTGGTGACCAGGGCCAGGCCAGATGATGCGTCTCTCAGGGATGTGGCTTGGAGATGTAATAGCCAGGGACTAGATGAACCCCAGCTCCCACAATGCTATAGACACAATGACAGAGCAAGCAAGAAAGAAGAAAACTGGAATTGGCTGGGTTTAAATCTCTTCCACTGAATAGGGGCATGAGAGAAAATTTTAGTCGGGTTTATAGAAAAATCTAGCCAGTTACATGTCTTACATTTCTAGTGACATTTCTTCACTACTGAGAGAATAGAATGAGTTCCACAGTGGCTTTTATTCATCACTGCAAAGAAGCTAGAGAAAATGACTCTTTGCTCTGAGAATAGTCCTGTCCCTGGAAGGGTCTGGATATAGAATGGGAAACCATGGCCTTGGGAAACACGCTGGGAATCACAGGCAGGTACTTTTATTTTAAATTGGTTCCTCGTCTCCATTCTATCCGGTTACGAGTATTCCTTCAGAAGACGTTTACTAAGCGCTTGCTGTATTGGGGTTGCTCTTCTCGAGGAGTATCTTTGTGGTGTTCTCTGTATTTCCTGAATTTGAATGCTGGCCTGTCTTGCTACGTTGGGGAAGTTCTCCTGGATAATATCCTGAAGAGTGTTTTCCAACTTGGTTCCATTCTCCCCGTCACTTTCAGGTACACCAATCAAACGTAGGTTTGGTCTTTTCACAGAGTCCCATATTTCTTGGAGGCTTTGTTCATTCCTTTTCATTCTTTTTTCTCTAATCTTGTATTCATGCTTTATTCCATTACGTTGATCTTCAATCTTTGATATCCTTTCTTCTGCTTGATCGATTTGGCTATTGATACATGGGTATGCCTCACCAGCTCTCTCTCGTGCTGTGTTTTTCAGCTCCATCAGGTCATTTATGTTCTTCTCTAAACTGGTTATTCTAGTTAGCAATTTCTCTAACCTTTTGTCAAGGTTCTTAGCTTCCTTGCATTGGGTTAGAACATGCTCCTTTAGCTCGAAGTAGTTTGTTATTACCCACTTTCTGAAGCCTACTTCTGTCAACTCATTAAATTCATTCTCTGCCCAGTTTTTCTCCCTTGCTGGCGAGGAGTTGTGATTCTTTGGAGAAGAGGCAAACCAGAATGCAAATGTTCTGGTTTGATTGGAAAATCAAAGACAAAAGAGCCTTGTTCCCTGGAAGAGAACACGAAATTGTGAGCAAGTGCAATTAAATGACACCATTACATTAATTTTAAAAATGTAAAAAGGTCTCATGTCTTTTTGCTATGCAGGACTGCTTAAAGGCATTTATGATAATTTTTTTTTTTTTTTTTTTTTTTGAGTTGGAGTCTCACTCTATTGCCCAGGCTGGAATACAGTGGCACGATCTTGGCTCACTGCAACCTCTACCTCCCGGGTTCAAGCAATTCTCCTGCCTCAGCCTCCCAAGTAGCTGGGATTACAGGTGCCTGCCACCACAGCCGGCTAATTTTTGTATTTTTAGTAGACATGGGGTTTCAGCATGTTGGCCAGGCTGGTCTCACACTCCTGACCTCAAATGATCCACCCGCCTTGGCCTCCCAAAGTACTGGGATTATAAGCGTGAGCCACCTTGCCCGGCCTGGTTACCTTAATTTTTAACCTTAAAAGTAATCATTAGGTGAGCCCCTGAAGGAGCTAGTCCGTGTATAGAACTTATAGGCAGCCAACATTTATAATGGTTGGGAATCACTCTGTAGAATTTAAAATTGCTGAGTTCACAGGCAGGTGAGGCAGTGCTTGGCTTTCTTGGTGATGAATGTGGCATTTTTGAGGACATTGTAAATGCATGTCACAGATAACATTTATTTATTTTATTTTATTTTTTTTTTTTTTTTTTGAGACGGAATCTTGCTCTGTCGCCCAGGCTGGAGTACAGTGGTGCGATCTAGGCTCCGTGCAAGCTCTTCCTCCTGGGTTCAAGCAATTCTCATGCCTCAGCCTCTCAAGCAGCTGGAATTACAGGTACGTACCACGACACCCAGCTAATTTTTGTATTTTTAGTAGAGACACGGTTTCACCATGTTGCCCAGGTTGGTCTCGAACTCCTGGCTTCAAGTGATTCGCTCGCCTCGGCCTCCCAAAATGCTGGGATTACAGACATGAGCCACTGTACCCGGCTATTTAATTATTTTTATAGGGTTTGTTCTGTTACTCAGGCTACAGTGCAGTGCTGCAATCATAGCTCACCACAGCCTCAAACTCCTGGGCTCAAGCAGTCCTCCCACCTGAGCCTCCTGAGTAGCTGGGGCCACAGTCGCATGCAACCAAGCCTGGCTAATTTTTTTACTTTTTGTAGATATGGGGGTCTTGCTATCCTGCCTAGGCTGATCTGGAACTCCTGGCCTCTAGCAATTCTCCCTCCTTAGCCTCCCACAATGCTGGGATTATGAGTGTCAGCGAACGTGCCTGCCCACAGATGACATTATTAAGCAGTTACCATGCTCTGTGCTTGACACCTATTGTATTTAATTCCCACAACAACCCAATGACATAACTACCAGTGTTAACCTATATTATTGATAAGGAAATCAAGGCATAGAAAGTTAAATGACATCACCCAGTGTCACAAAGCTAATTAGGGGCAGAGCAAGCATTCAAATCCTGATCCTACCTAGATCAAAATCCTTTACCCTGTATATGTTATTGCAGCCTAAAATGCAGACAGGATACTAAAAAACCCCAAAGAGCTAGAAACCCTTTCTTATACTCCCACAATTTTATTGAAACACAGCCATACAAATTTGTTTGTGTATTACCTGTGGCTGCTTTCACACGACAATGGCACAGTTAAGTCATGGTGACAGAGACAGTGCGGTGTGCAAAGCTGAAAATATTTACTGTCTGGCCCTTTCTAGAGTAAGTTTCCTGACTTCTGACCTATGATAGGGAAAATTGTGACAGTAATAACTCACAAGTAATTTGACTAGGTAATGTTCTTTTTAATCAGGAGCCACATTCTTACATAGCTATCTTTACGTTGGTTTCCCTAATATTAGATTTAGAAGATTTTATTTTTTATTCTTTTTATTTTTTTAATAGAGGCAGTGTCTCACTATGTTGCACAGGCTGGTCTAGAACTCCTGGGCTCAAGCAATCCTCCCACCTCAGACTCCCAAAGAGCTGGGATTACAGGCATGATCCACCACGCTTGGCCCCGATTAGAGATACCAGGCAGTCTTGCTAGAACTCTGTGACCCAGTTTATCATATTTGAACAAAAATTAGTCATCCTTATAGCTTCTTGAGTAGGATCCTTCTGAATCTATTAACAGTGCCAGTATCATGAGTAACAGACTTCTCGTGGATCTCTTTTTTGATAAGGTTGGGAAGTAGTAGTGTGGCCTAATCACCTCTGAGAGAAGGACAGAAATAATTACCTTAAAACTTGGAATGTTATCTGGGTTTTGGAGTGACGTGGTAAGTATTTCTGCTGGGATTATCTCATTTGAATTAACGCCAGTCATGGCATACCCAGAAAATTCCTCTCGAAAGCAAAGGGAAACATGCCAAGAATGGCTGGCACAATTGTTTACACTTTCAGTGTCATGTATATGCTGTCTATATACACATGTATCCACACATATGTACACATGCACACATATTTCAGGCACTCCAGCCTTCTCCCTGTTGAGATTTATTTTGTCATAACTCCTCTTTTGCTTCCAAGAGGAAGAGTTGTTCCTGTCCTCACTCTGTTCCTCTTCTCTTCCAGTCTGGGAGTGACTACATTTGCCTTCATCTTTTTCCTCTTGTGCTGAAATCCACACTGGTGATTTCAGAGCAGGCTGCATTCTGTCTTGCAAATCATTCTCCTCCCGACCAATTCCCCATCACCCTTCATTATCACATTCTCGCTTCTCTTTAAAGTTTTTGTCTGGACAAATGTTCAAGTAGTGACTGCGATCGCCATGCACTGCTGGAGTAATAACATCATAAAGAGAATTCAAGGGGCGCCCACCCACCCTGCAGGTGGTAACTGCTACAGCGTGTGGTGGGACCATGGGGGCAACTAAGTTATCCTGGCACATCTGTCACCCAGGCTGGAGTACGGTGGCACAATCTCAACTCACTGCAGCCTCAACCTCCAGGGTTCAAGCTCAAGCAGGTTTCCTGCCTCAGCCTCCCAAATAGCTGGGATTACAGGCATGTGTCATCACGCCCAGGTTTTTTTTTTTTTTTTTTTTTTGTGACCGCGTCTTGCTCTGTCGACCAGGCTGGAGTGCAATGGCACAATCTCAGCACACTGCAACCTCCGCCTCCCAGGTTCAAGCAATTCTTCTGCCTCAGTCTCCCAAGTAGCTGGGATTACAGGCGCCTGGCACCACGCCCAGCTAATTTTTGTATTTTTAATAGAGACGGAGTTTCACCATGTTGGTCAGGATGGTCTCGAACTCCTGACTTCAAGTGATCCACCCGCCTCAGCCTCCCAAAGTTCTGGGATTACAGGCCTGAACCACCGCGCCTGGCAATATTTTTGTATTTTTTAGTAGAGACAGGGTTTCGCCATGTTGGCCAGGCTGGTCACAAGAAATATTTCCTGGCACAGGTGGTGTCTGATTAGAATCATAAAGGATGAGTAATGGTTACTCCCAACAAACTGAAGGGGAGAAAAGAGAAAAGGAGGTAAGTTAAGGAAGAAGAATAGCAAATGCTCTGGAGACCTGGGCAGCCACTTGGCCATGCGTTCTGGATAGCCTTTCCCGGGAGGTAATTCCTGCCTCAGCCTACTACCCACCACACTTCTGCAGAACAGTGTTCTGGGAGATGAATGAAGCCCAGCCCTGTAACTGACGAAGTGTCTTCTATTGAATCACGGACCTCGGTGAAGCCCCAAATCCTGTCTGTTTCTTCTTCTGGTAACAGCACCTTACTCAGTATGAAACAGCATCAGGTTTTTCCTCCACATGCCGGGGAGGGTGCGCTCACCCTGGGTGGTGCCAGTTACAGCTCCTCCGCAGAGCTCTCCTTATCTACATTTGATTTGAGGCATGATCTGCCAGTGTGCTGTTGAATCAAAGAACTGCCTTGAGGACTTTCCTTATTTAGTGAAACTATTGTTGACAAACCAAAACTGCACCCAGACTTTCACCCACAGTTTATTCAAGCCAGGTAATATACTAAGTGCTTTGTGTAAGCAGTAGTCTCTTTCTTTTCAGAAATGGTTGGCTCTCACAAAAGGAGAGTTCAGATGTCGGCCTGGCACTTGCATAAATATCTTCCACTAAGATTCAGCATTAGCAGACTCTCTGCAGGATACGATTTAAACACTCAATAAAGCATGGTGGGGTATTTCTAATTTACACATAAATAACATATTTTTTTCTTCCAATGTTCACAAATTAAAACTATCTCTGTCCTGAATTAAGTAATAAATAAGAATTTTAATAAAACATTTTCTACATGAAATCCTTAGAAAGTCTACTGCAGAGTTTGATGGCTGGAAGACTGAGCTGAGAGACAGTTTAACAGCTCATATGTCAGCGTTAGTATTTGTTGGTAGTGCTTATCTATTCTACATAATAAGGTTTTGTGTATTGATGCAGGCACTGCCTTACACAGTAATATAACACGAGACCATGATATTCAGCACATTTTGAAGTAAATGTGACACTAAGACCCTCTGAAATGCGTCCACTTTGCCCCTTGCAACATTACAATGGGGACATTCTTTTTCTGAGACAGTCATTGAGACCAGCACTAACAGATTATGGCTTGATAGCTATTTATCACTTTGGATTGTTGTGAAAACCAGGCGTCCCTAATCACCAACAACTTTAAAAAGCCAAAATATTATCAGAGAAGACAGTTTTATAGAAATATTCAAAATTATTTCATTAGCTTTCTAAACCTTTAAAAGAATCGGGCTTTCTATTCAAATATTTAGCTAAATAGTACATGACGCCATCAAACCTGATCAGTTTTCTAAACCACTTTGCTTTATGTATTTAATGTGGAAAGGACCTGGAGAACAGAAAGAATTTCATTACCCTCACAAGGATTTGTCAAAACATCTTAGTTTTTACTCGTAGAAGATGTTGCAAAGAGAAGTTGGAACATAGTAAGAAAGAAGGTTGATTCCATTACATATGATGCATTTGGAAATTGATTGAAGTGATCACATTTCAGATGCACCTCAGGGCAGAAGAGGCAACCTCTTGAAAGTGACAGCCACATTTTCTGTGAGGGGAGGGGACTGGACAGAAAGGACTCCTTGTCTGAGTAACAGCTTTCTGTCCTGTGTTTCATCATGCCTATCTTGGCACTTCTCTAGCCTAAACCTCATCATAATATGAGGTGTAATTATCTGCCCATTCATCTGCTTCTTGTGCTAGACTGTGAGCTCCTTGATACCAACCATATGTTATTTATATTGATTTTCCTAAATCCCAACCAAAGCAGATGCTCAATAAGCATTTTAATAGGAAGGAAGAGAGGCAGGATCGGAGAAGGGAGGGAGGGAGGAAGGAAGGAGAGAAAAAAGTTCACTTATAATGTCTATAATGTTATTAAACAAAATAGAACATGTATTTAGTCTGATGAGACTTTTTTTCAAAACTAAGTATGATTTACTTAGGATTAAAACACAAGTTATAACACAATAGCTACGATGGGCCTTATATAAAGAAAAGTAAGTATAATACATTTTAAAAGGCTTTTAAGTATCTATATTAAATATAAACTAAATGGATAAGATTTTTCATCCCCAAGAATTACCTGGGATATTAGATTTGCAAAGAAAAGTGAAAAGAGGGAAATGAGGTTGAGTGAATTATTTGAATAAATATATGCAGTCATTATAAACTTCCAAAGGACTTTAAAAGTGAGCAAGAAAATACTGCTAGAATAAAGTAGCTTTACTTATCACTTTCATGAATTATAAAAACAAAATATTTTAGTAAGTCTTACTGTTAAGTGATTGATTTAATTCTTTATACATGAAGTTCTTTCTAAACCTGGATAATGTAAACATCTTGGTTAATCATTACAGAACTCCAAGTCTTTCGCTTTATTCCACGCCTTAAACAACAAAAGGATCATAAATCCTTGAAGTTTCCTTGGAGTTAGCTCAGGCAAAGTCCAAAGTTTAAGAAGCTGTTCTATGAACCATAAACGTTGCCACCACTGAAGAGTCAAGGCATATCCTAACATTCTGGGGCAGTTCTCACCCAGCTTGCCTTCATCCTATTATCTTTAAAGATTCATATATATTTAGCATTTACCCATGCCCTATCTAGAGATTCAAACACTTTTTTTTTTTTTTTTTTTTTTTTTTTTTTTTTTTAAGAATAGAGATGGGGTTTTGCCACATTGCCCAGGCTGGTCTCAAATTCCTGGGCTCAAGTGATCCTCCTGCCTCGGCCTCCCATAGTGTTGAGATTACAGGTGTGAGGCACTGTGCCCAGCTTTAAACACTTTTTATTTTATAATAGTTTTAGATTTATAGAAAAATCACAAGGATAGGGTAGAAAGTTGCCATATACCCTGTACTCAGGTCACCCTATTATTAGCATCTTACATTAGTATAATATGTTTGTTATAATTAATGTATCAATATTGATATAATATTAACTAAAGTTTATAGTTTATTCAGATTTCCTTTATTTTTACCTAATATTCTTCTTCTGGTTCAGGATACCACATTATACATATATATAGTGTATACATATATGTATAGTAATACTAAATATAACATATATAATACACATATACCATATACAATTTTTATATCATATATACATATATGAATATTATATACATATAGTATATTGTTATATTTTATAATATATTGTATAGATGAGTGTGTATATATGTGTGTGTATACATATGTATATGGAGAGAGAGAGAGAGAGAGAGAGACAGGAGTCTCACTATGTTGGCCAGGCTGGTCTTGAACTCCTGGGCTCAAGTGACCCTCCTGCCTCAGCCTCCCAAAGTACTGGGATTACAGGCATGAGCCACCGCACCTGGCCACGATATCACATTATATTTAACAGCCAAGTTTTCAAATACTCCTCCTTATGGCTGTAACAGATACTCAGACTTTCCTTATTTTGGATAACTTTGAAGAATGGTGAGGTATTTTGTACGATGTCTCTCAGTTGGGATTTGACTGCTATTTTTTTCATGGTTAGACTGGGGTTGTGGGTTTTTAGGAGGAAGAGGTCAGACGAAGTACATCTCTCAGCACATCATATCAAGAGTATGCCAGCCTGAGAAATATAGTGAAACCTTATCTCTACAAACAATTTTTAGATAAATTAGCTGGGAGTGGTGGCACACCTGTAGTCCCAGCTACTGGGGAGGCTGGGGTGGGAGGATCGCTTGAGCCCGGGAGGTTGAGAATGCAGTGAGCTATGATTCTGCCGCTGAACTCCAGCCTGGACAATAGAGTGAGACCCTGTCTCTTACCAAAAACAAACAAACAAATAAATACATAAATAAATGTACATACCATCAATATGACTTATCACTGTTGATGTTGAACTTGATCTCCTGGCTGAGGTAGCATGTGTCAGCTTTTTCCAGGTAAAGTTACCTTTTCCTTCCCCTTTCATACTGTATAGTTTTGAAGGAAGTCACTAAGTCCAACCGACACTTAAGAAGTTAGGTGTTATACTCCAACTTGAGAGAGGAGTACATAAATCAGCTGGAATTTCTCTGCACAGGAAATTTGCCCCTTTTCCTCATTTATTTATTCAATCATTTCTATTGGCATAGACTTATGAATACTTATTTTATACTTTAGGTTATAATCCAATTCTGCTTTACTTTATTTCATTGCTCCAATTTTTCGAGTTTTGGCCATTAAGAGCTCCTTCAGTTGGCTCCTTCATGTCTTTGACATACTCCTATTATTGTGGGACTCTGTGGTTCTTTTTTTTCAAGCACTTTCTTACTTTCTGGCACTATAAGAAACTCCAGGCTGATCTTGAGTATTTCTAGCCTCAGTCCTAGAATCAGTCAATTTCTCCAAGTAGTCCTGTGTGTTTTTTTACTGGTGAATGGCATTAGAAACCAATATCCACTTGCTAGGTATGTGTGATAATTGTTTCTTCTAGTCCTTCTTAGCTGATGGAGCAAGGAAACATATCTAAAAATATTTCCATCCGTACATATACATTTGTATCTATATTAAATTAATCTTCATACAATGTTTCCAAATGAAATCCATTAAAACAGCTGTCCCCAACTTTTTTGGCACCAGGGATCGGTTTCATGGAAGACAGTTTTTCCACGAACGGGGTGGGAGGATGCGGGGATGCTTTCAGGATGATTCAAGCACATTACATCTATTGAGCACTTTATTTCTATTATTATTACATTATGAAGTAATCATACAACTCACTGTAATGTAGAATCAGTGGGAACCCTGAGCTTGTTTTCTTGCAACTAGATGGTCCCATCTAGGGGTGACGGGAAACAGTGACAGATCATCAGGCTTTTTTTTTTTTTTTTTTTTTAAGAGAGAGTCTCACTCTGTTGCCCAGGCTGGAGTGCACTGGTGCGTCCTTGGCTCACTGCAATCTCCGCCTCCCAGGTTCAAGTGATTCTTCTGCCTTAGCCTCCCGAGTAGCTGAGATTACAGGCACCCGCCACCATGCCTGGCTAATTTTTGTATTTTTATAAAAGACAGGTTTTCACCATGTTGGCCAGGCTGGTCTCAAACTCCTGACCTCAGGTGATCCACTCGCCCCGGCCTCCCATAGTGCTGGGATTACAGGTGTGAGCCGCCGCACGTGGCCCAGGCATTAGAGTCTCAAAAGGAGTGCGCATCCTAGACCCCTTGCATGTGCAGTTCACAACAGGCTTCATGCTCCTATGAGAATCTAATGCTACGGCTGATCTGACAGGAGGTGGAGCTCAGGCAGTAATGCGAGAGATGGGGTGTGGCTGTACAGATCAAGCCTTGCCTGCTCACCTGCTGCTGGCCTTCTGATGTGCAGCCTGGTTCCTAACAGGCCAAGAGACTTTGTGATCCAGGACTTGGGAACCCCTGCATTAACACATGGATTCTTCTAGCCTTCTCTCTTTGCTAAACTCTCATTCAGCAATGATAAATCTAACTCCCACCATCTGTCATTCATTTACTTAAATTGTTCATTTCCAGAATACATGTACAGCAGTATCTGAATTATTAACTCATACCCCACAGGTAACTACTTTATCAACCAGAGTGCAATGCTTAGGTGCAGCTTCTTTTGCCTTTAGTCTCACAGACTCCACTCATTTCCAAAGTTACTAAGGCCGGCACCTTTCCCCCAACATCCTTCACTGAGGTTGTTTCATACAGTACAGTTAGATCATAATATGGTTAAATCACAATACAGTGAGATTGCAATACAGTGAAATTTGTTTTGTTACTTTCTGCATTCCATCTTGGAGTTCCTCCACCTCCTGATTTTTAAAAATCTGGATACACTAAGGCTCACTCTTTGTGCAGGTTTGTTTTAATAGGAAAAAAAAATTTTAAATTACTTAACATCCAGTAAAACTGATTAGCTAGGGGGTTCATTAATTCAACAAATATTTCCCAAGGGCCTTACCTTGTGTTAGGTTCTGTACCAGTGTCACTCTGGGGGATCTTATCTTATAGTTTCTTGTCCCCGGTACCTCTTTGCATAATCAGGGCACGGGTATGACAGTTTAAAAAGCACCAAATAAGGAAACTAGATTGTTATATTTATGGCCACATCTCCAGAATTCTAGAATTCCTTAGATCTGTGACTATGCCTCCCTCAGTGGTTCCAG
Source organism: Homo sapiens (assembly GCF_000001405.40). Taxonomy (NCBI): domain Eukaryota; kingdom Metazoa; phylum Chordata; class Mammalia; order Primates; family Hominidae; genus Homo; species Homo sapiens. The sequence goes on along the minus strand of NW_018654717.1, from coordinate 4,922,952 downwards.
AATCTGCGAAAATAATCTATTTGTAGAACTGCATTTATGTAAGGTTAGAATTGTTTTTCTCCTACTGCTCTTTTGCTCCTAGTAAAAAAAGCAATTTAAACTGCAGGGGAGAATAATAACTACTAAAATCAACACTAGCTTTTGTCTAATACAAAAGCCATCAGCACAACTTAAATTATAACCCCCTTTGTCAATCTGGGATTGCTGAAAACAACAATTAAGCCAATCTACACTTGCAAGTGATCTACGATATTGTTTTTTGTTTTAATAGGCTTTATTTGTTACGCCAACCACATTAGCTAAACAGCTAATACAATTGCTCATGTAGAATTATGCCAATAAAGGAAGGAAAGACAGTTGTTGTTTGTTGCTCTTAGTCACGGGGAGGTGAGGGAGGAGGAATGGGCTTGCTGGCATTAGCAAATCAACCAATAGATTATCTTCCTTAAGAATATTAATGCTTTGTAAATCTTTCCACGTTCCCCTTGCCCAACTCCCAGGATGGCCGCCCACCCTATAGTGCTGTAAGATAATCTTTTTTTTTTTTTTCTTGAGATGGAGTTTCACTCTTGTTGTCCAAGCTGGAGTGCAATGGCGCAGTCTCGGCTCGCTGCAACCTCCAACTCCTGGGTTCAAGTGATTTTCCTGCCTCAGCCTTCTGAGTAGCTGGCATTACAGGCATGCACCACCATGCCCAGCTAATTTTGTATGTTTACTAGAGATGGGGTTTCACCATGTTGTCCAGGCTGGTCTTGAACTCCTGAGCTCAGGTGATCCACCTGCCTCAGCCTCCCAAAGAGCTGGGATTACAGGCGTGAGCCACTGCGCCCGGCTGTAAAGTAGTCTTAAATGGGGGCATATCCATTACTACAACTGCCACAGCAGGTGTATATGATTGAGACAAGGTAGGAGCTGTACTCTGGAATAGTATGTTTGAGTTGAAAAGTTGAACAAAGATTTACTTAAAATCTTAACATTAATGTAATATAACAGGGCGCTCAATTGACACTGGAATGTATCTTTTGATGTGTAAAACACTGCCACACTAGGAGATGTAAACAGTATTTTGGGGGTTGCGCGTCCCCCTGTGGTAGGAGGGACTGTTTGGCAGGACCTTTTGGAAGATAAATCATAAGGCAAACAACTGCCCCTTGTTCTAGGGAAACTTGGAACACAGGAAAGGAAACCAAGGGCAGATGCTTCACCCTGAGTCTGCAGAGATAGAAAAAGGTTTTCCCCAAATCTTTGCAGATTATTATTTTTGCTCGTGAGAGGTATGTGTACTTTGTTGTACAAACAGTAGTTTTTGAAAAATTGGGAGCAATCAGCAGCTTAGTTGGGAAGGACAAGCTTCCCTGAACATCTGTTCCCTCCAGGCTGGAGGAAGGAATGTGAGAGCAAATGGCTGGACCAAGCTCACGCAGCTTGCACTGCTGCCATTGCCCATATGAGTGGTTATCAAAGGTGAAATATACCGGACATTGGGACGTTCTCATGACTGCTATGATTGTCATGCTTGAGCTCTGAGGGTCAGATTGTACCTGGTTGGGAGAAGGGCATCAAAAGAGAAGGAACAATGATCAATTAATCCAAGGAAGAGAGGAGTTGGTCCAGGGGTTTTGGAGCAGGAAGAGCAGGCTCTTTTTCCTTTTTTGGAGACTGAACAGGGCTTGGGCTCTGAAGTGTTGGGGATCACTGGGGGCCCTTGCACTGGGGGACATCTATGGAAACTAGGCCAGGGTGCAGAGGTTGGGTCTGAGCCTGAAACTCTAAGGGCATCCAATTCTAAAAGCAGTTGGGAATTAAGTTAGTTTATGACCAAGACTTCTGTAAAATCCTACTACGAGCCTGAGCAAAGATGTACTATAGATTACATACCGATGTACTAAGGGAAGTTGAAGAGACTGTATCCCTCCTGGAGGCTGGGAAGGGTTGCTTGTGATGACAGAGATGCATGGCCTCAAAGAGCAGCACTGTTATAAGGGGCAGCAAAGGCTGCAGGCCAAGAAGTGAAAACTAAGCAAACCCCCAAACTTGTCCCTGATAACATATATTGTAGCACCTTGAGAAACCTGAGAACAGCTGTAAGGCAATGGATGGGGATGCACTGTGGGCCACATTCTAGTAACTACACCAGGGAAGGCTCATGCATTAATGTCTTTGGAGTGCAAAGACAGTATGATTTCAGTTGTAGGCCACAGTTCGGAAATACCAGGGACACAGAGGTTACATTTAGGTTTTCCCTTCTCCATAACGCATTTTTGTAAATTTTCTACCATAAAAGGCACGATATTGCACATCAGAAACAAATTCAGTACCTACTTGGAAAAAAATAGCATTTAAAAATAAAATACTAGGCTGAGCGTGGTGGCTTATGCCTGTAATCCCAGCACATTGAGAGGCTAAGGCGGGTGGATCACTCGAGGTTAGGAATTCGAGACCAGGCTCGCCAACATGGTGAAATCCCATCTCTACTAAAAATACAAAAATGAGCCAGGCTTGGTGGTGAGCACCTATAGTCCCAGCTACTCTGGAGGCTGAGGCATGAAAATCACTTGAAGCCGGGAGGTGGAAGTTGCAGTGAGCCAAAATCACACCACTGCATTTCAGCCTGGGCAACAGAATGAATGTCCATCTCAGACAAACAAACAAACAAACAAAAACAAAACAAAACAAAACTATTTCAAACATTTTAAGCTAATGGCAGCCCATAAGTGCCACATCTCCCTTTTGACCTCTTCCCATAGGCCCTGGAGTCTGTGCACTCCCAGGCACACATACCCTGTTGTCTCTCAAGCATCCGCAGTGCAGGTGGGGGACTTACGTTCTTACAATCCTAAAACCTTTGATTATAACCCACACTAAAATAAGAAAGGTAATCAAATGTGTGGGTGGAAGCTTGCCAGACATTTGTAGAGTTCCATACCGTTCATAAAGTGCTTAAAAATGCTTAATTTCATTTGAATAACACTTGCTGTTGTAGCTATGTAGATTTTTCTTTTTCTTTTTCTTTTTTAAAAAGCAAAGGTATATACAACAGCTCATTTAAAAAGACTAGACAGACCCTAGCTCCAACTAATTCTCTAGATTGAGCACGTGAGAGAACTATGTTCCATTTCCTTTTTTGGTATCGCAGGCCTTGATCTCCAAACAAACACATGAAGTAAGTGTCTAAACTCTGGGTGGAAGTAAGCTAATCATTGACATTCAAAACACTCTGCTACTTGACACACTTAAACAATAAATGCCCAGCTGGCTAAAATTCTATTGCTACAAATCATTATCTCTTTAAGGGGCCCACATAAATCTATGCAGGTGTTTGGAAGACTATAACCTGTCTGCGACTTTTTTTTGCATCTCTAGGAGTGTTCAGCTCACAGACTGGCACAAAGGAATGATGACTGTGCCTTTGTGGGAGGAGGAGAGATTAGGTCATTGCCACCGAGGGAACACTTGCTCTGACCCAGGTGGCTGTCAAGAAGCGACAGATTGAATCCCTCTAACTCATGTGGCAAATAGATTATTCTCATTTCACAGATGAAGAAACTGAGGCTCAGAGAGGTTAACTTGTTTAATTTCATAAAGCATGAGAGTGGGAAGATGAGATTTGAACCCGAGTTCCTCAGAATTGTATAATATCTTGCTGTTTACTCTTTCTTTTCTCTCTCTCTCTCTATTTTTTTTTTTTTTTTTTTTTTTGTTGTTGTTGTTGTTGAGGCAGGGTCTCGCTCCATCACTCAAGCTGGAATGCAGCAGCACGATCGTGGCTCACTGCAACCTGCACCTCCCGGGCTCAAGAGATCCTCCCACCTCACATCCTGAGTAGCTGGGACTACAGGCACACACCATCATGCCTGGCTAATATTTGTATTTTTTGTAGAGATGGAGTTTCCCCATGTTGGCCAGGCTGTTCTCAAACTCCTGGACTCAAGCAATTCACCCACCTGTGCCTTCCAAAGTGCTGCAATTACAGGCATGAGCCATCATGCTTGGCTTACTCTTTTTTTTTTTTTTAAACAATCAGTTTAACTTCTGAAATGTTCATATTAATCCTGATGCTGCTAAAAATTGTATTTCTAGAGAAACTCACATTGGCACTTCAAAATCATAGAGGTCATAGAGCTAGAAATTGGAAATTGGGGTTCTCAGATGCCCCACCTCATTCCACATTTATCTATTTTATATTTCAGATTCCTCCCTATGCTTTCATTTGCAGAAATGCTTTTGTGGCAAGAAAAACAAAAGTAAGAAACAATTATTCCAACATACATATTTAGAAGGGGACCGTCTCATGCTTATCTTCAATGGCTATTTCTTTCTGTTTAGAATACAAATGAAGGCATAAGAAAGTGATTTTGTCCAGATAACTTCAGTACATAGAAAGCTACTTACTTCATCTACCACTAAGATGCAGTTCAGCATCTCTAGCTGCAACTAATCTGTACAACTCAGAGATCCCTGAAAACCCCAGTAAGTGTTGGTTTGGGTATCTAGAATTAATGCTTTACCCCTAGTTCCACGCCCAAGAACCTACCCCCAGCTAATACTCAAATCTGGCCTTTAGCCCAACAGATCCTGATTTCAGATAAAATTTAAGAAGGTGACATATACAAACATGATCATGCAATGCATTTCGTATGCACACTTTTAGGTCACACAGAATGAAGACATTAAGAACATGTTAATATGGTGGCTTATAAGACCATTTTATATCATTTTTTTTGCTTTTCTAAATGCCTAAAGTAAGGCTTCCCTGTTGTGCCAAATTTAGCAAGCAATCTAGAAGTGCAAGAAACCTGTAAACTTTCAAATTTAAAGCCAAACAAAACTCATATTGCATTCCATTGCATATCATGTTATAAAAATCTCAATATGATTCAGATAAAATTAGTAGCTTAAACAATTTCAAACCCATAAAATATGGTGCATAGTAACTTATATATGTTAATTATTTATTTAGCACCTACTATATGTTATACAAAGCTTTTTTTTTTGTATTGATCCTAGAAATCCTTCCGACATTCAAAGCTTTATACTATATGTTTTATGAGAATGAGAAAGGAAATAATGTAATTGAGTCAGGCCCTCAAGAAATGTACAGAGGGTGCAGAGGAGAGAAGGAGTAACGTTTATACTAGACATTCCAACAAATGTAAGAATTAAAGCTTGGTAATCATATATGAGAGGAGGAAAAGTGAGAGTGCTTCTTTTAACTGCTTTTCTTCCACAAAGGAACACCGTTTAAAGATGGAACGTTTTGTCATGGGTTCCTTTATGAATTTATATTTGTGTATTTGTATGTGTGCATGTGTATCTTTCTCTGGGTGTTGATTTCTGTGTGTTTATCTCCTGCTTTTTGCTATTGTTGTTTATTTGATTAGTTTCTAAAAGAAATCTTTCTTTTGAATATATATGCATTAGGAAATTCAAAAGTCAACCCACAGACAATTACTGTTGTCAGTTTCTTATGTATCTTTAAGAGATATTCTATGAAAATACAAGCATCTATGTACGTACATAATTTTTTTATCCCTTCTACTAATTTTTTTCCACTAAAATTAGTCGCACATGATATGCACCATTCTGAACTTTGCTTTTATTTTGGAGACTCTTTCAAAGAAATACATATGTACCTACTGCATTTTTTTTTTTTTTTTTTCATTTTTTTGAGACAGAGTCTCACTCTTGATGCCCAGGCTGGAGTGCAGTGGTGCAATCTCGGCTCACTGCAACATCTGCCTCCCAGGTACAAGTGATTCTTCTGCCTCAGCCTCCAAAGTAGCTGGGATTACAGGTACCTGCCACAATGCCCAGCTAATTTTTTTGTATTTTTAGTAGAGACAGGGTTTTGCCATGTTGGGCAGGCTGGTCTCAAACTCCTGACCTCAGGTGATCCACCTGCCTTGGCCTCCCAAAGTGCTGGGATTACAGGCATGAGCCACCGCACCCGGCCTCTACTGCATCTTTAATGGCTGCATACCATTCTACTGTTATAACATAAATATGTTAACTACTTTTCTATTAATAGTCATTTATAATGTTTCAGGTTTGTTGCTATTCTTGCAAGTTCTTAAAGTAGAATTGTTGAATATGTGCATTGTATTCCATTAGTCGTTACCCTTGCAGTTTTTAATATGAATGCAAATGATTTATAAAACTAACCAATATATTTAGCATTCTCGCAAACAACTCAATCTATAAATGTTTAACTCCAATCACCTCTTTCTTACTTCCATGCCATTGTGTAGTTTATATTTTTTGTTTATCTCTGAAAGAAGATACTATTGTCTTCCACATTAAAATGTGCTTATGTATCCCCACAATTTTATGAATTTCTTTACTCACCATTTTTTCTTTCATCCCAGATCTTATATCTGACATTTGTTTCTTTCTGTATAAAATGCTTATTTAGAAATTCTTATAGCAACCGTCTGTTTGATGAAAACATTATAAACACTATCAGTTTTTATGTATCTTAAAATGTCTTTATTCTACCTTCAAATAATAGATTTGTTGGTGTAAAATTCTAGGTTTTGAGCATTTTTTTCCCCTCAGCTTAGTGAAAGTATTGTTCCACTGTCTTCTGACTTCCATTGTTGCTGTAAAGAAGTCAGTTGCCAGTCTAATTGTTACCCTTTTGTAGCTGATACTTCTTTCTCGCTGCTTTTAGATAAATCTTCTCATTATTTTCCTTCTGCAATTTGATTATGATGTGTATAGCTGTAGATTCTTAAAGATTTAATCTTCTTTGAATGTGTTTTAAATATAATAATTGGAATCTTTCAACAGTAACAGAAAATTCTTGGTTTTTTTTTTTTTTTTTTTTTTTTTTTTTTTGAGACAGGGTCTCAACTCACTGCAACCTCCAATTCCCAGGGTCAAGTGATTCTCCCTCCTCAGCCTCCTGAGTAGCTGGGACTACAGGCATGTACTACCTCACCTGGCTAATTTTTGTATTTGTATTTTTTGTAGAGATGGGATTTTGCCATATTGCCCTGGCAGGTCTCAAACACCTGAGCTCAAACTAATCCATGCACTTCAGCCTCCCAAAGTGCTGGGATTAAAGATATGAGCCACCATGCCCGGCTGAAAATCCTTAGCCATTTTCAAATTGAATATTGCTACTTCCCCATTCTTTCTATTATGTTCTGTAATTCTGATTGTGATTCTGTGATTCTTAAACTCACTCCATACTATAAAATTCTTAATATCTTCTGAAAATTTTTAATTTAATTTTCTCTTTGTGCTGCATTTTGGTTAATTCCTGAAGAGCTATTTTCCATTTCACTAACCTAGTCTTAAGCTTTATTTGTTATGTAATTTGAATATTGAGTTTTAAATTGAATTTACTGTATTTTTGTTTTCAAACATTATTTTGAGATCTTTTATATTGATTTTATAATCTTTCACTCATGATACCTTGCGTTTATATATTTGTTATAATTTTGATTGTAGATACATGTTCCTTGGTGCTTTACATTTAGTAATTTTTGAAACCATGTTTGAAGGTAAGTTCCTTCAGAGAGAATGTGCATTTACTTCTACCTGGCACCAGAAGGGCACTCCCTTCAAAGGGAAACTTTAAAATCAATTCTAGGTTTGAAGTATTTCTGCTAAAAAAATTCCTATGGAAATTGGATTATGGTTGCGAGTTCTCGGTAAGAGAGACTAGCTCCAAGATTGAAAAAAGATGTACTTCTTAACAGTTCCTTCTGTGGGTTCTTAGCTTTGTCACATGTTCATAGATTGCTCGTGGGTTTTTCCTTACAGACTCTCCTCTTTGGTTGGACTCAAGGATTTTTCTTACGTCTCTCACACTTTGCACAGTTGTCAAAACCAGAACTCAAATAAATGACATTTTAAAATATTTTCCCAGTACAAAAGGTGGATTCAGTGCTCAGTTGTGTATAAGTATTTGTTCTTTTAACTAACTCATACTCTGGCCAGGCACAGTGGTTCATGCCTGTAATTCCAGCCCTTTGGGAGGCAGATGTGGGCAGATTACTTGAGGTCAGGAGTTCAAGACCAGCTTGGCCAACATGGTGAAACTCTGTCTCTACTAAAAATACAAAAATTAGCCAGGCATGGTGGCACACACTTGGAGTCCCAGCTACTCGGGAGGCTGAGGCAGGAGAATCACTTCAACTCAGGACTGCACTCCAGCCTGGGTGACAGAGTGAGACTCTGTCTCAAAACAAACAATCCAACACCCAACTAACTCATACTCTCCAATGATTTTTCTTCTTTTGTATGTTCATAAATGCTTTAGAAAGAGGTGTATTTATTTAAAAATAAGTAAATGAAACTGGTATCTATTTTTGTTGTTTTCAGTGGAACAGCAGATGAGGCTATCTCTTCAGCACTATGTCAAGAAACAGCAGCCCAGAAAATTCTTAACAGCTGAACTTCAGTTTCTAATTACTTCTCACAGCCACTTCAATTTTTGCCTCTCTGAGGCATATGCTGAAATCAATTATGACATGCGAGCGGTTACACCATGGCACAGTGAGGAAGCTGGTACATTTCTGAAACTCCATAAACTCATCAGATTATTTTTACTTTAAATGCTATAAACCTGAAGTATTTCTTTACTTGACACACACACACACACAGACACACACACACTCATACACATTTCATACTTTTGCATCAAAGCTGGTCATAAAATTGGTACCAGAAGACAAACTTGGTAGAGTTCACAGAGTTTTGAGTAAAGGAATAATCCATGTTTATAAAGTTGACACTAAAGATATAATAAGGTAAGTTTTTTTTAAGTCTTTTACAAATTCACCTATATACATGTCAGGTGTTAAGGGACATGTCATGATGAAGGCAGTGACAGTCAGTTTTAAATATTTTGGAGTATTTTGCTCTGATGTTTATTTTCTTGATGAAACACTAGCCCTATGTTCCAAAGCAGGATTCCTAAACCCCAAGGTGGAGTGGACAGTCTATTAAGAGAGGGAATAAAATATTTGAGCTCTATTTACAATGATTTCATCTCATCATTTTACAATTTATTTCAGTGGAATTTTATAATATATGGAATGTGCTTGTACGATTTTATATGCATGTACTTTATATAGTTATAAATATGCTCATAACAGGGAACATGTCCAGAATAGTTACTGATGGATGTGTAACCACAAAGGCTCAGAGATCAACATAAGAAATCAGGTGGCCTTTTCTACGGGTATAATACAGGAATTGATGAACACAGTTAAGATACTAAAACTTGATAGCAAGAATAGATCACAAGAAAAAAAATCATCGAAGAAACTTATGAAGAGAATGCTGACAGGAAGGAGCAAAAAAGATAATCCATGCCACCCAACACCAGAGGAAAGGAAGAAAAGAAATGAAAGAAGATATTGCCTTTATCTGCTTTGTTTGGCCTGTGCATTCTTAATAATCAGCTTGGTGGCATAAATCCAACTAATCGCAAATGATAATCATGCAAGTGTTTGCACTTGCTGGTACAATGATTTCTTGCAAAGCTCTCTGAATTGCTTATGGAAAGTTTATTCTGAACCATCTCTGTGCTTCCTTCAAAAAAGAATAATGTTTGGCCTTGGCCAAACATCTCTCTGCTGCCTGATTAGAGAATTGAGAAGCTGAGTTAATTTCACTTCCATGATACTCTTCAGTTGCAGGGAAACCCATTAATTGTTTTGAGAAGATATTTTAAAACTTGAGCTGTTAAATAATTTCCTCCTGAAAGGGGAAATCCCAGTCATGGGTTTGTCTACCTTGCAGACATAAAGAGGCTTAGAGGACAAGAGTGTCTGTGCTTTCCTACCTGGCTCCTACAAGGCATGTAGAGTTATGTGGGCAATCCCCAAATTGTCTAGAACCAGAGTGGCCACTTCTAATCAGTTCCTGCAAAAAGTCAGTGCTTGGCTCTCTGAGACAAGTACCCAGACAAGCAACACACAAAGAACTGTCTTCTGTTAGCACCAGGCATGTGCAGAGAATCTGAGGTGGACAAAGAAGTGGGGGAAGATTTGCTGTCTCCTATGGTACTATAGAAAGACATTATCCATGGGCTGGAGTCGGAGGAGAATGGGTCTATCTCAATGAGTTTATTCTCTTCTAGTTGTTGAAGGTACAGGAACCAGTAAAGTAACTTTCTCTCTGAGAAGAATTCAGAGCAGAGAGCTCAGTAATTTGCCTAAAATTTTATGACAAACTGTTTATGCATTTGGATCTATGCATCTTTTTTTTTCTGGGAAGGTACTTAGAGATTGCAAAAATCCTTTGATCTACAGAATGTTAACAATGATTGCTTTAGAGGAATTAGAAGCACACAAGTGTTTCTTGGACATCTTTTCATTAAAAAGGATCATAGTTCTTAGACAGAACCCTCAAAGGGTTGGGTATGGTGACTCAAGCCTGTAATCCCAGCACTTTTGGAGGCCGAGGCAGATGGATCACTTGAGTTCAGGAGTTCAAGACCAGCCTGGCCAATATGGTGAAACCACGTCTCTACTAAAAATACAAAAATTAGCCAGGCGTGGTGATGCATGCCTGTGATCCCACCTAGTCGGGAGGTAGAGACAGAAGAATCACTTGAATCCAAGAGGCAGAGGTTGCAGTGCGTGAGCCGAGATGGTGCCTCTGCACTCCAGCCCAGGTGACAGAGCAAGACTCTGTCTCAAAACAAAACAAAGTAAAGCCCTCTAATTCTTACCCCACTGCTGAAGGGTTTAATAAATACTTCCAAGCAGATGAAGGCAATGGTGTTGCTCGTGGTAGGAGATTGTATTTAAAGATGTCTACACTTTTCTTTCTTTAACAGGCACACAAATGACTGATACATTTCTCATAAAAACCAAAATTTGTTAAATCCCAGCAAAAGCACTTTGAATTGAATAAGAAGCCTCTATTATATTTTTAAACTTTCCTTTTCCTATACATCTTCAAGGAAGAAGAATCTACAATGGAATAACATGTGTGTTGGGGCAATGATGTATAAGAAGCCGTCATTTTAGTGGTTAAGTGTGCAAATTCTGGAGCTAGATGCCTGAGTTCAAGTTCTAACTCCCCCACTTGGTTCCTACTCAGTTTTCTCATCTGTAAAATGGGAATAACAATATATGCCCCATTGAGCTGCTGTGATTTAATGACTTAATGCCTGCAAAGTCCTTACAGCAGTGCCTGATTCCTTGTAAAACTAGAGAAATGCCTGCTTATCTTCTTAAATGTATTTTCCCTTGTGAATTTCCTTTGACACTTTGCTCCTTCTCTCCAGCCAATGACTAGACTGTAGTCTGTGATCATTGACACAGGGAAGGGACGTGACGGCAAAGATCAGAGAGAGAAAAAAGTCTTCTTCTGGCTTTTAAGTTTCAAAGGTAAGCTCTGAGGGAAACGGAGACAGGACAGAGACAAGAGATACATAGAATATCAAATGAATAATAGGAAGAGGTTCTGCCTTTCACGCCTGCATACATATAGGCTAGAAAAGGCTGCCTAAGACTGGGAGGAGAATGAATTGGGTCTGGGAGTTGAGAGTGTAGATAGTGGTAGGTCCCTGAGAAAGAGGTCCATGAACCCTGGGTCCCATGTCAAGTTTTAGGGATGCTGGAGCCAAAACCAACCAAACCAAGCAAACAGCAAGCCAACCAGTTAAAAACCTTCACATAGGGCTGGGCGCGGTGGCTTACGCCTGTAATCCCAGCACTTTGGGAGGCCAAGGCGGGCGGATCACCTGAGGTCAAGAGTTGGAGACCAGCCTGACCAACATGGAGAAATCCTGTCTCTACTAAAAATACAAAATTAGCCTGGCATGGTGGTGCATGCCTGTAATCCCAGCTACTTGGGAGGCTGAGGCAGGAGAATCGTTTGAACGTGGGAAATGGAGGTTGCAGTGAGCTGAGATCTCCAGCCTGGGCAACAAGAGCAAAACTCCATAAAAAACAAAACAAAAAAAAAAAAAACAACAACAAAGAAAACCTTCACATAGAAGTTTATGGGATCTGAGAATAGAGGAACATGGCCTTAATCAGCCTACAGTATTCTCTAGGACCTATCATGGCCTTCACATGGCTTCTTGGCCCTGTAGAATGGCAGACAGCGGGTGGGAATGAGGCCACCCTTCAGGAGCCACCTGGATGGACAGTGATATCTGACAAGACCGGGCCTCCCAGCTAGAACCAGAGTGAACAAACGATGCTGAGGATGAGGACAAGATACATCCCACCCAGCACCACACAAACCCCCTGGGGCTCTGATGCCACCCTAGGGAAAAGGGAGAGGATGAAAACTGACTCTGCCACCCCAGGAAAAGAAATGGGACGTTAAATAGAAGTTAAATTGAGCTATGAAAAAAAATCAAGATACATATTTTTGCACATTTGAATTCGCAGATAAAGATTCAAACCTGCTCTACCTGTTCCTCCATGACTCAAGCATTGCCCTTATTTAGCAAAAATGAAGTCAGGTTTGGCTTGGAAACTTCAACTCACCATTGGCAATGCAGGAGTCATCAGGGCGTGTCTCCGCTGCCTGCCAAGGCAGAATAAAGATGAAAAGAGTCTGGAACTGGGAGCAACTGATACCATGAGATCACAGCTGTGGCACATTAGAATTGTGGGGTGGGTGCTGGGGAGCTCTCTATTGTGAAGGAGCAGGGAAGGGGACCATTGCTCAGATTGCTGGGACTATGGTCATATCCATGCCTATGAGACTGGAATTATCCTATACTCCTACCCCAGCCAGGATTCTCTAGACAAATAGAAACCCGTGTCTACTATATTCCAGGCATTGTATCGGATGCCAGGCACCTTAAAGGGTGAAAAAGACATGGTGTCTGGCCTCAGAGTATCCATTCCAGGGTTCCAAACAGATGCTTTCAATGTGCAGTGGGGAGTAGGCATGGTGGGAACATGAGGGGAGGAGAGTTTGGTTAGTTCGAGGGACCAGGAGACCTTTCCGGAAAAGAGGACTCCTAACCTGACTCTTGGAGGCTAAGTAGGAGCTCATTACACCAGACAAGATGACTGGGGAAGAAATTGCTGCCAAGGACGTAGCCTGAGCAAAGGCATGCAAGGGAGGGAGGCAGAGCATGCAGAAAGGACAAGGCATTTGGCGCTGCAGGATTGTCAGGTGAGGTTAGGGAGCGGGGAGACATGAGGTTGGAGATGGAAGTTTGGGCCAAGTCATGGTGGGTCTTGAATGCCATGATTAGGAATTTAGCCTCTATTCTGTAGTTGACGGGGACCTGCTGACAGGTTTTCAGCAAGAGAGCGGGATAGCCAAGTTTACATTTTACAAAGATGTGTCTGGATGCAGAGGTGCAGTAAGAATACTAAGCCAAGATGATTGTCCTGAAGTCCTCTTGTGCTATCCCAGTTCCAGTTAAGTCCCCAGATTAAACCAAGGGCTTCACAGACCAATCACCAAGTATTGCTTGTTGAAGGAGGTCCAAAGGAGGGCTCAGACTAGATGGGAACAGTCTGGAATCAGAAATAATCTGAGGCTGGGCGCAGTGGCTCACGCCTGTAATCCTAGCACTTTGCATGGCCAAGGCAGGAGGATCGCTTGAGTCCAGGATTTCGAGACCAGCCTGGGCAACATAGTGAGGGCAACTGTCCCCAAAAAATAAAAATAAAAATAAAAAAGAAATGCTCTGAGCCCAGGGCCGGTGCTTAGGTTGACTCCTAATAGCTGGGAAGAGCAACAGTGCCCTCCTTGGCTTCCAGAGCTCTGGCCTATTTCCCCTCTGGCAACCTCAAGCTCTAGATTGCTCGTCTTCCCTGTTTCCTCATCTGGCTGCTATGTGGAATTTCTAGTTCCAGACCCTCTAACCAGCCCTATCCAGCCTCCACCCCCGACCCCGAGGTGTGGCAGTGATAACTCTGGAATGAGGTAGCAGGCTCTCTAGCCGGTCAGGGCAATGGGGTCAGGCAAGCTCCAAGTTTCAGCCCCAAAGCATGGGAGGAAGCTTTAGTCGGCCTCTGGAAGAAGGCGGATTCTTACGTAGTCAGAACTGCGTTTTCATAATTAACAGTGTGTCTGGGTCTTCCAGGGATTGCAGGAACTCAATATTGCCTCTCTCTAAATGATTTGGCTGCATTTCTGAAATACTGTTCTCAGTTCCACTGGCTTCAGTCTGGCTCTCCCAATTCATTATTCATGCCTGTGTTTCAGATTGTCACATCCTCACAGCCATTGGCGGCCCAGCAATATTGGCTGGGAAACGGAGGGGTAGGAAGAAGTGGGGCAGCACACAAAAGAGGGGGCGAGAATCAAAGATTCTCGCAGAAGGTGTTGGGGACACGCAGCAGTAGGGCAGGTCTGCGGATGATATGACTTGGGGATGGATGGGCTGAAAAGAAGTCAGAGAAAAAATAAAAAGCTTTGAGAGATGAGAGGACTCAAAGAGAGAAGTGTGGCACTGCCCTGGAAAAGGAAATTATGTGACATGATTACGAGATCAAAATGCAGCTCTTGCTGTTGATTAAGTTAGTTTATCTCTGCAGCACAGCGCTGCGCTGCAAAAGAGGAATCGTAGCCCATGCAAACTGGCAAATGAGCTTGCTGTGCAGAGTTCCAAGGGAGAAAAGAGCTGGCTTCGCTGCTGCCGTCCCGTAGTTTTCTTAGGAACCATGAAGATTTCCTTTAACAATAGCTGCTTCACTCCACTCTCTCAATCTCTTCACCCTTTAGGTTGGGTAGTCCAGCTAATTACGTTGATCGTTCCAGCAGATTCTGCTGGGGCTGCGGTCCTAATGTCTTATGCACGTGGAACCTTCCATTAAAGACGGAACGGGTGGGCAAGGCAGACAGCTGAGGAGATAGAGCCGGCCCCATGGGCACCTGACTTGACAGGAGCAAATCTAAGTAGGGTTCGCACTGTGGAGACCTCAGAGGGCACGGAGACTCAACCGGGAGCTTTAAAAAACATACCCAGATCTGTGTTTCAGCCCCAGAAGTTTAATTTAATTGGTCTGGAGTAAGGCTTTTGCATTACTATTTAAAAAAAAAAAAATCAAGTGAGTCTAATGTGCAGCCAGACTGCAGACCTCCTGACTTAATCCAAACTTTTCATCTTCCAGATTAAAAAAAAAAAAGAAGAAGAATTGCAGCCCCCAACAAGGTCTCCTAACCCCAGGCCAATGCTCTGTCTGCTAAGCTAGAAGCCTCTCAGCATGAGTGCCTTCACGACACAACTTCTGACCCTTCCTATGAAGAGGTGACTGAGCCGTCACTCTCTGACACGTCTGTTTGGGGTTTAGCAGTCTCCAGAGACGTTAATTACAGCCTGCTGAATATTTTGTAATAGCCTAAAGAAAGTAACACTATTGAAGGTTAGACATGTAAATAACACCTCTTACATGGAAACACATAGATCGATATTCTCCAACACAGACACACACACATGCCTGCATGCACACACACAAAGCCTATTCCTTCACTTGTGTTAGATAGCAGGCGGCTTTGTTTCTGAAACGTAGTCACTGCTAATAGTAAAAAAAAATAACATGGAGCGGAAAACATGAACAAAGGGAGCTGCACAGCTGATATTCCATTCTGAAAGCTTTCTCTTTGATCCTGGCTAGGGCAGGGCATTTCTTAGAACGTTTTGAACTTCATACACATCTGACTGGGCATGGTAAAAGTGAACACTGAGGTGGAGAAATCCAACAAATAGATGCCTTTCTCTCCTTACCGGAAGAATTCAGTTTCCTGACAGCTCGCAGAACTGCAAATGTAGAACACACTATATAGCTTTCTCTTTTTAATGTTTAACTCAAATGGCTTTCCCTATTTCTGTTCTTTATTATTCATAAATATTAATAGAATAGCTTTGCAGGCTAATAATACTCAGGACAAATATTCTCTGGTAAAATAAAAATAAGCAATTAATTTGATTTCATACAAGGCTGACTGCATTCTATTTTAGAAGATCTTTTGGCCACATTTAGGTGCAAGAGGACAAGAAAACAGATGAACTAGCTGAATGTGGAAATGGCATTCTTGAACATTGGTTTTTATTCACTCCCAAGCCCAGTGGGGCATGATGTAGAATAACAGTTCCCACAAGGATCACTGGGCTAGCTCCTCCCCAAGCACACGGAATGTTTCCAGTCACATCCTAAACCCTAAACCATGGAAGATGAAAATAGCGTCTCATAACACACCTGCCAGTTGGCAGCATTCAGTCCCGGGAGAACTATCTCCCCCAGATGCTGCAGTGGGAGGCTTAATTTATACATGCTGTGGAATTCATATTCATGTGCTCGCCATTTAGGCTTCATTATGTTTACAAATTCTCTTCTGATTAATGAGAAGTCAATAAACACCCAGAGGAACTGTGAATGTAGAACCAGAAGAAAAACAGAGTATACCATCCACGACCGTAAGTGCTATCTGCATGCACAGTATTCTGGGGTCTAAAACCATGACATCAATTCCACTTGTGCAGTTACCTAAGGTTGCAATTTGTAATTATTTATCTTAGAAAGGGACAGTGGAGGCCAGGTGTGGTAGCTCAAGCCTGTGATCCCAACGCTTTGGGAGGCCAAGACAGGAGGCTCGCTTGAGCCCAGGAGTTTGAAACCAGCCTCAGCAACATAGCAAGACCTCATCTGTAGAAAAATACGAAAATTAACTGGGCACAGTGGCGCATCCCTAAAGTCCCAGCTACTTAGGAGGCCAAGGTGGGAGGATCTCCATTGCACTCCAGCCTGGGCGACAGAGTGAGACCCTGTCTGGAAAAAAAAAAAAAAAAAAAAAAAAAAGGCTGGGCACAGTGGCTCACGTCTGTAATCTCAGCACTTTGGGAGGCCGAGGTGGGAGGATCACCCAAGGTCAGGAGTTTGAAACTAGCCTGGTGAACATAGTGAAACCCTGTCTCTAATAAAAATACAAAGTTAGCCCGGCATGGTGGCGCATGCCTGTAACCCCAGCTACTCAGGAGGCTGAGGCAGGAGAAAAACTTGATCCCAGGATGCAGAGGTTGCAGTGAGCTGACATCAAGCCATTGCACTCCAGCCTGGGCAACAAGGCGAAACTCCATCTCAAAAAAAAAAAAAAGAAAGAAAGAAAAATTGTGTAGAACAGACATCCTATGGGTACATTATTGAGATCTGCATGGCTGCAGTGGGCAATTTCAGAATGCACTTTGAATGTTTTCCACGTACAAATCCTCCCAACGCTCTACGAAAGAAAAGCGAAATTTCACCCGTGACTGTAAGACTTCCATGGGACTTTGGAGTCAGTGCAAGAGGCCGACAAGGAATGCATCAGCCATCGCCTGCAAGCTGAACCAGTGATCTTACACGACGGTGCACTCTTTTCTCAGCATCACACATTTTCTCATGACAGCCACTAGCGTTTAGAAATTTGAAACATTAAAAAATATTTTTAAGGAGGATTCTGTACTTGAAGGGCTAGGAATTCTTGGCATAGAACTTTAGGCCTTGATGATTCATTTATTTGTGTTTTGGTGTATTCCCAAAACTGTTGTGAGGAAAGTCTTGTTTCTCTTCTGTATGGGTTTGTTTGCTTGTTTTTGGTGGGTGAGGCATGTATTTAGAAATCATTTTTTGTTGGGCCCCTTAATTTTCATAAAATAATGCAAAGACATGTGTACTTTAATTAGCACCATTGAGCTTCTGATTTCAGTTTCTTGCCCCAGAGTCCACCATGCACACTTTCTCCTACTATGCCTCATGAGGGCTCTTTTACTTGAAACACCCAATCTTTAAGGTGGGAAAATGCACCAAGCCTGATAAGTGACTCTACTTCCTGGTTCCAGACCCAGTGATTGTTCCATTCGGTATGGACCAGATTATATTTCATGCTGGTCCAGATTATATTCCATTAGTGAATTTTCTAAATTTCAGTTTTCTAAGTTCAATACCAATATTTATCCATTTGGCCTTCGTAATTTTTTTTCTTTTTTCTTTTTTTTGAGACAGAGTCTCGCTCTGTCACCCAGGCTGGAGAGCAGTGGCACAATCTCGGCTCACTGCAAGCTCCGTCTCCCGGGTTCACGCCATTCTCCTGCCTCAGCCTCCTGCGTAGCTGGGACTACAGGTGCCCAACACCACGCCTGGCTAATTTTTTGTATTTTTTTTTTTTTTTAGTAGAGACGGGGTTTCACTGCAGGGTGGTCTCGATCTCCTGACCTCGTGATCCAGCCGCCTCGGCCTCCTAAAGTGCTGGGATTACAGGTATGAGCCACCGCACCCCGCCTTTTTTTTTTTTTTTTTTTTTTTTTTTGTCTTTTTAGATGGAGTCCTGCTCTTGTCACCCAGGCTGGAGTGCAACAGCACGGTCTCGGCTCACTGCAACCTCTGCCTCCCCAGTTCAAGCAATTTTCCTGCCTCAGCCTCTCAAGTAGCTGGGATTACAGGCACATTCATCCACACCCAGTTAATTTTTGTATTTTTAGTAGAGATAGGGTTTCACCATGTTCTCCAGGCTAGTCTCAAACTCCTGACCTTAGGTGATCCCCCCACCTCGGCCTCTCAAAGTGCTGGGATTACAGGTGTGAGTGACTGCGCCCGGCCAGGCCTTTATAAAAAATTATAGATTCCGGGGGTACATGTGCAGGTGTGTTGCATGGATATATTGCATAATGGTGAGGTTTGAGCTTCTAGTGTACCCATCACCTGAATGGTGGACATTGTACCGAACAGGTAATTTTTCAACTCTCGCCTCCCTCCCCTTCTCCTCCGCTTTTAAAATCCCCAGTGTCTATTACTTCTCTCTGTATGTCCATGTGTACCCATTGTTTATCTCTCACCTAGAAGTGGGAACATGCAGTGTTTGATTTTCTGTTTCTGAGTTAATTCACTTAGGATAATGACCTCCCCATTATTGTAAGTGAAGTAACTCAGGCGTGGAAAACTAAAAACTGCATGTTCTCACTTCTACGTGGGAGCTAAGCTATGAGTACTCAGAGGTTTTATACAGAGCTCTATAAAGGACTTTAAAGACTCAGAAGGCAGAGGGTAGGGAGGGAGGCTAGGGATAAAAAGCTACATATTAGGGATAATGTACACTATTTGGGTGACAGGTGCACCAAAATCTCAGAATTCGTTATAGAATTTATCCATGTAACAAAAAACCAGTTGTATCCCAAAAGCTATTGAGATAAAAATTTTAAAAAATAAGAACACCACCCTGTCCTTGGGGGAAAAAAATAATGGCCTCCAGTTCCACCCATGTTGCTGCAAAAAAACATGAGTTCATCCTTTTTTATGACTGCATAGTATGCCATGTTGTATACATACCACATTGCTTTATCCAGTCATCCAGTGATGGACATTTAGATTGATTCTGTCTTTGCTCTTGGGAATAGTGCTTTGGTAGACATATGAGTGCAGGTGTCTTTTTGTTTGTTTGTTTGTTTTGTTTTGAGACAGAGTCTCACTCTGTTGCCTAGGCTAGAGTGGAGTGTCACGATCTCAGCTCACTGCAACCTCCATCTCCTGGGTTCAAGCAACTCTGCTGCCTCAGTCTCCCAAATAGCTGAGATTACAGGTGCCTGCCACCATGCCTGGCTGATTCTTGTGTTTTTAGTAGAGATGGGGTTTCACCATGTTGGCCAGGCCAGTCTTGAACTCCTGACCTCAGTCTTGATCTGCCTACCTCGGCCTCCTAAAGTGCTGGGATTACAGGTGTGAGACACCATGCCAGGTCAGGTATCTTTTTGATAGAATGATTTCTTTTCCTTTGGGTAGATATCCAGCATTGGGATTGCTGGGTCGAAAGGTAGTTCTATTTTTAGATCCCTCAGGAATCTCCATACTGTTTTCCACAGAGGTTGTACTAATTTATATTCTCACCAAGAGTGTAGAAATGTCCCCTTTTCTCCATATCCACGCCAATTGTTGTACTTAGACTTTTCGATAATAGCAATTCTGACTGGTTTGAGATGGTGTCTCATTGGGGTTTTAATTTGCACTTCTCTGATGATTAGCGATACTGAGCATGTACTCATAGTTTTTGGGCACTTGTATGTCTTCTTTTGAGAAATAAATCTGAAGTAGAGAATTTTTTTTCTTCTTGCCTTATGAGCTCTGCCTAGAATTCATGCCTAGAATGGTACTTGGTATATGCTAAGTGTCTCTTCTCATTCTTGTTATCAGGGGATGCATTCAGAGCTGCCAGTGGCCCTGGGTCCCGTCCACACGAAGAAGCTGGAAAGAATGAGGCCATGCCAAAACAGAGGCTGAGATGAGAGGCGAAGGCAGAAATCTGCCCCCATTCCTGGGAAAACTTCCTTTCTACGTTTTGTTTTCATGGGCCAATACATCCCTTTTCCTTGTTTAATCTAACTTGATTTGGAATTCTGCATTTGTAATAAAAAAGTTCTAATAATAATAAAGTTCATGCTGTTATTTGGCAGATGCTGAGATGTGAGCAAGAGAAAAGAGTCAAGAATCAAGCAGGAATATCGAGCAAGGTGGACTCAGTGACTCATAGAAAACACACGGAGACAGGTTTTGGAGATGATGATGATAATAATGATGAACTTAGTTTTGGGCAAAATGAGTTTGAGGATCTTTGAATTTTCCCATGTGGAGCTGTTCCATTTGTTGTTTGGAAACGTGGATAGAAAACTCAGCAGAGAGTTCAGGGATGAAGCTGTAGATCTGGGAGCCAACTGAACGGAGCTGCAGCTGAAGGCCATGACACTGCAAGAGGAACAGAGTGGGGCTAGAAGGAGACCAAGGACTGGGCAAGGAACAGAAGCAGGCGACACGGCCTTGTGGGAGCACGACAAGGAGAATCGGCATGTGTAAGGTGAGAGGAGTCACAAGGGGTAGTTCTAATGACACATAGAGTGTTGTTGTGCTCTTGGCCAGGTGTGGTGGCTCACACCTGTAATCCCAGCATTTTGGGAGGCTGAGGTGGGTGGATCATTTGAGGTCAGGAGTTGGAGACCACCCTGACCAACATGGTAAAAAACCATCTCTACTAAAAATACAAAAAATAATAATAATAATAATTAGCGAGGCATGGTGGCTCACATCTGTAATCCTAGGTACTCAGGAGGGTGAGTCAGGAGAATCTCTTGAATCTGGAAGGCACAGGATGCAGTGAGGCCAAGATCATGCCACTGCACTCCACCCTGGGTAACAGAGTGAGATTCTTCTGAAAAAAAAAAAAAAGCCCAGCACAATGGCTCACACCTGTAATCTCAGCACTTTGAGAGGCCAAGGCGGGCGGATGGATCACTTGAGGTCAGGGGTTTAAAACCAGCCTAGCCAAATGATGAAACCCTGTCTCTACTAAAAATACAAAAAACTTAGTTGGGCATGATGGCAGGTGCCTGTAATCCCAGCTACTTGGGAGGATGAGACAGGAGAATCGCTTGAACCTGGGAGGCAGAGGTTGCAGTGAGCCAAGATAGTGCCACAGCACTCCAGCCTGAGTGACAGAGCAAGACTCCATCTCAGAAAAAAAAAAAGTGTCGTGGCACTCTGGATGCAGACACTGGAATGGATGAGAGTTTTGAAGAGGCATTGCATTTCTCTGGATGCAGACACTGGAATGGATGAGAGTTTTGAAGAGGCATTGCATTTTTCTGGATGCAGACACTGGAATGGATGAGAGTTTTGAAGAGGCATTGCATTTCTCTGGATGCAGACACTGGAATGGATGAGAGTTTTGAAGAGGCATTGCATTTTACAAGTAGTTTACTGGCACCCCCTGAGAGAAGATTTCAGTTTAGCAGGAGCAAATCCCAGACTGCACAAGGCTGAGAAGGATGGGAGATGAGAAGGGGGAGGGGAGGCACAAAAAAGAGGGAAAGGTGTGGGAATTCCAGAGTTGTGGTGAAATCAGATCGCCTCTTGTTTTTCTTAAGAATAATTGTGATGTAAACACATTTGCATGTTGAAGAGAAGTCAAAAGACAAAAAAAATACATCAGACGAGTAATTATTGACAAAACAAGTTAAAAGAGGAAGTGATAAAGGAAAAAGGAAGTAGCTTCAAGGAGGGGAAAATATATTTCCTTATTTAAGACAAGAGAGGCTACACATATCTGAGAGGTGTTAAAAGATGAAAAAAAAGACAAAAGGGCAAGAGAAAATGACCATGATGAACCAGAGAAAATTTAATGTAGAAGAGTCAATGTTAGCTGAAATTCCATCCAATGATCTCCATCTCATTTTCTCAAAGAACTTAAAACAGAACTACCATTCGGCCCAGGAATCTCATTACTAGTTATATGCCCAAAAGAAAATAAACTGTTCTACCAAAAAGACATGTACACCTGTATGTTCATCGCAGGACTTCACGGTAGTGTCAGTGGCGGACTGCATAACGCAAATGTGGTACATATACACCATGGATTACCATGTAGCCATAAAAAAGAATGAAATTGTGTCCTTTGCAGCAACGTGGATGCAACCGGAGGCCATAATTCTAGGCAAATGCAGGAACAGAAAACCGAATACCATACGTTCTCACTTATAAGTGGGAGCTAAGCAGTGGGCACTCATGGACATCAAGATGGCAACAGGCCAGGCACAGTGGCTCGTGCCTGTAATCCCTAATCCCAGCACTTTCGGAGGCCAAGTTGGGCAGATCACTTGAACCCAGGAGTCTGAGAACAGCCTGGGCAAAATGTCAAAACCCTGTCTCTACAAAATATACAAAAAAATAGCTGGGTGTGGTGAGGTATGCCTGTAGTCTCAGCTACTTGGGAGGCTGAGGTGAGAGGATCGCTTGCGCCTGGGAGGCAGAGGCGGAAGTGAGCTGAGACTGTGCCACTGCACTCCAGCCTGGGTGACAAAAGAGAGACCCTGTCTCAAAAGAAAATTTAAAAGATGGCAACAATAGGCACTGGGGACTCCTAGAGGAGGAAGAGAAGGAAAGGGGTCAGAAATGAAAAACTAACCATTGGGTTCTATGCTTACTACCCAGGTGACAGGATCAATTGTACCCCAAACCTCAGTATTATGCAATATATCCACATAACAAACCTGCACATGTACCCCCTAAATCTAAAATACAAGTTGAAATTATTTTTAAGAAAGGATTTTGATCTCAGGAAGGTAGGTGACAAAGTCATGGGCTGCCTGACAGAGGGCTAAGGTGCTGAGTAGAAAATATTTGGAACTGTTGTGAGAAATTAAGTTTATTATAACTTTGGAGAAGCCCTGAAGTTAGAAAGCATGAATTGGTAGTAGATCCAGCTGATTTTTTAACAGCCCAAGATAAGAAATGGCAAAAAGCACAGTCGTGTTTTTCCAGTCTGATGGGAAGTCAAGGAACAAAGCAATCTAGGGTACTGGTGAGTGTTACTGAGTTAAGGGAGCACACTTGTCTCATTTCTCAGCCTGACATAGGTGACTTGTCTGGTGCTCTGCAGATGCTGAGTAGCACAGTATCTGGCACAGAAGGGTCAGGCAATAAAGATTTATTTCACTGGATTAAAAAAAGGCATTCTTTAATTTTTATGATGGACTCTTTCATCCACATTCAGCTCTGACACGTAGGAGTCACTTTTCTTTCTTTCCTACATTTGTTCTGTCGATCTGATTTAAAAAAAAACAAGATGTTTTCGGAATCATCCCTGTGGAGAGATAAGGTGGTGATGGCAATGGGAAAATGCAAAGTAGAAATTAGAAACAAATACATGAATATATTTGCAGTAGCATTTGAGGAACTGGGAACGTTTAGTGACTGTGTGTGTGAGTGTGTGTGTGTGTGTGTGTTTTCTTCTAAGCACAAGTGCTGATGTTCTGAGATGAGGTAGTGCATCATGAATCATACACAGAAAGGATTTATGAACCAAAAAAAAAAAAGAATGAGATGGTGGGCGAGGAAATCTGGGGAGAATATAGGGTGGTCAACTGTCTCAGTTTGCCTGGGATAGAAGGGTTTCCCAGGATGTGGGACTTTCCGTGCTAAAATGGAAAAGTTCCCAGAGATTCTGATTTAATTGGCCTGAGGTGCAGCCTTGACTTCTTACGTGCAGCCAAGATTGACAACCCTTGAGCAGAGCTCAGGAGACACAGCCTAGGTCAGTGATTCTCAAATTGCAATGTGCCTAAGAATGGCCTGGAGGTCTTGGTAAACAGCTTCCAGGAGCCCAGCAGAGTTTCTGATTCAGAATGATTTTTCACCTTAACGTGTGAGGAGAAACATGGCCAATAATACTCAATATTCATTGCTGCATAAATAGAGTCTTTTCAGAACTCCTGGAGACTTCGTGGAAAATGGCACCCTGGGAAACACTCTGTGAATTAACATTTGTTTTATATTGGCAGACTGAAGATTGTTAACTCCACAAACTGTACATATTTCTAAATTGGGCTCTTGGAGGACTTCTAAACCTTCCAAGTAATTGATCTGAAGCTAAGGGCATAAGCTTAGCCTTTATGACAACATCTTGTACTATTCTACTGCCCTATTTTTAAATATATATATATATATTTTACATATATATAAAAAATATAGTACTTTCATTAGGACCTGAAAGAGTTGATCCTAAGTCTACTGACCAGCTTTCTTGCAGTATAATCCACAGAAAACTTCAAGAATAACTGATTCTGTTTTCCTATCCTTGCCCCTTGATCCCCCAGCTGAGGAAGCACTGGTGAGAATCACCCCCTCTCACTGATGTTAAGTATCAGGTGAAACCTTTATGCGTTTCAAAGGCTGAAGAAAACATAAAACAAAGGCGGCCTTGCCAGGCGCAGTGGCTCACGCCTGTAATCCCAGCACTTTGGGAGGCCGAGGCGGGTGGATCACGAGGTCAGGAGATCGAGACCATCCTGGCTAACACGGTGAAACCTCGTCTCTACTAAAAATACAAAAAATTAGCCGGTTGTGGTGGCGGGCGCCTGTAGTCCCAGCTACTCGGGAGGCTGAGGCAGGAGAATGGCGTCAACCCGGGAGGCGGGGCTTGCAGTGAGCGGAGATCGCGCCACTGCACTCTAGCCTGGGCAACAGAGTGAGACTCTGTCTCAGAAAAAAAAGAAAGAAAGAAAACAACAACAACAACAACAAAAAAGGCGGCCTTATTAGCCTGCTTTGGTGCTGATCTGAATTAAAAGCTGAATAAATGCATAAACATAACAAGAACACTAGACAAAATCCAACAGAAAAGAGACATACATGTCAGAAACATAGTTATCTCTAGTGTGCAAATTTGCGTGGCATCCTAAGGGTCTGGAATGAATGGAGGCTCCTCTTCAGTCTTCCTTAGCATGAGCCAAAGAATTCAACTTCATTGAATCAACAGTGGTACTGGTGGGTGAATATGTAGGGGTAACAAGTGTATTCGAAACTTCTCTAGGATACGGAATTTGCACAGAACCGTTGAAGAAGTAGTGGCAGGAATAAAACAGAAACACTAAACACAGGAAAAGAGGTAGGTCCCCAGTATTTGGAGTTGATGGCTACTGTTTTATGTTGCGGGATTCTAACAAACATTATGAATTACTTACAGATCCATTCAAATTCTTGTTCTGAACCAGTGGGACTCAAGCTTGGCTGCACATTGAAATCACTGGTGGAGTTTTTTAAAAACCTGGTGCCTGGTCCAATCCCAGAGACTCCGATTAAATTGGCCTGGGGTGTAGCCTTGACTTCTCAGGTACAGCCAAGATTGACAGCCATGGAACAGAGCTAAGAATTGCCTGGAGGGCTTGGTAAACAGTTTCCTGGAGCCTATCCTCAGAGTTTCCGATTCCGTAGGTAAAGGTGGGGCAGGAGTTTCTTCATTTCTAACAAGCTCACTGGTGATGCTGATGCTGCTGGACTGAGAACCACGCTTTGAGGACCCCTAGCCGAGGTGTACCATGTTACCATGTGCTGAGACAAGGAAACCATCCAGCATTCCTTGTGGCCCTCTCAAATCAGCGACAGAGCTCCCTGGATGCTCTTTTGCGTGTGCTTGAAGGGCAAGTTGTGCATTTTATTTGCTCAAGTCACTGAAGCCTGGTGAAGTGGGACAGCCTCTTCTTTTCCAGTCTCAAAATATAGGGGCTTCAGTCTTTGCTGTTCTTGTTTTTTATTTATTTATTTATTTATTTTTCTAGAAGCCATCTAATTTCCCCTGTGGTGTCAGATAATCCCAAAGAACATGGTGTCCTGGGCATACATGAGCCAGCTGCCTGGAGTCCCTCCTACCTACTGGCACTCCATCTATCGAGGGAAGCCTTCTCTCTGTCCTCTGCCCCATTCTGATCTGCGGCCTCACTCTGCGCTCTGAATCTGGCCTAATCCAATAAGCAGGACCCACAGGGCATTGGGAATCCTGCCCCAGATAAGGACCATCATGCACAGAGAACTGTAGTGGCCAAGGTAATATTAATAGTCATAAGTCATAGCTACCACTTGTGGGACACTTGTTCTGCCAGAAACTGCACCAACACTTTACACACATCACTTAATTTAATCCTACGTTAACCTTGAAAGATGAGAATTATTATGCCCGTTTTATAGATGAGGAGACTGAGGCTCAGAGACAGTGACTTGCCCAAAGCTTTGGAGCCATGAAGGGAGATGGGATGCATAGCTGCGTCTGGCTTATAAGTGCGTGTTTTCCCACCGTACCCTTCTGCCTCTCGGGCTACGGGTGGGATGGCACTGGGGGCAAGAACGCTGGACGCCGGCTGTTAAATGGTGTGGTGTCCACTCCTAGATGCAGCTGATGGATGGCGGCCCTGGGCAGGTTGCTGGCCTGACCCCACCCTGGGTGCCTGTCCTCAGATCCTTATCTACAGAAAGATGGGCTTTGTCTAGATCACTGCAGCCCTTTCTTGCTCTGCTTTTCTAGAAGTCTCTCTGTGACTCATGCAGCTGTGCCTCCTTTCCCAGGACTCTGCCCTGCCTGGTGATGACACAGCACGTTCAGCACATTTGTTTCCAGGGAGAGCACTCTCCAGAAGGAACCAGGGCCAGCTCCTGTGGCGCCACTTGGTCAGGCTAGCTGGAGGTTGTGTCAACGTCTCGGAGAGCCCCTTGATTACAGTTTATAAGCCGGTTGTAAAGTGCCCATTCTCGGGCGAAACTTGGCTTTCAGTTCTCTGAGATGGCAGAGCATTGCGAACTGGTCACTTTGAAAGCTGAGGGAGAGGTGGACGGAAATCAGGTCCGCTCCAGGTGGCAGCCCCGCCCTTGCTTGTCAGTCCCAGAGCAGCTGCTGTGGGGTGTGCCCTCCCAGGAGGGGATGGGGCAATGCTGCGAGCTTGCACCAAGCTGGGAGCAGTTCTCTGTAGCTCTCTCTTCTCCTAGGGCCAGTAGGAGTGGGTGTGCTGATGGGGGCTCTTCTTACAGATTTTTGTTATGATAGCTACTAATATCATGAGTTGTTGCTACTGACAATACATAGGATGATGTGTTACTTTCCTCTATGACGACTGCATTTGACCTTGAATTAGGAAACTTACATTGGAGCTGGCCCTTTCATTCGAATGGGCCTCATTCCTCATCTATTACATGGGAAGAAGGAGTGAAATAAACCCCTTTTCTTATCCTCTGTGAAAATTCTACACCAAACACAAGAGCAATCACACAAATTGAGAAACATGGGGGCACAGAGAGTTACCTGAACAATATAAAGATTTTAGTTGCTGCAGTGATTTATTTTCATACATTTATTTTATTTATTTACTTTTTAATTTTACTTTAAATTCTAGGATACATGTGCAGAATGTGCAGGTTTGTTACATGGGTATACATGTGCCATGGTGGTTTGCTGCACCCATCAACCCATCATCTAGGTTTTAAGCCCCGTATGCATTAGGTGTTTGTCCTAATGCTCTCCCTCCCCTAGCCCCCCACTCCCTGACAGGCCCCGGTGTGTGATGTTCCCCTCCCTGTGTCCATGTGTTCTCATTGTTCAACTCCCACTTACGAGTGAGAACATGCGGTGTTTGGTTTTCTGTTCCTGTGTTAGTTTGCTGAGGATGATGGTTTCCAGCTTCATCCATGTCCCTGCAAAGGACAAAAACTCATTCTTTTTCATGGCTGCATACATTTATTTTTAAAATTGCAGTAAAATACATATAACGTAAAATTTACTCTTTTAACCATCTTTAAGTGTACAGTTCAGTGACATCAAGGGCATTCACAGTGTTGTACCACCATCACCATCTGTCCACAGAACTCTTTTCATCAATACAAATATTTTAGCAGCGTTGGCATAGCACTAAAAATAACATCTCAAAAATCAATAGTGTTTTGAATTGATAAACCTCCTTTGGAGGAATTTAAGGCATTTCACAAACATTATCTTGTTTGTCCTCGCAATGGCCTTAGACAGAAGCAGAGAGAATAAGAGAGTGGTCAGTTGAGACAGAGAGAAAGAAGGAAAAAGAGGAGAAAATGCAATTTTGCCCAATTTGCAAATGACCCAGAGAGGCTCAGAGAGGCTTAATGAAACATCATGGGTCTCACAGGTATCGCATGGATGATGATCTTAGAACCTGGATGTTTGGTTATTAGTTCAATTTTTAGTTTTCCAGGCTACACTATGATGTCACTGGGTGATTACAGCTTCAACCAGAGAGGGGAGGATATATTTTTAATGTTACAGGACAGCCATGCCTGTAACATTAAAAAGGGGCTCTCCATGCCTTTCAAGAGGGTTTTTCTTCGTGGACACATTGTTGGGATGGGTGTGTCAGTCTGGGAGTGGGGACTGGGAAGAAAAGGCAAGTTCTGGCAGAGGCCAGAGTGGGGTAGATTATTCTCCCAGGTTCTGTCGGTTTCTGGGCAGCTGCTAATAGGAGGATTTGGGTTGTAAGACCTGACTCGGTTGTAAGGCCGAGAGTAAAGCTCTCACCTGTGCAAAAGCTTTCATTGCCTGGGAATTAAAGTTTCATGGCTCCAGCCTGTGTGCGTGTGTGTGTGTCTCTAAGAGAGAGAGAGAGAGAGACAGAGACAGAGACAGAGACAGAGAGAGAGAGAGAGATCAGATATAAAAGAAAAAAGTGTGATTTTTCCTGGCTGTGAATGAGGGATCAGTTGAAGAAATTAGAAACTAAAGTTGATAAATTGTATTATTTATTTATTTTTTAACTTGGTGAGTCTTTAAAGAACTAATTTTCTTTGGTGGAGAAGACAACAACAACAAATTGTGTTCATTTAAAACTGTGTTTCAGGTTAGACATGGTGGCTCACATCTGTAATCCCAGCATTTTGAAAATCCGAGGCAGGCGGATTGCTTGAGCCCAGGCATTCAAGATCAGCTTGGGCAACTTAAGGAGATCCTATCCCTACAAAAAATAAGAAAAATTAGCTGGGCTTGGTGGTACGCACCTGTGGTCCCAGATACTTGGGAAACTGAGGTGGGAGATGTGCTTAAGCCTGCGAAGTCGAGGCTGCAGTGAGCTGTGATTGCACCACTGCACTCCAGCCTGGGTAACACAGTGAGGCCCTGTCTCAAAGAAAAAAAATGTATTTCAATTGGACTTAGTCTTTTTGTTACTGGAAAATTGTACAATACATTTCTGGGAGCAAGAACATGTTACTGCTCCTGGTGCAAGGTTTGAATTACTAAGATCCAGGAACAAAGATGTATGTAAACTTTGATTAAAAGACAGAAATGAACCTGAGAAACAGTCTGGCAATTAGAACCAAGCCAGCAGGGTACTGTTATTTAGCCTGGAACATCCTTTCCAAGTAAGTGGGGAGAAGGGCGCTGCTTCTTAGTGAAAGGAGTATATAATTAATTGGTCTGGTGGTCTCCACTCAACCAGTGATATGTGTAATTGGTTTCTCACTGAGAACAAAGGAAAGCACACAATAAATGCTAGCTTTGTTGTTGTTGTTATTAGCTCTGCAGCTGGCTAAGCTCTGGTGAACCCACAAGAAGACCAAGAAAGAGTAGCTGACTTCAAATCTCCTTCATTCCTTTATTCACTCACTTTCTTAAGAACCTGCTATGCACCGGGCACTGTGCTAGAAGATGGTAAAAAGGGTTTCAGGCTTGGCCATGAATGAGTTTACAGACCAGCAGAGGGAGAGGAGACAGATACGCCAATGTATCCGTGCAACCAAACATCATCGATGCCATGAAAGACACATACGCAGACAGTATAATGAAGGGAGTGATTAGTTTGTTTGGATGGTGTATAAGGAAGTAGAGAAGGCTTCTGCAAGAGGTGATGTCTAAGCTGTGTTTTTAAAAATATCAGTGAGAATTTCCCAGGCAGGAGCAGTTTGGGAGGATAGGTGAGAAGCACTGCAGGGAATGGTGTATTTGTTGCTACTGATAAAGACATGCCCGAGACTGGTTAATTTATAAAGAAAAAGAGTTTTAATGGGCTCGCAGTTCCATGTGGCTGGGGAGGCCTCACAATCAGGGCGGAAGCTGAAAGGCACGTCTTATATGGCAGCAGACAAGAGAGAATGAGAACCAAGTGAAAGGGGCTTCCCCTTATAAAACCACGAGATCTTGTGAGACTTATTCACCACCATGAGAACAATATGGGGAAAATTGCCCCCATGATTCAATTATCTCCCACCAGGTCCCTCCCGCAACAGGTGGGAATTATGGGAGTCACAATTCAAGATGAGATTTGGATGGGGACACACCGCCAATCCATATCAATGTTGAGCAACTGAAGTGAAGGTTCACACTCCCCAGAGGTTCTTTATGAAATGATTGCTGAATGGAATGGAGTCACTGGCAAAATGTACTGCCTGGGGGAGAGGGGCACAGATGGTCAGGCATCCTCAGAAGAAAGGAGGAAGGTGGAATGAATAATGGCAAGAAGAAAAGTGATGAAACAATAAATGAGAGTAGTTGGATGATAAAAGAGTACAAAAAAGTGGAAAGGTTAAGAAAAATCTTCTATTAAACCTCCGAAGAGGAATTACAAAGCACCCAGAGTTAAGCCAAATGATCAGCAGACAGGCCTTTCCAGTTGATGTTTTCATTTTTAATTTTTTTCTGTGACATCAGAAATTCCTGCTAACCTTTCCACTTTAAAGCTGGAGATAACATGGCCTGAATCAGGCAAAAATCCTCAACAGAACTAGGATGATGCCATCTAGGCGGCACAGTCTCTAAGACTAGAAGCCATCATTCTCTTTGTATCAGATCCAGCCTGGTCCCACTGCCTGCTGAAGCTGCACCCCCAGAAGAGACAGAGCCCCTGGATGTCTCCAAGGGGCAACAACCAGCCCATCCTCTGTCCTGTGCCTGTAAACTCATTCATCTCCATCTCAAGTGTTCGCCATGATCCCAGGTTCCAGGAGGCCGGGAGGATCAAGAGTCTCAGAGAGCAGAAAGCCCACAGAATCTGGCTACCACCGGGAGATCAGTTGCCCTTTTTTTTTTTTTTTTTTTTTTTGAGACAGAGTCTCCCTCTGTCACCCAGGCTGGAGTGCAGTGGTACAATCTTAGCTCATTGCAACCTCTGCCACCAGGGTTCA
This sequence comes from Homo sapiens, assembly GCF_000001405.40. Taxonomy (NCBI): domain Eukaryota; kingdom Metazoa; phylum Chordata; class Mammalia; order Primates; family Hominidae; genus Homo; species Homo sapiens. The sequence goes on along the minus strand of NW_018654717.1, from coordinate 4,891,588 downwards.
AGCAATTCTCTTGCCTCAGCCTCCTGAGTAGCTGGGACTACAGGTGCTGACCACCATGCCAAGCTAATTTTTGTATTTTTAGTACAGACAGGGTTTCACCATGTTGGCCAGGCTGGTCTCAAACTCCTGATCTCAAGTGATCTGCCCACCTTGGCCTCCCAAAGTGCTGGGATTACAGGTGTGAACAGGTGTGAGCCACTGCGCCCAGCCGAGACCAGTTGCCTCAATTGTCAGTTTCCTCCTCTCTCCCCTTCTCAGGTCTATCATGGCAGAATTTGTCCCAGAACATAAAACTACAGAACACCCCAGTTTCGGTGTGAGAAAAGAGCCTAGGCATCTCCTAATTTAATGGGCTTCAAATGGTTTGGCTCAGTTGTCCTAAGCAATAAAAATAATTTGAGTATGTAACCTCAATTGATGTATATTTATTCATTTATAAATGACATACTTCTGTACCAACATACTTTAAGACATATACAAAAATTATATTTAAAAAGAAAAATAAATAAAATGATAATATTTTCTCCTGTGCCTTAATGGATTAGCTTTGTTCCTTTTGGGATATGTGAATCTGTTTTGGAGACAACTTACCTAATTCAGCCTGATCTGCTAATCTCCTCTGTAACTCCCCACCAAGAGGAAATTCAACCTTTTCATGAACACTTGGAGGGACACCCAATCCATTTTTGGAAACATCTAGGCGTTTCTTGATTACCATGCTCTGGATGGCCAAATCGGGGGGTTTTCATGCAGTATCACACCTGGACTTCGAGCCACAAGTGAACACTTCTCTGGGCGCCTCACTTCTGGCTCTCCCTGGATCTCACTGCAACCTGAGTGCCAGAGCTGTGAAGACTGCAGCAAAGTCCTCCAACTGCCACGGTAAATATTATCATTGCCTCTGGTATGCAGAAAAGCAAGCCGAGCCGCATTTGCTGCTTCCAGGTGGCAGACACAGAAATGAGAGCAGGGAGGGAGGGGCTGGGAAGGTGTCTGGGAAGAAAGAGATCAATAAGACCTCACTAGTGTGCAGTATTTACTGTAAACAGCCCAAGGTGGTTTGGGGTTGGGGTGAACTGTCAACATAGAACAGTTCTTTCTCAGGGACTGTGGGAGCAGGTGTTCTAAAAGGAAGGATGAAGATAGCAGTTGCAGTGGGATGGGCAATGAGACCCTGGGCTCAGGGAAGTCACTGAGGGTTAATGTGGCCGGGCAGCCAACGTCACAGCACACGAGGCCCCTGCCACATCTTACCCACACATTTCAAGATCCTGTATCGCCACAGTGTGTCATTACTTTGAGACCATGGACTACTTTCTCAATTCTTCAGCAGAGAGGTTTTTTCCAAAGCACACAAATGCTAGTGGTGGAGCTGGTTTAAGGCCAAGAATCCTCAACTGACAAAGAGCTCAGTAAGCCCTGGGTAGGATAAAAAATGCAGGTGTGTCTTGCCCTAAAACATCTCAGGATGAAAGAACTCGTTGGAAGTGCCTCTCCATCCAGATTTTGTCTAAAGCGTTTAAAGGCGGCTCTCTTTCAACAATTAAGCTGGTGTGGGATGGAAGAGCTTTCCTGCAGTTAGGGAAAAACCTTCTCCCTCTTCCTCTTTCCCAGTTCCAGTTGCTTTTGAGTGACAGGCTAACCTGAGCCCTGAAGCCAGATTCAGAATTACTATGGCTTTGAATTTGATCTCTTATTGTTCTATACTGAAAGAGCAATATTCTTTTTGAGGTGAGTGAGTTCCCCATATTGGAAGCTGCTCTGGGTTTGGGGTAGAATCTTCAGGATCCAAGGGAAGAGGACTGAACTCAAAGGAAAAACAACTTGGGTTGTAGTTGGTGGTGAGACTACGCTAACTTTGTTTTTTTTTGTTTGTTTGTTTTGCTCGCCAAGAAAGCCTCTCCTAATTCACCAGTTCCAGAAGGCTGCCTGCTTCCCTGGCCACAGGGGTAGGTATGTATTCAGGTGTGACCAATCATTCTGTCCTGACGTTAGTGATTGACCCAAGGGTCAAACTGGGTCTTGCCAAGGTCCGATAAATATAAAGTAAATATCCATGGTTGCTCCATAGGAGGCTGTGAATTTGGGGCTCTTGGGCACCGTGTTATTACCTGACATGGGGAGACTTGGAATGAGGCCGACAGACAGGTGGCAGGGATGAAAGATAAATGCAGGCGGGCATGAAGCTGCATGACAGGGAGAGTCCTGGGAGTGTGGAGTCGACCACAACTCCTCGCTCTCCCCAACCCCATGTGAAACCCATCAGCGAGGTCTTTCATCTCCACCTTTGAAAGAGAACCAAATTCTGATGATGTAATGACATCTCACCAGGCCCACTTTGACAATCTTAAGTCCAGAGGGCAGAAGGTCTCTCCTAGAAAACAACAGTGGTGTTCTATCTGGTCTCCCTGCTCTCTGCTTTGCTTCCGCATAGGCTAGTTTCCATATAGCAAAGAGGTCATTTGGTTGTTGTCTGCTTGGCTAGAGAGCTTTGAAACAGTCCTTACATTCTGTCGCTCCTCTGCTCAAACTCTCCAAATGATTCCCATCTCACTCACAGTAAAAGCCAATGCCTTACGGTAGTTTGCCACTCCCTGCAACCTGCTGTCCACCTCTGCTCACGGTCCTCCCCACTGTTCCTTGAACAGAACATGCACGTTCCCAGCTTCACGTCTTTGTATTGGCTATTCTATCTGCCTGGAAGATGGCAGGGCTCACCCCCTAAGCCCTGCAGGCCTTTATTCAATGTCACCTTAGTAGTAGGGCCTTCCCTACCCCACCACACCCCTCCCCTCCACTCACACAATTCTCTGTCTTCTGACACGGCTATTTTTTTTGTAATTTTTGCACACTATATATTTATTTTTCTGTTTGTTGTTGATGTCATAATTTTCATCACCGTGTAGCTGAAACCTGAAACGCTCAGCTGAAACACTGAATGGCCCCTGAAACCTAGTGACTACAATCAGTTGCAATCCTGGCATTCCGGGTGCTGGTCCCAGCTGTTCTTTCCTTTATTCTGCTGGTTTCAACAGCGGCCTTCCCAGCTACCAGAGCCTATTAATTCCCACTTTTGCACAGGCTAACTTGACTTGTGTTGGAGTACTGCCATTTTTAAACCTGGAAATTTGGAGGCGGATCTGTAAAATGTCTAAAGATGAAATACATTGGTTTCCCCCCCCCCGCCCAAGCTTTTGATATTGGTTCAAACTATGGGCTTTCAAGATGCCAATAGCTGAATCCAACACAAATGTAGAGCTTATTCATAGTTTTCATATCATTGTCTCTTGTTAAATTGTACATTCTTAAATTTTTTTGCTACATTCTTAAGCCTGAGTTTTGGTATCTCTTAGGGTCAGCATTCTCCTGTGGGAATTTATCTCTGAAATCAAACCTAATTAAGAGAGTACATGGGGTTCAATTTAGATAACTGCTTACAGTCAACTTTTTCAGATGGGTAACTCATAAAATGAGGAGTACGGTGGTGTTAACACTCCATTTCCTTATCATCGGGGTAGTGTAGGGCTGAAGTGGAATGACCGACAAGGAAACATCTGGAATCAGCTATTTTGTGGCAGTAATTACATATCCTCACCCACTTCTGCATGGAAGCTTCCTCTAGGCTGCAGGCCACTGGTATTCCACCTTTGCTGTACCTTAAAATCACCTGCGTTGAGTTGAAAACTCCTTATATCCAGGCTGCACCCTGGACCAATTAAATCAGATCTCTGGGGTAGGAAAAACATCAGTGAGAACAACAGCAGGTAGTCCTGAGCATATACTGCCTATCAGGTTCCAAGCTATGTGCTTTACATGAATGATCTCATTTAATCCTAACAATTCTTCTATAAGGCGGTATTCTTACTATCCCACCTAAACAGAAGGGGAACTAGATAGAGGTGCACAGAGTTTAAGTAGATTTTCCAAGGCTTTTTGCAGGGAGCCAGTGAAGAGAACCAGTTACTAATCTAGACAATCTGACTTCAGAGGCAAAGCTCTTTCACAATTTGCTTTTTATTTAAAACATGAAATGTACATAATCAATTTTATTATATATTATATATAATATTATTATATTATATATAATATATATAAATTATATATAATATATATATATTTTTTGAGATGGAGTCTCGCTCTGTCACCCAGGCTGGAGTGCAGTGGTGCAATCTCAGCTCACTGCAAGCTCCGTCTCCCTGGTTCACACCATTCTCCTGCCTCAGCCTCCTGAGTAGCTGGGACTACAGGCACCCACCACCATGCCCAGCTAATTTTTTGTATTTTTTAGTAGAGACAGGGTTTCACTGTGTTAGCCAGGATGGTCTCGATCTCCTGACCTCGTGACCTGCCCGGCTTGGCCTCCCAGAGTGTTGGGATTACAGGCATGAGCCACCGCACCCGGCCTATATTTGTTTTGAGACAGAGTTTTTCTCTGTTGCCCAGACTGGAGCGCAGTGGCGCAATCTCGGCTCACTGCAACCTCCACCTCCCAGGTTCAAGAAATTCTTGTGCCTCAGCCTCCTAAGTAGCTGGGATTACAGGGGTGCACCACCACACCTGGCTAATTTTTGTATTTTTAGTAGAGACGGGGTTTCACCATTTTGGCCAGGCTGGTCTCGAACTCCTGACCTCAAGCGATCCACCTGCCTCGGCCTCCCAAAGTGTTGGGATTATAGGCGTGAGCCACCACACCCAGCTGAAATATACATAATTTAAGGAGTCAAATAGTTCTCCAAAGCTCATTACCAAAAATACCAGTCTACCAGTCCCCTTCTTATCCCCCAGCTGATCTATTTCCTCATCCTCAAGGTGATCACTTTTAATCATTTTGGCTATTTCTTTTCATATTGATATCTATGCCTCTATCATTGTTTATAATGTGACTTTTGCTTTTTTCACTTCAAGGCTTGGCTGTTACCTTCCCAAATGGAAAATGAGGGTGTAGATTTCATTGCCCATTACTGCCCACTTCTCCTGATCTACCTTTGATGATACCAGAGTGGATTACATTATTTGGACTGTGTAAGTATTATGAATTGTGTAAATAGCAGAGCTATGCAATATGTTCACCATATGACTATTCTTTCCTTTCTTAAACAACTCTATTTTGTTACCAAGGTGTAGAATCTGCTGTTATCTCTCTCAGAGTAATCATGGTTGTTGGTTTCTTGTTTGTTTGTTTGTTTGTTTGCTTTCATTGGTGGGTGAGGTGTAATCTCATGTTCTTGCATAGTTTCTGTTTACTTCAAGTTGCTTTTTTGTTTGTCTCTTCTGGAATCCGCCTCAGATGTTCTGTGATCTTTGGCTGTTTGCTCGTGAGTGTCAGAGAGGTGCAGAAAGCAGACTGGAAACTGCATAAATGGGGAGAAGGAGGGTTGTCTCTTCTGGCTTCACTGAACGTTTCCTCAGGAAACTCCAGCATCGGTATCACTAACATGCAGAGTTAGGAAAGGGATCTGTGCATCTAAATGTTTTGAAAACACTTTTCACCAACCATCTTCTTTTAAGCTCCTAGTTTACCCTCCCTTCCAAAGGTACCCATGCTATCCATTCCTGAGGCTTTTCAAGGACCTGGATGCAAATTGAGTTGCATCTCAGCTTTTCCCATTGGCTGACTTAGAATGCATCTGTCCAGAATGCACTCTGCCAGTGATCAGTTAGTTATGCCCCTGCTTTAAAAAAAAATCATGCACACGGGCCAGGAGCGGTGGCTTACACCTGTAATCCCAGCACTTTGGGAGGGCGAAGTGGGTGGATCACGAGGTCAGGCATTCAAGACCAGCCTGGCCAACATGGTGAAACCCTGTCTCTACTAACAATACAAAAATTACCCAGGCATGGTGGCGTGTGCCTGTAGTCCCAGCTACTTGGGAGGCTGAGGCAGGAGAATCACTTGAACCCAGGAGGCAGAGATTGCAGTGAGCCAAGATCTCGCCACTGCACTCCAGCCTAGGTGACAGAGCAAGACTCTGTGTGAAAAAAAAAAAAAGTATGCACACGTATCTATATTACACACATGTATCTGTTATATGACCTTGTGACTCAATCTCTTTGTCATAGTGACTTTATGTCCTCACTGAAACTTTCTACCCTCATTTTACTGGGGACACAGATAGGAGTGGAGCTAAACGAGTGTGCTCAATCCATCATCCTTAATGGAGGAATCAGAGCGCCCCATCACCACTTTTATTAAAATGATAGAAAATCGACTGTCTGCCTGCTAGAGAGTGTGTATAAGCACCTCCACAAGCCTGCTTCACTTGCTTCTCACAGCCGTTTTAGATAGGTCAGGAGGCCTTCATATGCCCACGGGAATAATAGGGCGCTTAGCCGAGACCACGTCGCAGGTCTCTTGACATCTAACCCAGTGCCATTTCCACGTGTTCAGATGCTATCCTGGGCTATTCCGAGGACAACACTTGAAACGGGAAAGAATGATGTGCCTGGGCCCACCAGAGATTATGGGAAACCTTGATGCTGTTTATCACCTTGATTCAAATTTCATGTTCACAGCCTGAGTCTACAAAGAAGAGAAACAGAAGAGGGAAGCCTGGTGTAAAACTCTTTCATTCCATTCTTGTCTGTCTTTATCTGCTCCAACTGTGAGGGCTGCTTACCCTAGAAGCAGATCAATGCAGAGATGGACATATTTGCAGCACCTACAAAGGGTGAGAAAAGACAGGGGATTCCCAGGCACCGGAAGAATGAGGAAAACAGTGACCTTTGTTCCCAGGCTACAGAAAAATGCTGTATCTAAACTGACATCGGCCGGCTGGATGGCATTTAGAAGCCAAATGAACTGCTGTTAAGCGGCGAGGTCAGGGGTTCAGCTAATTGTGGAACCACGGGCACTCCCCACAGACCCAGAAATCTTTGTAATCTATGGCTTAGGGACATACATTGTGAAGGTGATTTTTACAGTTCATCTTTGAAAATAGAAAGACGCGGGAAGCTCTGGCTGCTACACATACTGATAGTAGCCTTGCCTGGTGTCTTAGAAACATCTGTGAAATATAGCTTTCTGGCTTAAATAATAAAAGGAGATAGAAAGATAAAAAGAAATTACAACAAATACAGTGAATGAACCAGCCTTGATAAGGTACCTGCAGAAAACGACCTTATTTTCTCTCTCCAATGCATTAGAATCCATGTTGTAATTTTGTACATTCTGCAACGCTGGATGAAAAATCAGGCAAATCAAATAACTTTATCGCTATTGGTAATAAAAAGTCTTCTAGGTTGTTTAAAATCCAAGATGAGTCTCCTGGAAATCAAGCATTTCAATAAATAAAATGGCCAAGGCAATGTAGGCATCAAAACAGAAAGCTTTATCTAAAGCCAAAGTTCTTTTCCTCTTCTGTTCTGTGCCTGCCTGAGGCTCAAGATCCGTGACTGGAGATTCTTTCCTCCTCCTGCTGCCTCGTGATATTGATTCTGGCTTCCCTGGGGCTGGAGCTGAGGGGAAGGAGATATGGGAAGGGACCAGAAAGTCCTCGTTGGCGGGCACAGCTGTAATGAGACATGGGGTGTAGAGATGACCAGTTCTACATCTCTCCCTTCCGGGACCTTTTGGATTGTGAATCTCTTGATGCAGGCAGTGCCGTGTTCTGGGCAAGCAGCTTTATGAAGATTCCTCCCTCCATCCTGGGGCTTCTGTGTGTCGGTCCCTCTGTTGGGTCATGGTGCCTTCCAGGAAGCCATCTGTGCTGGCAGGGTCCTCCATGGCTTCTCATGTGGTTCATAAGAGACTCTTCTCTATCCATAGCAGTCCCACCCCTCTCTCACTCGGTTCTTCTAGGTCAGGCCAGTGGTCACAGTCTCTGCTGTTAGTTTTCCCCAGAAATAAGTCAGGTGCCAATGTCTGCACTCTGCACAGTTTTAGGGGATGCAAATCAAGTTAAAAGTGGCTACCCTGCTCCCCTGTGTTCCCAGCAGCACTGTACATAGCCTGATGGGAAGGGAAAAGGGGAAAAGGTCCCCTCTCCTCCTTTGTGGGGATGGGAGGAAACTCATCCTGCTGACTTTGCACAAGCTATACCCCTGTTTGGGCCTCCTCAGTGTCCCCTGCTGTACATGTAGGCAGGTGACGGCATTTGACTCTTTTTTTTTTTTTAATTTACCCCTTTGATGCATTTTGAGTCTGGCATTAGCCTGGCTCCTGGTGGTTTGTCCCTGGCCTTTGGGAGCCATAGTAGAATGGAAAACATTCCTCAAATATTACAGGTCCTAATCCTCACCTGTGAATATTACTTTATTTGGCAAAAAAATGTGGTTAAACTGAGCATCTGTCACTGGTAAACTGAGTTCCTTTCCTACTTTACATTGGTCACAGGGAAAGAATACCCAATTGGAAAAAAGGCAAGCAGGATTTATTCTCTGGCCAGAGAAGGAGAAGGAGTGAGCTCTCGCTCCCAAGACACCTCCTACTCCCCAAGCTGTGGGAAGCTGGGGGATTTTAAGGCGTTAGCTATGGATGTGGGAGGTTTGTAAGTATGTGCAGGTGCAAATCATAAACATGCCTCTTCATACAAAGCATGTTCAGAAAATGGCGGCGATTTTCTTCCATGGGTGGGGCTTTTAGTATTATAATGATATGTTAATGATCTAAAGGCAACAAGGAGTTGCTGGTTCTGGTTTTTTCTGGGTTTGAGCAGGCTTTATCTTCCTCTGATAACTGGTAAAATGTTCTGAAGCTGCTGGACCATCAGGAGTCCTTGTGAGCTAGCATACCAAGAGATCCAGAGAATAAAATAAGCTGTTTAAGAAATAATATCTGTGGATCATCTGAGGTCAGGAGTTTGAGAACAGCCTGGCCAACATGGTGAAACCCCATCTCTACTAAAAATACAAAAATTAGCCACTGCCCTCTAGCCTGGGTGACAGAGTGAGACTCCATCTCAAAAAAACAATACAAAAAAAAGAAATAATACTGAGCTTTCTCAGCTATCTACTGCTAAAGAAAATAATGAGCTCTTTCAGGTGTTTCTCCAGGGCTGCCCCAGATCTTGAGATGAGATTATCCTGGATTAGCCTGGGTGGGCTCTTCACGAAATCATAAGAATCCCTAGAACAGGGAGGTAGAGGGAGAGCTGACACACAGATGAGGAGGCAGCGTGCATGAAGGCAGAGATGAAAGTGCTGCAACCGCACGTCAAGGAATGCTGGCGGCACCTGATGCTGGGAGAGGCAAGGAATCGATTCTCCTCCAGAGCCTCCTGAGGCAGTGCGGCCCTGCAGACACCTTGATTTCATCCTAGGGATACTGATTTGGGACTTTTGGACTCCAGAACTGGGAAATAATAAATTGTTATAAATTTGAGCCACCCAGTTTGGGGTAATTTGTTACAGCAGCCACAGAAAATTAATAGAAGAATCTTAGCCAACAGTAGGGTGGAAAGAATTCCATTTTAAATTCTGTTTTTATTTTTTTAGAGACAGGGTCTCGTTTTGTTGCCCAGGCAGGTCTTGAACTCCCAGACTTAAGCAATCCTCCTGTCTGAGCCTCCTGTAGTGCTGAGATTACACTGTGAGCCACTGCACATGGCCTTAAATCCTGTTTATAAAAGAAACAATTTTAAAAATTATTTCAATGCTTCTGAAAAGAGCTGGTTATCTGTCTTGCGTGTTATTTTTTAAAATTATTTTGTATGGATACATAGTAGGTATATGTATTTATGGGTTACATGAGATATTTTGATACAGGCATGCAATGTGTAATAATCACATCAGGATAAATGGGATTTCCATCACCTCAAGCATTCATCATTTCTTTGTGTTATGAACATTCCAATTGTATTCTCTCAGCTAATCCAAAATGTACAACAAATTATTGCTGACTGTAGTTACCCTGTTGTTCTATCAAATCCCAGATCTTATTCACTGTATGTAACCATATTTTTGTACCCATTAACCGTTACAATTTCCCTGCCTTCCATTACCCACCCCAGCCTCTGGTGGCCACCATTCTACTCTCCTAAGTGTTGATATGCTTGAGGGGCATGATTTGATTGGTGGTATCTCTGCATTTGTTATTTTCTCTGTCTGAGTAACAGTGGGGCCTCATTGTAGGTCCTTAGTAACTTATTGGCCTAAGTCTTTCATTGACATTATCTCTGTAGACAGAACCTTCTTGCAAGTCCTATTCTCACGCAGCATTCTTGATCAGTTACGCTTGAAATGACACTATCGATGTGTTTGTTTCTTTCCTGGGGAAATTTAATATTAATTTTTCCCCAGGGAAACTCCCAGAGACAGCATGGAACAACTTGCCTTGTGCACTCCTTGCAGAAAGAGGAGGATTCCCCTGTTATTGATAAGAGATAAGAGATGTGGAGGGAGGAGCCAAGATGGCCGAATAGGAACAGCTCCGGTCTACAGCTCCCAGCGTGAGCGACGCAGAAGACGGGTGATTTCTGCATTTCCATCTGAGGTACCGGGTTCATCTCACTAGGGAGTGCCAGACAGTGGGCACAGGCCAGTGTGTGCGCGCACCGTGCGCGAGCCGAAGCAGGGCGAGGCATTGCCTCACCTGGGAAGCGCAAGCGTCAGGGAGTTCCCTTTCCGAGTCAAAGAAAGGGGTGACGGACGCACCTGGAAAATCGGGTCACTCCCACCCGAATATTGCGCTTTTCAGACCGGCTTAAAAAACGGCGCACCAGGAGACTATATCCCACACCTGGCTCGGAGGGTCCTACGCCCACGGAATCTCGCTGATTGCTAGCACAGCAGTCTGAGATCAAACTGCAAGGCGGCAGCGAGGCTGGGGGAGGGGCGCCCGCCATTGCCCAGGCTTGCTTAGGTAAACAAAGCAGCCGGGAAGCTCGAACTGGGTGGAGCCCACCACAGCTCAAGGAGGCCTGCCTGCCTCTGTAGGCTCCACCTCTGGGGGCAGGGCACAGACAAACAAAAAGACAGCAGTAACCTCTGCAGACTTAAGTGTCCCTGTCTGACAGCTTTGAAGAGAGCAGTGGTTCTCCCAGCACGCAGCTGGAGATCTGAGAACGGGCAGACTGCCTCCTCAATTGGGTCCTTGACCCCTGACCCCCGAGCAGCCTAACTGGGAGACACCCCCCAGCAGGGGCACACTGACACCTCACACGGCAGGGTATTCCAACAGACCTGCAGCTGAGGGTCCTGTCTGTTAGAAGGAAAACTAACAACCAGAAAGGACATCTACACCGAAAACCCATCTGTACATCACCATCATCAAAGACCAAAAGTAGATAAAACCACAAAGATGGGGAAAAAACAGAACAGAAAAACTGGAAACTCTAAAACGCAGAGCGCCTCTCCTCCTCCAAAGGAACGCAGTTCCTCACCAGCAACGGAACAAAGCTGGATGGAGAATGATTTTGACGAGCTGACAGAAGAAGGCTTCAGACGATCAAATTACTCTGAGCTACGGGAGGACATTCAAACCAAAGGCAAAGAAGTTGAAAACTTTGAAAAAAATTTAGAAGACTGTATAACTAGAATAACCAATACAGAGAAGTGCTTAAAGGAGCTGATGGGGCTGAAAACCAAGGCTTGAGAACTACGTGAAGAATGCAGAAGCCTCAGGAGCCAATGCGATCAACTGGAAGAAAGGGTATCAGCAATGGAAGATGAAATGAATGAAATGAAGCGAGAAGGGAAGTTTAGAGAAAAAAGAATAAAAAGAAATGAGCAAAGCCTCCAAGAAATATGGGACTATGTGAAAAGACCAAATCTACGTCTGACTGGTGTACCTGAAAGTGATGTGGAGAATGGAACCAAGTTGGAAAACACTCTGCAGGATATTATCCAGGAGAACTTCCCCAATCTAGCAAGGCAGGCCAACGTTCAGATTCAGGAAATACAGAGAACGCCACAAAGATACTCCTCGAGAAGAGCAACTCCAAGACACATAATTGTCAGATTCACCAAAGTTGAAATGAAGGAAAAAATGTTAAGGGCAGCCAGAGAGAAAGGTCGGGTTACCCTCAAAGGAAAGCCCATCAGACTAACAGCTGATCTCTCAGCAGAAACCCTACAAGCCAGGAGAGAGTGGGGGCCAATATTCAACATTCTTAAAGAAAAGAATTTTCAACCCAGAATTTCATATCCAGCCAAACTAAGCTTCATAAGTGAAGGAGAAATAAAATACTTTATAGACAAGCAAATGCTGAGAGATTTTGTCAACACCAGGCCTGCCCTAAAAGAGCTCCTGAAGGAAGCGCTAAACATGGAAAGGAACAACCGGTACCAGCCGCTGCAAAATCATGCCAAAATGTAAAGACCATGGAGACTAGGAAGAAACTGCATCAACTAACGAGCAAAATCACCAGCTAACATCATAATGACAGGATCAAATTCACACATAACAATATTAACTTTAAATATAAATGGACTAAATTCTGCAATTAAAAGACACAGACTGGCAAGTTGGATAAAGAGTCAAGACCCATCAGTGTGCTGTATTCAGGAAACCCATCTCACGTGCAGAGACACACATAGGCTCAAAATAAAAGGATGGAGAAAGATCTACCAAGCCAATGGAAAACAAAAAAAGGCAGGGGTTGCAATCCTAGTCTCTGATAAAACAGACTTTAAACCAACAAAGATCAAAAGAGACAAAGAAGGCCATTACATAATGGTAAAGGGATCAATTCAACAAGAGGAGCTAACTATCCTAAATATTTATGCACCCAATACAGGAGCACCCAGATTCATAAAGCAAGTCCTGAGTGACCTACAAAGAGACTTAGACTCCCACACATTAATAATGGGAGACTTTAACACCCCACTGTCAACATTAGACAGATCAACGAGACAGAAAGTCAACAAGGATACCCAGGAATTGAACTCAGCTCTGCACCAAGCGGACCTAATAGACATCTACAGAACTCTCCACCCCAAATCAACAGAATATACATTTTTTTCAGCACCACACCACACCTATTCCAAAATTGACCACATAGTTGGAAGTAAAGCTCTCCTCAGCAAATGTAAAAGAACAGAAATTATAACAAACTATCTCTCAGACCACAGTGCAATCAAACTAGAACTCAGGATTAAGAATCTCACTCAAAGCCGCTCAACTACATGGAAACTGAACAACCTGCTCCTGAATGACTACTGGGTACATAACGAAATGAAGGCAGAAATAAAGATGTTCTTTGAAACCAACGAGAACAAAGACACCACATACCAGAATCTCTGGGACGCATTCAAAGCAGTGTGTAGAGGGAAATTTATAGCACTAAATGCCTACAAGAGAAAGCAGGAAAGATCCAAAATTGACACCCTAACATCACAATTAAAAGAACTAGAAAAGCAAGAGCAAACACATTCAAAAGCTAGCAGAAGGCAAGAAATAACTAAAATCAGAGCAGAACTGAAGGAAATAGAGACACAAAAAACCCTTCAAAAAATCAATGAATCCAGGAGCTGGTTTTTTGAAAGGATCAACAAAATTGATAGACCGCTAGCAAGACTAATAAAGAAAAAAAGAGAGAAGAATCAAATAGACGCAATAAAAAATGATAAAGGGGATATCACCACCGATCCCACAGAAATACAAACTACCATCAGAGAATACTACAAACACCTCTACACAAATAAACTAGAAAATCTAGAAGAAATGGATACATTCCTCGACACATACACTCTCCCAAGACTAAACCAGGAAGAAGTTGAATCTCTGAATAGACCAATAACAGGCTCTGAAATTGTGGCAATAATCAATAGTTTACCAACCAAAAAGAGTCCAGGACCAGATGGATTCACAGCCGAATTCTACCAGAGGTACAAGGAGGAACTGGTACCATTCCTTCTGAAACTATTCCAATCAATAGAAAAAGAGGGAATCCTCCCTAACTCATTTTATGAGGCCAGCATCATTCTGATACCAAAGCCAGGCAAAGACACAACCAAAAAAGAGAATTTTAGACCAATATCCTTGATGAACATTGATGCAAAAATCCTCAATAAAATACTGGCAAACCGAATCCAGCAGCACATCAAAAAGCTTATCCACCATGATCAAGTGGGCTTCATCCCTGGGATGCAAGGCTGGTTCAATATACGCAAATCAATAAATGCAATCCAGCATATAAACAGAGCCAAAGACAAAAACCACATGATTATCTCAATAGATGCAGAAAAAGCCTTTGACAAAATTCAACAACCCTTCATGCTAAAAACTCTCAATAAATGAGGTATTGATGGGACGTATTTCAAAATAATAAGAGCTATCTATGACAAACCCACAGCCAATATCATACTGAATGGGCAAAAACTGGAAGCATTCCCTTTGAAAACTGGCACAAGACAGGGATGCCCTCTCTCACCACTCCTATTCAACATAGTGTTGGAAGTTCTGGCCAGGGCAATCAGGCAGGAGAAGGAAATAAAGGGTATTCAATTAGGAAAAGAGGAAGTCAAATTGTCCCTGTTTGCAGACGACATGATTGTATATCTAGAAAACCCCATTGTCTCAGCCCAAAATCTCCTTAAGCTGATAAGCAACTTCAGCAAAGTCTCAGGATACAAAATCAATGTACAAAAATCACAAGCATTCTTATACACCAACAACAGACAAACAGAGAGCCAAATCATGACTGAACTCCCATTCACAATTGCTTCAAAGAGAATAAAATACCTAGGAATCCAACTTACAAGGGATGTGAAGGACCTCTTCAAGGAGAACTACAAACCACTGCTCAAGGAAATAAAAGAGGACACAAACAAATGGAAGAACATTCCATGCTCATGGGTAGGAAGAATCAATATCGTGAAAATGGCCATACTGCCCAAGGTAATTTACAGATTCAATGCCATCCCCATCAAGCTACCAATGACTTTCTTCACAGAATTGGAAAAAACTACTTTAAAGTTCATATGGAACCAAAAAAGAGCCCGCATTGCCAAGTCAATCCTAAGCCAAAAGAACAAAGCTGGAGGCATCACACTACCTGACTTCAAACTATACTACAAGGCTACAGTAACCAAAACAGCATGGTACTGGTACCAAAACAGAGATATAGATCAATGGAACAGAACAGAGCCCTCAGAAATAATGCCGCATATCTACAACTATCTGATCTTTGACAAACTTGAGAAAAACAAGCAATGGGGAAAGGATTCCCTATTTAATAAATGGTGCTGGGAAAACTGGCTAGCCATATGTAGAAAGCTGAAACTGGATCCCTTCCTTACACCTTATACAAAAATCAATTCAAGATGGATTAAAGATTTAAACGTTAGACCTAAAACCATAAAAACCCTAGAAGAAAACCTAGGCATTACCATTCAGGACATAGGCGTGGGCAAGGACTTCATGTCCAAAACACCAAAAGCAATGGCAACAAAAGCCAAAATTGACAAATGGGATCTAATTAAACTAAAGAGCTTCTGCACAGCAAAAGAAACTACCATCAGAGTGAACAGGCAACCTACAACATGGGAGAAAATTTTCGCAACCTACTCATCTGACAAAGGGCTAATATCCAGAATCTACAATGAACTCAAACAAATTTACAAGAAAAAAACAAACAACCCCATCAAAAAGTGGGCGAAGGACATGAACAGACACTTCTCAAAAGAAGACATTTATGCAGCCAAAAAACACATGAAGAAATGCTCATCATCACTGGCCATCAGAGAAATGCAAATCAAAACCACTATGAGATATCATCTCACACCAGTTAGAATGGCAATCATTAAAAAGTCAGGAAACAACAGGTGCTGGAGAGGATGTGGAGAAATAGGAACACTTTTACACTGTTGGTGGGACTGTAAACTAGTTCAACCATTGTGGAAGTCAGTGTGGCGATTCCTCAGGGATCTAGAACTAGAAATACCATTTGACCCAGCCATCCCATTACTGGGTATATACCCAAAGGACTATAAATCATGCTGCTATAAAGACACATGCACACGTATGTTTATTGTGGCATTATTCACAATAGCAAAGACTTGGAACCAACCCAAATGTCCAACAATGATAGACTGGATTAAGAAAATGTGGCACATATACACCATGGAATACTATGCAGCCATAAAAAATGATGAGTTCATGTCCTTTGTAGGGACATGGATGAAATTGGAAACCATCATTCTCAGTAAACTATCGCAAGAACAAAAAACCAAACACCGCATATTCTCACTCATAGGTGGGAATTGAACAATGAGATCACAAGGACACAGGAAGGGGAATATCACACTCTGGGGACGGTGGTGGGGTCGGGGGAGTGGGGAGGGATAGCAGTGGGAGATACATCTAATGATAGATGACACGTTGGTGGGTGCAGCGCACCAGCATGGCACATGTATACATATGTAACTAACCTGCACAATGTGCACATGTACCCTAAAACTTAAAGTATAATAAAAAAAAAATTAAAAAAAAAAAAAAAAAGAGATGTGATTGACACCTCCGATGCTGAGCTGGCTCCCGGTTCTGGCATCCTGACTGTTGACACACAGAAACTTAAAGGTGTACTAGAACTTGAGGTTTTGTAATCCGAACCCTAGAGTTTGCAAGTGAGGCCCCTGAAACCTATGGAGCTCGTTGGTTGAGGAGCGCAGTGAGCGCAGGGTCACTTCCAGAATCATGCTGGCCGCCTTTGGCCACTTGGTCACACTCTTCCTCTCTCTATGCTCGTTTCTCCATCTCTCTCTCTCTCTCTCTCTCTCTCTCTCTCTTTTTTTAGACTGAGTTTTGCTCTTGTTGCCCAGGCTGGAGTGCAATGGTGCGATCTTGGTTCACTGCAACCTCCGCCTCCCGGATTCAAGTGATTCTCCTTGCCTCAGCCTCCTAAGTAGCTGGAATTACAGGTGTCCACCACCATGCCCGGCTAATTTTTGTGTTTTTAGTAGAGACAGGGTTTCACCATGTTGGCCAGGCTGGTCTCGAACTCCTGACCTCAGGTGATCCACCCACCTTGGCCTCCCAAACTGCTGGGATTACAAGCATGAGCTACTATGCTTGGCCTCATTTCTTCATCTCTAAAAAGGAGAAGAAGGCAGGGCCAGGAAACTTCTCTGTTTGCTCATCCAACAAACAGTTGTTAAGGAAGCGACCCCTTGCCAGACCTCTGACTAGGTGCCAGAGTTAGGAACACAAATCTAACAGTTCCTTTCCGATGGAACCCAGTCTGATGAGCCACATACTTCCCTCGGATCCCCCCTTTCAAGTTAAGACTTGTATGGATGTCCATCATCTATACCAGATAAAAGCAGAAGGGCTGTGGTTGCAGCAGATACTGGGGAAGGCAGGTAGAGGCAGGGTAACTTGGTGCCCCATAAACTTGGTACCTTCTACTTCCCTGGCTATTCCTAGGGTCTCAGGAACTCTAAGACTCAGTGGTGTCTCAGCTGCAAAAATGCAAAGTAGAGCCCAGCCCAGCATGGCGACTACGAGCCCTGGCTCTGGGGACATTCAATTTGGTTTCTGATTGCTGCTGCTGCTTCCAAGCTTTGAGATCTTGTTCAAATTATTTAATTCCTCCATGTCTCAATATTGTCATCCATAAAATTAGGATTATACCTAATTCTAATAGTACCTAATTCCTTGAATGTTGAAAATAGTAAATGAATTCATTCATATATAACACAACAGAGCTGGACACAGAGTAAGCACTCAAGAAATGTCAGGTAATACAGTCCACGTGTTCATGAACTGCCCTTCAGCTCTCTCCAATCCAGCATAGCTGTCCACATTCTTCAATCAGCGTGGATGACAGCAATGGAACAGACTTGAAAGTTTAGGAAAATTCCACTTGACTTGAAAGCACCTTGATGACAGATCATACGATGCTTGCCTTCTAATGGTCAGGACTGAACTTCAAGAAGCTCTGGACACTGACTGAGGCCAAGCCCAGTCAAGGGGAACAGAAGGGAAGCCATCTGGGACTTCATCTCAGTCTGCCAGGAAACTGACATCTTTTTGCAAGTTAACAACCAGGGAATCAGAGGGAAATTACTTTTATCAGAGGGTTATGGCTTTGCCACTAGAAAGGGAGGCTTTCCTGTTTGCCGAGCCTTTAGCACAGGTCCAGCAATAACATGAAGGAGAAAGGCTGGGAATAACCCAAAGCAAACTGGAGAGAAGCTTCAACTTGGAGATGGGGTGGGAGTTGGAGGAGAGACTGGAAAGGAACAGGAAGAGAGGCAGTTTTGGACCAAGTGTCAGAGATGGAAGGGGAGGAAAGGAAGAAGGCTGAACGGTCTTCTCACTAAGGACAGTTCATCATCCTGTAGACTCATTGCTCAGGGACCTGGGGCCTGCATTCCGAACAGTGGCGAACAGATGTAGCCTGGAGGGCCTGCGGATGACCCTGGGAAAGATGCAGCTGGTGGTGGAGGATGCCCGCGAGGCAGTGACCACCTGAGCTCTGGCACCCGCGCTCCCCACCTGGCCTGTGTGCATTTACTCAGCCCACCGATAGCATCTGCAAAAGCTCCAGGGGCTCCAGATCAAGTTCCCAAGGAAGGCTGACATCAGACCCAAGGGAGGAATGCTTCCTTCCCGTTCCCATTCGAACCAACAATGCAGCCTGTGGCAGGTGTCCCTGCGTCACAGAAACCACAAGGACAGTGAGACCAGGCTGAGTGCTCCTGGCCCTTGCCCGGGTGCCCTTGCATTCGTATGTTCTACACCAAACCTGTGAGCCCAGCCAGTGGGAGGAGGAGGAGAAGGAAGGTGAGCGGATTGGCTCTAACTTTCCACCCTGCTGGAAAAGAATCCAATCCCTTCTGGACGAATGCCACTTTCACAGATAAAGGAAGAATGTGGAAATAGCAGTCAGAGCTGAACCAACAAGAAGGAAGGTCGGCCCAACGTGTATTGGATGTCTACAACATACCAGATATTGGATCTGACAATTTACGTTCACTCTAGTTTATTCTCAAAGATGAGACCTGGGCTGGGCACAGTGGGTCATGCCTGTAATCCCAGCATTTTGGGAGGCCCAGGTAGGTGGAGCACTTGAGGTCAGGGGTTTGGGACCAGCCTGGCTAACATGGTGAAATCTCGCCTCTACTAAAAATACAAAAATGAGCCAGGCATGGTGGTACATGCCTGTAATCTCAGCTACTCAGGAGGCTGAAGCAGGAAAATTGTTCGAAACTGGGAGGCGGAGGTTGCAGTGAGCCGAGATCGTGCCATTACACTACAACCTGGGTGACAGAGTGAGAATTTGTCTCAAAAAAAAAAAAAGAAAAGAAAAGAAAAGAAAAGGAGGCCCCAAGGTTGGAGTTACCATCCTCATTTTACAGGGGAAGAAACTCAGGCTCACTGACTTTCAGTCACCTACCCCAGGGCCATGTAGCTGGATTTGGAGCCAGGCTGGTCCTACTCCAAAGAAAGAGTTCTTTCCATGATGAGAGTAGAACCCAAATACTACCTGCCGACTGGTGTTGGAAGCTGCTTAAGGATACAGATGTCTGCTTCTAGCTCTGGAAAAACTGATTTAGAAGTTCTGAGGTGAGGCTGAGAAATACGCCTCAGCAAATATTTCTAAAGCCCTCCTGGTAATTTGGGTCCTTAGCTGGATCAGGCACCAGATTGTCACACGGCACCAGCCCCTCCCACCGACACCTCTGACCCTGGTGAAAGCAGCATCAGTGCTTGTAAGAAGGCCCGAGACCTGAGATTCCACCCACCAGATCTGCCTTGACCCACTGCAGTTCCCTTCATCCTGGACCCCGGTCTCCTTCATCAGAAGGACATTGGAACTACCCAGTCTATCTGCTTTCTACTGGGTTGTATAGCTCCCTGCAGATGGGATCTGGCCTCCCTACAAACTCCATCAGATATTCTTCATTTAACAAACACTTCTAGAACAGTCACTATGTGCCTGGCAGCACTGTGTTTTACATACACAATCAATTCTCATTAGTTGCCATAGTTATGTTCTTTTTTTTCTTTTTTATTTTTGAGATGGAGTTTCACTCTTGTCACCTAGGCTAGAGTGCAATGGCATGATTTCAGCTCACTGCAACCTCCGCTTCTCAGGTTCAAGCAATTCTCCTGCCTCAGCCTCCCAAGTAGCTGGGATTACAGGTGCCTGCCACCACGCCCAGCTAATTTTTGTATTTTTAGTAGAGATGGGGCTTCACCATGTCAGCCAGGCTAGTCTCGAACTCCCGGCCTAAAGTGATCCACCCACCTGGGCATCCCAAAGTGCTGGGATTACAGGTGCGAGCCACCACGCCTGGTATGTAGTTATGTTCTATAGATTCTCAGCAAACACTGAGTTAACAAATACTGAACCAT
The DNA here is from genome assembly GCF_000001405.40 of Homo sapiens. Taxonomy (NCBI): domain Eukaryota; kingdom Metazoa; phylum Chordata; class Mammalia; order Primates; family Hominidae; genus Homo; species Homo sapiens. The sequence goes on along the minus strand of NW_018654717.1, from coordinate 4,871,349 downwards.
TGCTCCTAGGGGAGAGCCAGAGTGAGGTTTGTATGAGCAGAAGGTCACAATGTTTTGTTAACAGGTCAGTACATAATTTGGCTTTCTATGAGCTTCTGTCTAAAGACATCTTATTTCACATATATTGTTGACTCATTAACATTGAAATCACAGCCCACAACACTATAACTCATGCATGAACTAAGCTTTTCCAAACACACATATTTTCTCTGTAAGGCACGTCCCAACTTTCTGTGCTTAGGAACACGGGGCGGCACTTCAGCGCCATGCCTGGGGCCCATTTCAGATAGAAAAATGACTAACAAAAAGTACAAACGTGCAATAAATGTGTACTAAATAGACTGCAAAAAAGACGTGTTTACAAACTGAGAGCTGAAATAGTAGGGCAGAGGGTAACCTTGTTCAGCCACAGCTGGGAACATGCATGTTGGTGACACACATGCTTGCAGCTCTGCACGTGTCCACAAATGACCACAAAAGTGTCCTAGGTATTGATCTGGGAGTCACAAATAAATGTTAGCAAGTAGGCAAGATCACAAATGCAGAATTAAGAGGATCAGCAGTATTCACTCATTTAATTGTTAACAGTTCATGAAGTAGGTGTTATCCTCGCCCCTCTTTGATCCTGATAAGGATCAAGAACTCAGAATGAGTTCCAGAATCCTGAATAAGTTGTAAAAAAATTTATTAACAGATTCCAAAAATGTCACTCTCATTTTAATAGATGAAAGAATGAAGGTACAGAGAGGTCAGCAACTTGCCCAAGGTCACACAGCGAGTAAGCGGTAGAGTTGGGATTTAAGTCTGGTGTATGAGGCTGAAAGTTAACCCTATAATCATGTTGCCCTTGAGTGATTTCAAACCGTGGACTGCACAGCTGACCATGACCAGAGCCTACCCATCAAGGTGACACTGATGTAATTAAAAAGGAAAGAAGCCAGGTGCAGAGGCTCACGCCTATAATCCCTGCACTTTGGGAGGCTGAGGCGGGTGGATCACCTGAGGTCAGGAGTTCGAGACCAGCCAGGCCACCATGGTAGAACCCCGTCTCTACTAAAAATACAAAAAAAAAGGAAAGAAAGAAAGAAAGAAAGAAAGAAAGAAAGAAAGAAAGAAAGAAAGAAAGAAAGAAAGAAAGAAAGAAAAAAAAAAAAAAAAAAAAAATAGCCAGGTGTGGTAGCCAGCACCAGTAGTCCCAGCTAGTCGGGAGGCTGAGGCACGAGGAGAATCAGTTGAACCTGGGAGGCAGAGGTTGCAGTGAGCCAAGATTGTGCCACTTCACGCCATCCTGGGTGACAGAGTGAGACTCTGTCTCAAAAAGAAAAAAAAAAAAAAAAAAAAGGAAAAACACAATACTTTTGTATAGTTTTAGGCACTTCTAGATATTCATTAGGCCTGTTGCCTATGTCCTCTTAACTTTGAGTTTCTCAAACTGTTCTAGGAGCCCTGATTTCAGAATCATCTGGTGTAATACAACTTCTCAGAGATTCTAATTTGACTGGCTTAAGGTGGGGCTACATTTTTAATAACTGCCTCAAATAAGCCTAATGTTTTCGGATTTAGAAAGCACTGCCTAAAATTCAATGCCATATTGAATCAAAATTACACATCAAAAATAATATTTCTTTTTGAAATTAGTAGCATTCAGAGCTCTTCAGACTTTTCTTTTTAAGGTCACAGTTTTGTTTTCTTAATAGGTTGGGGGGAGGAAATTGGTCAAATAAAAATTATCGGAAATTCAATTAAAAAGTAGAAAGAGTATTTTTTTTTTAAAGACTTGCTTCAAGATTTCTATAATACCAAAAACTGGCCGAGAGCGGTGGCTCATGCCTATAATCCCAGCATTTTGGGAGGCCGAGGTGGGTGGATCACCTTAGGTCAGCAGTTTGAGACCAGTCTGGTCAATACGGTGAAACCCTGTCTCTACTAAAAATACAAAAATTAGCTGGGCATGGTGACAGGCACCTGTAATCCCAGCTACTTAGGAGGCTGAGGCAGGAATCGCTTGAACCAGGGAGGCAGAGGTTGCAGTGAGCCGAGATTGCGCCATTGCACTCCAGGCTGGGCAACAAGAGTGAAACTCTGTCTCAAAAAAAGAAAAAAAAAAAAAAAGATTTCTGTAATACCGAAAGTTAAAGAAACTTTGGCTTACTCAAAGATTTGATTTCTCTCTGAAGGGTGGGTTCTTACCTAGCTCAAACTCATAAAACTCTTGTCCAATGAAGAAACAGGAGGTTGTTATCCCTTCTCTGTTTATCAACTTCTCCAAGATCTGACTTTTCAAGAAAAAAAATTACAGGTTCAGTTGAGAACAATGGAGAAACTAGGTTAGCCCATTAATGTTGCTTTTAGAAATCTGAGCACTTAAAAATAATGACTAACTGGAAGATTGTTACAGCAGTGTGCATTTGTCAAAATCCACTTAGCTACTTGTGATTTGTGTACTGCCATGTTAATAAATTATAGTTTGATATGAAATACACAGAAAAAGTTTTTAAAAATGAGTCAGTGCTTTTGCGTAATTCTACTCCTCACATTCTATTTTTTTCTGAGTTATCACAGAAGACAAGGTCTGTGTGTGCACTAACTTTTTTTCTGATTTTGTTCTCACTTGTTTAGTCCTGTGCAGAAGTCAAAGGAGACATGGCCAGAGGGCTGCTGAAATATTCACCAGCTTAATGTTACCTCTGGGAAGAAGGGATGGGCATGGACTTGCTATGCCTTCTGCTGTGTTTCTCTGAAAAAAAAAAAAAAAAAAAAAAGGAATGCACTATGATGGTTTCAAAGAAACAGTTGTGCACCACATCAAAGGCCCTCACTGTGAAACCAGCTACCATCCAAGGTTCCAGTCATCTCAGTGGTAACGGAGCCTGAGCAAAGGGCAATATGGGCCTCTAAGATTTTGTCTGGGCAGCAGTCCACCGATCTCATCTTCCTCTATTATATTACCTCATCATTTGGGAGTTTGGAAGATGAATGGGTGAAGGAATGCATCTCAGTGGTAATGGAGCCTCAGCAAAGGGCAATATGGTCCTTTAAGATTTTCTGTCTGGGCAGCAGTCCACCAGTTTCATCTTCCTCTACTATACTAGCTCATCATCCAGGAGTTTGGAAGATGAAGGGGAGAAGGAATGCTTTGCAATCATCTGCGATTGGAAACTGAGCCCAGACACTCCGAACTACCGTCCTGGCTGGAGCTGTCTCTTTCACAGACATCTTTCTTTAGCAATAGTTGCTTTGGGGATTACAAAAAGGAACGGGATGGGCATAGTGGTGTGCACCTGTAATCCCAGCTACTTGAGAGGCTGAGGCTGGAGGATTGCTTGAGGCTGGGAGTTCCAGGCTGTAGTGCACTATGATCATGCATATGGAGAGCCACTGCACTCTATCCTGGGTGACATAGTGAGAGCTCATTCCTAAAATAATTTTCTGAAACTAGAAGAAAAAAAGGGACAGGTTGCTTTTCATGTACAAAAGGACCCCTGGCTAGCTTGCTCATGGGATAAGAAGTTGATGCTTATTTGTCTACCCTTCCTTAACCTGCTTCCCCTGGGAGGAACCACACACAGTGGGAGGTACCAATCAGGACTCACCGAACTCTGTGAGTTTTGTAATGGGGAAACACACACCCCAACCAGCTGCTCCTGATCTGAATGCTTTTCTTGGGCTAAGTGATTTGTTCTGTGACGTTCTGGGCTACGTCGTGTAATAAGTATTGCCAGATGGCAATCACAAGCATCATTTCCATTTCATATTTGTGTTGCCCCATATCTCTGTCACTTTGTGCTCCCAGAGTGGGTGAAGAGGCTGGGCCCTCTGATAGTCACAGACATAGCCAGGCTTTAAAAATCTCACACCAATCACCGTAAATAATTTTAAGGCTTCTTATCCTTTAAGATCTGATATCTGGAAAGTGTGAGATTTTTTTTTCCACGAGGACTATTCATACGCTTGTTTTCTTGAGGACGGTGACCCCCTTTCAAACTCACCTGGATGATGCATTTCAAATTCTCAGAGAAGTTGCATGAGCCGATAGCTTTGAGGGAATTAAAAAAGACTCAAATCAAAGTCGATAATTAGCAGTTATGCCCGTGGATGTCAAAACACCTGAGAGGCTCTCAGTTGGCTTGGAATGTCCAAGTAGAAATCAACTTCAAACAGTGTCCTTAGCAAATTTGTAAAATGTGTATACGTGTGACTATGTGCTTTTTTTTTTTTTTTTCCTGCTTGTCACTGTGCTGCAAATTGGTTGGACCCTAAGTCAATCAGTTAAAAAGTAGGCAGTTAGGAGAAAAATGCCTTTCTGCCAGCAGTGTGGAACCACCCCTTAGCTTTAAGAACCCTGCTCGGGAGGAGATCAAACTGCCCCTGGATGAGCTGACTGTGAGAAAGCGAACCTGCCGAGTGCACAGGCCAGGGCTCATCCAAAAGTTTTGCTTGGCAGTTCTGCCCAGAACTATCTCTGTGTAGCTACTCCCTTCTGAGAAATGCAAATGTCATGCAGGCCCTCATCAAGAAAAATCACCAGCACTCGCCTTAAGAAAGAAGGGATAAATGCTCATATTATCCATTCAAATGTGAGTGTATTCAATGACCACACATGGGACTGAGCTAGATGGTATACACAATGAATACCAAAGCTGAATTTCGAGGCAGGTGCCTATAATCCCAGTGCCTGTAATCTTTGTAATCCGGAGGCTGAGGTGGGAGGATCCCTAAGTTCGGGAGTTCGAATCCAGCCTGAGCAAAATAGCAAGACCCTGTCTCTAAAAAACAACAACAACAAAAAAACAAAAAGCAGAAATTTTACCCTCCAGGGACTTATAGTCTAATATTTCTCATAGAAGCAAATTATGAACATACAGTATTTTATATATATATATATATGTTTGTTGTTGTTGTTGTTGTTTTGAGACAGAGTCTTGCTGTGTCACCCAGGCTAGAGTGCAGTGGTGTGATCTCAGTCTCAGCTCACTGCAACCTCTACCTCCCGGGCTCAAGTGATTGTCATGCCTCAGCCTTCCTAGTAGCTGGGACTACAGGCACGTGCCACCATGCCCAGCTAATTTTTGTACTTTTAGTAGAGACGGGGTTTCACCATGTTGGCCAGGCTGGTCTTGAACTCCTGACCTCAGGTGCTCCACCTGCCTCGGCCTCCCAAAGTGCTAGGATTACAGGCGTGAGCCACTGTGCTTGGAAGTATTATATTCTTTATTCTTCTGAGATTAGACATCAAATGCTGAGGGGAAATATGTAGATGAAGAAAAACAGTTGTTGAGAATGTGGAAACGTGCATCTGGCACTGTCGTGATATTAGAGAGCTCTAGACGCTGGTTTTCTGCCTAAAAAGTGAGAAGGATAATTAGGCGGCCTTTAAGTCACTCCTTCAGCTACGGGCACTCTGCAATTCTACTGCCTCTAATTCCCTACACTGCTAACAATTCATTACCATTAAGTAAGTGTAATGTTAGCTGCAGGCTTTTTACAGATAATCTTTATCAAGTTGAGGAAATTTCTTTCTATTATTAATTTTCTGAGGGTTTTTATCAGACAGATGCTGAATTTTGTCAAATGCCTTTTCGGTGCATTGATTGATATAATCATATACTTTCTCTTCTTTAGCCTGTTAAGAAGGTGGATTACATTAACAGATTTTTCAAAACATGAACCAGCCTTGTGCCACTTCCTTCTGGCTCTAAGATTTCTGATAAGAACTATGCTGCCATTCTAATTGTTTTTCTCCTGTAGGTGAGATCTTATTTCTCTTCTGCTGATTTCAAGGTTTACTTTTTCATTTCCTCTAATTTTCAGAAGTCTAATTATGACGTGTCTGTGCATGGAACTTTGTGGGGGTGTGTGTTTGAGTTACACTTAGGCTCTTAAATCTGTAGATTTCTGTTTTCTGCCATTATTTCTTTAAATACATTTTCAGCCCCATCGTCCTTCTTCTTTTCTTGGAACACCAATGACCTGAATGTTACTGTTCTGTTAGAGACCACAGGTCCCTGAAACTCTGTTAATTGAATTCTAGTTTATTTTCTCTGTCTTGTTTAGATTGCATAACATCTACTGTTCCTTCAGCTCACTGCATTATTCTTTCATACCCTCTATTCTGCTATTAAGCCCATCATGGATAATTTTATTTCAGTTATTGTATTTTTTAGTTCTAAAATTTCTGTTTGTTTTTTCTTTATATCTTCTATTTCTTTGCTGGGCCTTCTATTTTTTAATTTGTTTCAAGTGTGTTCTTGAAATATTTTTACAATGACTGCTTTAAAATCCTTGTCAGATAATTTCAACATTTCTGTCATCTCAATGTTGACATCTGTCGATTCTATTTTTGTTTGTTTGTTTGTTTGTCGTACAGATGAGGTCTTGCTATGTTGCCCAGGCTCGTCTTGAACTCCTAGGCTCAAGCCATTCTTCTGCCTCGGCCTCCCAAAGTGCTGGGATTACAGGCATGAGCCATCATGCTTAGTTTGATTCTACTTTTTAATTCATTTACAATTATTCCTGCTTATTGGTATGATGAGTGTTTTTCTTTCGAAACCTGGATATTTTTTTACTATGTTGTGAGCCCCTGGATCTTATTTAAACCTTCTGTTTGAGCTGTGTTTTGTTTTGTTTTGTTTTGTTTTTCAACACTACTTCAGTAGGAAAACAGGAGTCTCTTACTGCCAGGTAGAGGAAGAAATCCAGGTTCTCCACCCATCCTTCATTGACACCCAAGTTTGGGGGTGGGGATGCTCCTTGTTACGGTTGGATGGAAGAGGAATTTTCAGCTGTGTTTGTGGTCTCCACTGATACTGAGGTAGAGCTGACCTCATTGTTGATGGTAAATCTTGAAAGTCCCGAGTCTCCACTAGAATATCCCTCTGACGCCACCCAGATGGTAGGAGGACAGGCGCTTTGTTATTGCTGGTGGAGGAGAAAGGCAAGACTCTCCTGACATTCTCCACAGATACCACGAGGTGGCCTTATGACAGGCTCTGTTTGACTGTCTCAGATGCTCCCTACAGGGGAGGTGTTGGAGCACCTTGAGACAGTCTCGTGTGGGTGGAAGTCTGGCTCTCCACTTGGATGTACTGGTGTGTGTCTTAGTCATTTCAGGCTGCTATAACAAATTACCATAGACTGAGTGGCTTATAAACAACAGAAGTTATTTCTCATGGTTCCAAGGTTGGAACCCTGAGGTCACAGTGCCAGCATCACCGGGTTCCAATGAGGACTCTTCCGGATTGCAGATGGCCCATTTCCTGCTGTATCCTCACGTGGTGCAGAGAAGCCAGCAAGCTCTTCCAAGGGCACTAACCCTATTGATAAATACTCCAGCCTCATGACTCTATCTAATTCTAATTACTTTCCAAAAGCCCTGCCAACAAATGCCATCACAGTATTAGAATTTCAACATATTCCTTTTTGGGGGGAACACAAATATTTAGTCCTTAATACCATGGATGGGGTGAGGCTGTAGTTTTTCCGCATGTTTGGCTGGAGTACCATGGTTATTGTCTACAAGTTTTCTGTCTTGCTAGGCTTCTCCTTTCTTGCTCCTTTGGCTATAGAGAGCAGGTTTGGGGGGAAATTTTTTTTTGTCTGCACCTGTTTGCGTTTCTGGGTTAGCTACTTCTTCAGCTACTAGTCTCAGGTCTATGATGCTAAAAGAAACTCACCAACTTTTTTCTTCCCTTAGATCCTGAGGTCCCTGACTTCTTTGTCTTCATCTCTCCACCTTTCAGATAAGGCCCTGCCTCTGGGGAGTTTACGTTCTAGTGATAGAGACAGACAATAAACCAGCAGTTACACACATCATCACACTGTTGTGGTTTATAAGATAAATGTCGGCTTTCCCCAATGAATTATCACTATTGCTCTCATGAAAAGGCATTCCTTATGTACTTCGTTGCACATAAGGCTGTAAAAGAAAACCCTACCAAATACTTGATCCTGTGAACTTATTTAAGAAGCAGTTGTAATCTTGGCCATGTTCAAAAAAGCTGTTGCGACGGTGACTGTTTTCTTGACACATCTACATATCAGGCCAATGAAAGAAGCTGCTACCCAGAGTTTAAGACAACTGTGTTTAGCTACTTAGTATTAACCACTTGGCGCATGCAAATGACTCCCACCCTCACTCCCTCTACCCATGCAAATGCCAAAAAAGACTGGTCTCCTTTCAGTCTTTCCTATTTCTGAAAACAGCACCTCCATCCACCCAGTCATTCAAGTTCCAAACGCAAAAGTTATTCCTGTCCTTCCCTCGCCATCCCCCTACCTCCACCCCAGCCAGCAGCGAGACTTGTCAATGCCACTCCTCAAATAGCCTGGATGGGACCCCTTCTCATCACCTCCCTGCTGTAGCCCTGCTCTAAAACAGTACCTTCTCTGGCCAAGACTGGCCATAAAAGCTCCCACATGCTCTGCCTGCGATAAGTCCTGCTGCACCTCATTCTCTCACAGCAGCAGAGTATTCTTGTTAAATCTGAAGCCAGGTCATGTCACATCCCTGCTGTAAACCCTCCAGCTCCTTTTCCAACACACTTAGGATAAAAGTCAAGAGTCTCACCCTGGATTTCAAAGTCTGAACTGACCTCTGCCTCTCTCTTGTCCTACTTTCATCTTGAGCCACAATCCCTTTGCCCAGCATACACCCGGCATGGCCACCATCTTCCCGGTTTTGAAACATCACCATGCTTGCTCTGCCTTGAAGCTTTTGTACTGCCTGGCCTTTCTGGCTGGAGTGTTCTTCCTGCCAACCTTTGATGGATGGCTTCTTTTAAATTTTAGATCTCAGCTTAAGTGTTATCTCCTGTGGGAGCTCTTTCTCGATCATCTAATTTAAGATAACCCCTCAGTTTAAGGGATCACCTTTATAAAAATTGTCACCTCTATAAAAATTCTCATTATCTGTTATTTTTCTTGCTTATTTGCTTGTACTCTATTTTTCCTAGTAAAATATAAACTCCATGAGAGAGAAGAGAAGCATTCTTTATCTTATACACCGTCCATAGTAGTTGCTCAATAAGTGTTTATAGAGTGGATGAATGAGGGATGATATGGTTTGGCTCTGTGTCCTCATCCAAATCTCATCTTGAATTGTAATCCCCAGGTATTGAGGGATCATCTTCTGCCATGATTGTAAGTTTCTTGAGGCCTTCTCAGCCACGTGGAACTGTGAGTCAGTTGAAGCTCTTTGCTTTTTAAATTACCCAGTCTTAGGTATTTCTTTACAGCAGTGTGAAAATGGACTAATACAAGGGGTCATGGGCTCTTTTTTCATTGGCCGTGAGAAATGAACCTTAGGTGAAGAATAGACTCATGTAAGAATAAGTAAAAGGAAACATTTAACTAAAAGCAAGTGTTCAGAGACAATATAATACATTATCTTAGAAGACAATGAAATCTCTTTGTTTAGCCCTCTCAACAGGGTACATGCAGGTTTTTTTTAAATTTTTTAATTATGGAAACTGCTAAGTATGCACAAAAGCAGAGAGAACAAGAAAATGAAATCTCATGTATCCATCATCCAATCTCAAGTCATTAATCTATGGCCAATCTGGTTTAATAGCTTCACTCTCTCCTGTCCTCAACCTCGTAAGTATTTTGAAGCAATCAATCCCAGACACCGTATCATTTCAACAGTACATTAGAAACCTCCTTTTTAGGTGTCCCCAGATTTTACCTCTCTTTCTCCTGAATGTGAAAGGGCTCACAGTATAGAAAGTGAGCATGAACAACTCCAAGGATCAGAAGAGAATGTTGACCAGAAAAACACTTTGCAAGGACCTGTCAGATATTCCCTCCTGCACAGAAAGGGAGCTGGCTGCTTCCTCAGAATGGTCTGTCTGCCCACATGAAATCGAGTACCACCTACCAAAAGTAACCAAAGTTATGCCCCAAATTTACCATATTGAGGAGCTTTGCTGAGTTAGATCATGGATTATATATTTAGCAATGATATTGGCAAAATGTCTTTTTAAACAAATCAAAAATTTTCAGGGACTTTGAGGGTTTCATAGTAATAATAACAATACCAACATTAATAACAACATCTAATGTTTAATGACATTTACTTGCACCAGGTACTCTTTCTAAGGACTTCATTATTAACAATAATTTAAGTTAATATTTATATTATATTACTAATAAGTTAATATTAACAAATTAACATGTTAATATGTGCCAGGCAATGAGCTAAGTGTCTTATATGTATTAATTCATTTAATCCTCACAAGAACCTTAAATGATGGGTGCTAATGAGGATATAAGAATATGCCCATTTTACAGATAAGTAGACTGAGGCAGAGAGGCTAAGTAAGTGACTTGCTCCAGGTCACAGAGCTAGTAAGTGGCAGAGCCAGGTATTGAACCCAGGCCCATTGACTGCAGAGCCTGCTTGTCTAATGACTAGAAGGTACAGCCTTCCAAATAGCACAAGGCCTGGGTGGCTGGAACCAGCCTCATCCACACTGATGCTGTTGTGTGCACAACATGGTTCTATGTGCTACAAGGTGGGGCACTAAACAGGGCGAGGGAAGGACAAGACAGAATCCCTCCTCTGAAACATGAACAATGTCACAGGATACCTGGGAGAACATTTAACTCACATTCCCAAATATTGCATGAGTAAATGTTAAAAAGCAAGCAAGGACCAACGTTTTCCATCACTGGGGTCCAAGACTCCCAAAGAACACTCAAGTTTAATAAGGAGGCTTTGAATCTCCAGCTGAACCACACATTGTTTTTTGACTGAATACATAATATCTCATACATATGCATACTATTCTTTTCACGTGCATACAGTGATGTGATTATGAAAATAAATATTCATTTGTAATGGTTACTGAATTCAGGTGATCATGATGGTTTGTTTTTTCAACTCCCAAGCGTTAAAGGTATAGCACAAAGTTATACATAAAGTTTTTGTTACTGGAACAAAAGTTGGGAACCATGGGCTTGGTCAGTGAGTTCTTCCTGGTGTGCAGAAAAGCAAGAAGTCAGTATGGTTGAAGTGGTTAAGAATAATTTGTAGTTGGGCACAGTGGCTCACGCCTGTAATCCCAACACCTTGGGAGGCTGAGGCAGGTGGATTACTTGAGGTCAGGCGTCTGCAACCAGCCTGGCCAACATGGTGAAACCTCGTCTCTACTACTAAAAATACAAAAATTAGCCGGGCATGGTGGCAAGCACCTGTAATTCCAGCTACGCGGGAGGTTGAGGCACGAGAATTGCTTGAACCTGGGTGGAAATTGCAGTGAGCCAAAATCACGCCACTGTATTCCAGCCTGGGTGATAAAGTGAGACTCAGTCTCAAAAAAAAAAAAAAAGAAAAAAGAAAAGAATACTTCATAGACGAGGTGCAAATTGAGCAGAGATTTGTTATTGTATGTTAGCTATTACTGTTTCATAAACCACTGCTCACCTCAGATGTATAATGTAATAAACACGGATTTTTGCTCACTGCTCTGGATGTGTTGATCTGAACTGGACTCAGCAGGGCACACTTATGCATCTGTGGTTGGTGGTGGCAGTCTAGGTGGTTTTGGTGATCTTGGTTGAGCTCCCTTTCAAATCTGGGGACTTGGCTAGGCCCAGTGGGCTGACTTGGCTCTGCTCCACTTCGCCGTCCTCCAGCAGGCTAGCAGCGGATGTAGAAACAGTGTCAGGAGGAGGACAGAGGAGCCAGAGACACAGTGGAAGAGCACGAAGCCCTCTGAGGCCCAGGC